>NC_000003.12:134008604-134311634 GCF_000001405.40 Homo sapiens | reverse complement strand
AGAAGAAACTTTCTGGCCTCTAGAGTCCTTTTTTTTTTTTTTTTTTTTTTGGTGACAGTCTTCCTCTATCACCCAGCTAGAGTACAGTGGTGCTATCCTGGCTCACTGCAGCCTCATACACCGGGCTCAAGCCATCCTCCTGCTTCAGCCTCTGAGTAACTGGGACTACAGGCATGAGCTACTATGCCCAGCCTAGAGTCCTTTTTAGTATTCTGCAGCCAACATGCCATTGTGCTGATGTTTTGCTAAAGAACCTCCACGGATTTTGCCAGTCATGTGGTTGGACTGAATAGCATTTAAGGCTTCCATTCCAAGGTCCCTTTCTGAAGATGAGTGGGATTATAATTTCCCACTGGGCCCAGGTAGGGGTCTGGTTTCGATGATGAATTGGCCTCAGAAATTCAGCCCCTTCTCTTGGAGTTGCTTAAAGTCAGGGCCCTCCTCACTGATGTGTGAAGTGTCATAGCACTCCCCACACTCAGGTGTGTCCAGTGTGTGCAGCAGAACTGGGCAGGGAGGGCTTGGCCCCAAGGGAGGACCAGCCCCCATCTCCCATGACCTTTCCCGCACACTTAGGTGAATGGCTGACCTCTTCGGAGTCTCACTTCATCCTTGTGCTTAAAATGAATAAACGACCCCCAGGCCTTCCCTATCCCATATTAAGAGAAATTAATTCAAATAATAAACTCTTTGAAAGACTAGAGTTTTCAAAAATGTCATTATACAGAATAACGTTTCTCAAAATCCCTAGTTTGTGGGGCATGGGCAGAGGGGTTTGGTGAAAATTCTTTTTCCTGGGCCAGCTGATAGTCTGAGCCGGGAGGCCATAAGTGAGGCCCAGGACTCTACATGCTTAAAAAATCGTCCTAAGGAATCCTGATGCTTTGACAGGAACTTATACAGACAACCTTACATTTGCTCTCAGGAAGTCCTCTTAGAAAGTTCATTTCACTATCTCGAATCTGGAATCCCAGCACTTTGGGAGGCTGAGGCAGGCAGATCGCTTTAGCCCAGGAGTTTGAGAACAGCCTTGGCAACATAATGAGACCCCATCTCTACAAAAGAAAGAAAAAATTAGCCATGCGTGGTGACACATGCCTGTGGTCCCAGCTACTTGGAAGGCTGAGGTGGATCGCTGAGCCAGGGAGGTCAAGGCTGCAATGAGCCGTGATTGTACCACTGCACTCACAGAGTAAGACCCTGTCTCAGAATAAGAAAATAAATAAGAACCATCTTTCTGTCAAGATTCAGACAAATCCCACGAGATTTTTAAATCTGCCCCTGAAAGGAAGAACTTAAGGAACGGGATCTAGAGGGAGGCCCCTCCATTGTGCAAGATGGGGAAATGCCCACAAAGTCGACACTCCAGGGAGTGCCACAGAGCACCACGCAGTGGAAGGCTCCCACCCCCTTCCTCCTCCCTTTTCTCTTCCTCCCCTCCTTTCTGTTACAGGAATTGGACACTTGTAAAGTAGACCAAAAACAAACAAAAACCACCTGACTTGAAATGCCTCAACTGGAATTGAAACCAAAGTCCCCAAGGGTCATAGTTCCAATGCCTAGCCCTTAAGCAATGTCAGCAAGTCTTCACAAACCTAACAGCTCAGGCCCTTGGCCCAAAACAAACTAAGAATGGTAAAGACAGGAACGCTGAACTGTTGGCTGCGGCATACTCCAGTGGTCTTTTGATCTGTGCCTCCACCCCCAAATAGGGTTTGGCCTGCACCCCTGACATACCATGTACCTGTGCTGCTGTCACTGGCTATTACTGTATCAAGGCACAGCGATTTTTTATTATTACAGCAAGGTTCATTGTAAGTGATAATAGATATAATTTCAAATAATTTTGACAGGTTTAAATTTGGGAGATGAGTGCCCTAAAAGGTCTGTTTAGAATGTCATTTTTATGTCATAATGCAGCTAAGAGTCCCCACAAAAAGTGGAAGTGGCAGCTCAGGCATCTTCGTCTGGTTCGAACATGCAGATACTGATCGCTTTACCATCAAACCTTGGACTCTTCATAGGAATCCTTAGAAGTTACTTGTCAATTCCGTGAGGATGACTGTGGTTCAGTTATGTGTTATCTAGTTAGGTTTGGTATATCCAGCAGAAATCCTATCCAGCAGGAGCAAGCCAACTGTGCTGAGGCTTGTTCCTGTCAGGGCACCCCCATTCTTCTCTCAGTTCACCACACACACTTTGCCGACTCAGTACTATTTGAAATACAAACCAGTGACAGAGCCAGCACCAATCTGAATATAAAACATTAAAATTAGCTGGGCGTGGTGGCGGGCGCCTGTAGTCCCAACTACTTGGGAAGCTGAGGTGGGAGGATCTCTTGAGCCAGGGAGGTGGGGGCTGCAGTGAGCCAAGATTGCACCACTGCACTCCAGCCTGGGCGACAGAGTAAGACTGTCTCAAAAAAAAAAAAAAAAAAATGAAGTCACATTGTCATTTATTT
This sequence comes from Homo sapiens, assembly GCF_000001405.40. NCBI lineage: Eukaryota > Metazoa > Chordata > Mammalia > Primates > Hominidae > Homo > Homo sapiens. The sequence continues at coordinate 134,309,173 of NC_000003.12, read as the reverse complement.
ATTTACTTATTTTACAGACAGGGTGTCGCTATGTTGCCCAGGCTGGCCTCAAACCCCTGGGCTCAAGCGATCCTCCCATCTCAGCTTCCCAAGTAGCTGGGACTACAGACCCATGCCACCGCATCAGCTCTTATTTTTAGATTAAAATTATAAATACTCACATAAAGGTTCTGTTATTTTCTTCCTGCACCCCCAACAGATCATCTTACATATCCCAATTTGGAGGCCACTGACCTAACCAGGATCCTCTCACCCCAGGAGCCCATCTCTGAAAAGCTTTCTGCTATCAGAAGCGCCCCAGCAGTTAGCCATTTCCCTGAAAATCAGGCGGCCAGGCCCCACAACTGGAAGAATTTCTGACAGAGCAGAAGAATCACATGTTCCAATTCAGACTTCTACTTTGGTATCTGCAACCGCCAGCCTCCCCATGCTCCCCTGCCAAGTTGTGGGGGTGAGGGTGGGCTGAAGACTGTGCTGAAGCAAGGTGGGGTGGGCCCTACTGGGTGTGAATTTGTGGGACTCCCTTGTGTTCCCAAGGCCACACTCAGGCTGCATTCCTGAGGTCTGCAGGGGAGTGGCTGCGTTCCTGGTCCAAGTATAGAGAAACAGCGTCCCCTGGTGGCCCTAACATGTAGTGCCTCAGAACCCCGGCTCCTTCCTTTACTATTTGCTGAACTCGCTTTGATGCTCTAGTATAATGGCGTAATTATTTATACAGCGATGTGTTGCAAAGACCTGGGGTGGTATCTGGGCTCATCTGTGTGATCTTGGGCAAATTAGCTTCTCTGAGTCGCAGTATCTTCAGCATTAAAATCGGATAATCAGACCTACTTTTTAGGGTTGTTGCTAGAAGCAAATGAAAGGATAAATGAAAAGCAGTAAACAGTGGCGAGCACATAGGCAGGACCTCTGCTATGATGTTGGTCATGACGCTTGATGTTGATGCCTGCAGACACTGAAAGGCAACTGAAACATCTTTCTAGACACAGACCTGGAGAGATAGTGAGAGGTTGTGGACAGGAACTCTCCTGTTCCTGAGCTAACACACACGGAGGAGCAGTGAACACGTCCTGGACAGGTGTAGTGAGTACGAGCCTGTGTGTGTGTGCACAAGCACCCTCCCCATGGAAATGCAGAGCGCTCTGGAAGGTGCTCAGCATACATCGCAGAGGGAAGGAGTGGTGACAGCAGGGAAGCAGTGTCACTTATTCTCCAGGCATATTGCAGAGCTAGACCCTGAGAAAGGATCAGAGTTTATTAATTCATACAATTACTTATTGATCACCTAATATGTGCAAGGCAAGGTTAACAAACTTTAGCAAACAACTATCACAAAACATTCAAACAGAGGCAAGTGTTAAACAGCAGAGTTAGTGTAGGCTGGTGTTCTGAGGACTAAGAATTGTATTCCCCAAAGCCACCAGGACAGAACAACTGAAAACACACAAAGCCAGGCCCAGGCAGAGTAAGGATTTCTGTGCTCTGGTGGCCTGCGGGAGTTGCATCACCACTAAGCTCTCTGGAACATGCTTGGGCCCACTCAGTCCATTTGAAGCCAGGACAAGGTGTGAGGTGAGCCCTCTGTAATCATCCCTGCTCATGACTAGGATTCCAGCCAACTAAAATGTGGTTTTGTTAAAAGCTAGTAACCCCTGGGTGTTCCCCCAGCTTTCTCCTACCCACACCTGCAGAACGGGATATGAGCCCTTCCTGGGTTTGGTGATGAAGAAAGAGAGGGTCTGGTGGCCCAGAAGAGGTACGCAAGATCTGCCAACCCCAAACAGGGCCCTTAGGGAACAATCAGTTCTTCCGCAATCCAGAAGAATTTACGCATCTGCACAGGTGAATTGAAAGATCAAAATACGTGAAACATTTGTTGCTGTGCTTCCCAACCACCCCTAAATTACAGACTTCTGACTTGTGGATATTCATCCTCACACCCTTGAGAAGTGCCCTGACCTCACAGAGCCTATTACTTATATTACTTATTAAACACCTACTATGTGCTGGGCAGGGTTAGCAAAATCAGGGGTGGAGAAGGCTGGGTACTAAGGTCAGGGAAGGGCTTCTGCCCAGTTGAGGCTTCTCCTTTCTCATAATCTCCTTTCCCCCTTGGATTCTTTTTCTCTTCTGTCCATCTCACCCATATTCACCTCTAGGGGGATGCAGGGCTTGTCTTTGGCCCACTGCTATCTCCACCAAGCACAAAACATTAATACTCCCTCTGCCTCCAGCACTGCCATTCAAGGTAAATGCAAAATTGTTGCTGCTTCAATGTTTCTACTTTCTTGCAAACTTGGAAAACAACACTGCTACAGTCTTTTTTTGAGTCTTATTCTGTCACCCAGGCTGGAGTGCAGTGGCGTGATCTCCGCTCATTGCAACATTCACCTCCCGGGTTCAAGAGAGTCTCCTGCCTCAGCCTTCCGAGTAGCTGGCACTACAGGTGCATGCCACTACGCCCAGTTAATTTTTGTATTTTTAGTAAAGATGGGGTTTCACCACATTGGCCAGGCTGGTCTCGAACTCCTGATCTCAGGCAATCTGCCCGCCTTGGCTTCCCAAAGTGCTGGGATTACAGGCATGATCCTCCGCACCCGGCCCAGTCTTACAACTTTTCTGGAAAGGTCCTGTACAGCTGTTCAGCTTGGGAGTGAGTTGGAGTAGGAGACGAGCTGGGAACCACCCACCATGGAAAACGCTGTTTCTGTAGAGACATTCTGAGGTCAAACAACTGATTTCAAAAGCTCCAGCTCCCTAGATCCCTGTGGATCTGTTTTCCCTTTTCCTTGTCAGGCACCTGGAAACATTCCACCCTTTTCCTGACTCTCTTGTCTGCCTAACACTCTAATCAGTCTTTCTTGGCTCTGTCCTTGTACCTCAAGAAGGAGAGAAACAAAGGAAGGAGCCAGTTCACGGACAAGGGCTCTTCCAAATTCAAAAGTGTTTTTCACTTCCATTAGGAGGGTTTAGAAGGTACATAAAAACTAAGCGACAAATCAATAAATAAACAAACAACTATTAACTCCAGGAAAAAATAAAGGGAGACATAATCATAATGGACTTTTGGACTCAACCATGAATTGAGCTCACATGTTTATCCAAAAAATAGTAACAATTTAACAAAAAGTTGGGACATAACTATCATAGCAGGATGCAGAAAATGATAGTAGGGACATGGTGGTGGTGTTATCACTGAATCTTTGTCTTCCAATGATAGGAAATCAAAAGATAACATCTAGAGTTGAGAAGTACGGCAGTAAGTACCAGGAAAATAACAGTTTAAAAGTTTAGGGAGGCTGGGCACAGTGGCTCACGCCTGTAATCCCAGCACTTTGGGAGACTGAGACAGGTGGATCACCTGGGGTCAGGAGTTTGAGACTAGCCTGGCCAACATGGTAAAACCCCGTCTCTACTAAAAATACAAAAATTAGCCAGGTGTGGTGGCACACGCATGTGGTCCCAGCTACTTGGGAGGCTAAGGCAGGAGAATCGCTTGAACTAAGGAGGCGGAGGTGTAGTGAGCCAAGATAGCACCACTGCTTTCCGGCCTGGGCAACAGAGCAAGACTCCAACTCAAAAAAAAAAAAAGAAAAAAAAAAGTTTAGGGAGAGGAACAGGAATAAGAAATTGTGGGACAGTGTGATTTTTACTATAAACTATATAAGCTATATTTTGCTCATAAAACAATCCTCATGTACTACTTTGATTTTCAAAAATAATAATCTAGAATTTTTGAAAAGAGAGCCGAATGTCTGGGAGATAATGTTGAAAAATATCTCCTTTAAGGCAGAGTGTAAAGACTGAGAGATGGAAAACATAGGATAAAATAAAATAACATGAAAATAAATCTAGACCCAGATGTCTGGATCCAGGAGGGGAGGAAACAACTGAGGAAGTAACCAAAAGACATTTTCCTAAGGCAAAGAAAGACACAGATGATCAGAGAAAAGGATCCATTGAAGGTGAGAATATGAATAGGGAAATCAAGAAAAACAAACAAATACCAACACTGATGACCAATAAACACAGGGAATAATATAAGCCACACACACAGCTAAAAAAAAAAATGCATATTAAAACACCGATGTTTTCACCTACCCAGATGGGTAAAACTTTGAAACCTTGAAATTACCCAATATTAATAAGTAAATGGAGAATCAGCACTTTGATAATCTGTTACTGAGAATGCAATGGTGCTGAGTTTGCGCAAGGCAAATTGGTGAGAAAAAAAATCAGAATTTAAAATGCCCTTGCTCTTTATTCCAGCACTGTCATTATTAGGAATTCATCCCTTGCATAAACTCATTAAAGTATGTCAAGATATCTATAATTGATAGCAGCAGGAGGCAGGCAAGAACCTAGGCAGATAGGGATGGATCCCCAGTAAAACCCCACCTCCAAGCCAAAAACAACTGTTTAAAGCCTGAAAGTCAAGCTACAAGTCAAATCCACAGACCAGATTGAGAACCTGTCATCCCGTTTGACATGCTTTCCTGATTGATCCCTTCCCTTCACCTATTTGACATATACCTACCCTTTCCTAATTGGTTTTCTACACTGTTGTGCCCACCCTTGAGTGATATCCTTGCTTTAACCTTTTTTGCATACTCACAAACCAATCAGCACACGTTCCCCATTCTGAGTCCATGAAAAGCCCTGGACCCAGCCACACAGGGAGAGAAACCACCTAACTGTGGGGGTGGGGGACTACCCCCTGCATCCCCCCTCTGCTGAGAGCTGTTCTGTTGTTCAATAAAGTTCTTCTCCACCCATTCTCATCCTTCAATTGCCCAGGCTGGTCTCAAACTCCTGGGCTTAAGCAATCCTTCCACCTCAGACTTCCAAAGTGGTGGGATTGCAGGCATGGGCCACCACACCTGGCTTATTTTATGCTTTAAAAATGTTAATTGGAGTTATCTGGCTGGTGGTATTGTGAGCCATCTTTGTTTGCTTCGAAATATTTTTTGGTACTAAGCCAAATAAGTATTTTGTTTTGTTTGAGTTGTTTTAAGGGACCCACTGAGGGCAATAAGGATGAGTAAAGAAATATCACATTTAAATGCACTTGGGTGGCTGGGTGCGATGGCTCACGCCTGTAATCCCAGCATTTTGGGAGGCAAAGGTGGGCAGATCACCTGAGGTCGGGAGTTCGAGACCAGCCTGACCAACATGGAGAAACCCTGTCTCTACTAAAAACACAAAATTAGCCAGGCGTGGTGGAGCATGCCTGTAATCCTAGCTACTCAGGAGGCTGAGGCAGGAGAATCACTTGAACCCGGGAGATGGAAGTTGCGGTGAGCCGAGATCGCACCATTGCACTCCAGCCTGGGCAGCAAGAGGGAAACTCCATCTCTAAATAAATAAATGCACTTGGGTAAAATTTCAGAACTTCAAGAATAAAGAGAAAATCATATAAGCTTCCAGAAAGAAAAACATAGGTACGTATAAATAAATAAGTTTCAGCCTGACATCAGATTTTTACACCAATTAGATGCTATGAGACAAAGAGCGGCATCTTCCAAGTTTTGAAAGAAAATTAATTTGAATCTGGAATTCTATAGTCAGCTGAATTACCACCCAAAGGAAAGACAAAATAAAGACATTTTCTGAAATTCAGGGAGTCAGAAAATTTACTACTCATGCACTGCATATGAAGAAATTACTCAAGGAGATGTCTCACTAAAACAAAGTAATTCCAAAAAGAGTAAGTGAGATTTTTAAGAAATAGAATCTGAGCATGCGAAGAAATATAAACATGGAACAAAATGAGCTAGTTTACTAGTTTACATTTTGATACGTGGGACATTCTCCTTTGGCCTGCAGATACTTAATAACTGAAGATCATTTTCTTCTTCAGAGCTGCAGCCATGCTACTTGATCCTGCAGCAAATAATTATACAATATAAAATCATAATTGCATGTTACAATAATGTTATTTATATGGGGTTTAATATCTTAGACCCAATCTGTAGACAAAACAAAAGGAACAGAACAGAATGTAAATATTATAAACATTGATGAAGTAAAGGGAAAAATAGTGCTGACAGCCAGCCAGGGAGTTACATTCTGTAAATGCATTTAGCTGCAATTAGTACAGATGCTTCTCAATTTTTGATGGGGTTAACATCCTGATAGACCCATCCTAAGCTGAAAATACTATAAGTCAAAAAGTATTGAATACACCGAACCTGCTGAACATCATAGCTCAGCCTAGCCTACCTTAAATGTGCTCAGACCCCTTACATTAGCCTGCAGTTGGGCAACACAGTACACTGTAGAGTACCAGTTGTTTACTCTGCTGATTATGTGGCTGACTGGCAGCTGCCCAGCATGGCAAGAGAGTATCATACAGCATATTGCTAACCCTGGAAAATATCAAAATTCAAAATCCAAAGTATGATTTCTACTGCCTACATGTCACTTTCACACCATATAAAGTTGAAAAATTCTAAGTTAGAACAATTGTAAGTTGGAGACTATACATACGCATATCAAAATCCAGGCCTGGTTGATTAGATTTTAGGGTTCCATTCAATGCAGAATTGAGAAGAACCCAGGCCCTAATGCAAAGTAAGTGGCTCTAGTGATGTATGGGAGCTGTGTCTTACTGCTCCTTAGAGCTGAGTGTCTTCATTGCTTCCCAACCATTCTTACTATGGTTAATTTCAAGCTAACAACATGATGTTGTTTCAAGCTAACATCATGTTGTTAGCTTGAAATTAACCATACTCGGAATATTTACACAATATTTACATTACGGCTTTTTGTTTTTCCCCCCATAGAGGAGCCAGTTGTTCAATACTTGCCAGCATGGTCCTGGGAAAGTCAGACCTGAAGAATTGAAGAATTGTGCGGAGATGAAGGTGGTGGAAGCTGGTGATGAGACCCTCAGGCCTAGATGGGTTGTGGGGAAGCTAGTGGCATTCTTAGATGGGGAAATCTGCTAAGACGGGAGTCAGCAAACTTTTTCTTTTCTTTTTCTTTTTCTTTTTTTTTTTTTGAGACCGAGTCTGTTGCCCAGGCTGGAGTGCAGTGACGCGATCTCGGCTCGCTACAAGCTCCGCCTCCCGGGTTCACGCCATTCTCCTGCCTCAGCCTCCGCAGTAGCTGGGACTACAGGCGCCCGCCACCACGCCCAGCTAATTTTTTGTATTTTTAGTAGAGATGGGGTTTCACCATGTTAGCCAGGATGGTCTCGATCTCCTGACCTCGTGATCTGCCCGCCTCGGCCTCGCAAAGTGCTGGGATTACAGGTGTGAGCCACCCCGCCCGGCCAGCAAACTTTTTCTTAAAGGGCCAAATAGTAAGTATCTCACAACTACCCAATGCTGCTGTTACAGCTCAAAAGCAGCCGTATACAATACTAAATGAAGGAGCGTGGCTGTGTTCCATTAACACTTTTATCTACAGCACAGGTAGCCAGCCCATAATTTGCCAACTCCTGGTCTAAGACAAATTCCACAGGAGGACACTTCAGATATGGCACAGAAATCCGCTCTGCAGCCACACTTGGAGGCAGCTGCGTAGCAGGATATTTGAGCCAGAGGTCACATTCCTGGCTCCCCATGGCCTCCAAGTAGCTTGAGGGGGATCCAGAATTTCCTATGTCCCATGCAAAGGGGACACAAAGGTGCTTTATCAGATATGATTAGGTTTGGCTTTATAGTAGCCTAAAAACCCAGTTTAATGGTGGCTTAGAACGTACACATGATGGATTTTCTCATGTAAAATCCTGGAGGTGGCCCATGCAGTGCCGGTAAAGTGTGAGAGACCCTTGCGTGTCTGAGCTTTCCTCTCCGCCATTCCTAAGTGTGGCCTTCGTCCACATGGTCCAAGCTGGCTGCTGGGGTGCTGCCATCATGTCCACCACATCCAGCCCCCAGGAAGAGGTAAGCAGAGGAAGGCACCCCTCTCCACCTCTTATTAAAGACCCTACGGCGGGGCGTGGTGGCTCATACCTGTAATCCCAGCACTTTGGGAGGCCGAGGAGGGTGGATCACGAGGTTAGGGAATCGAGGCCATCCTGGCTAACACGGTGAAACACCGTCTCTACTAAAAATACAAAAAATTAGCCAGGCGTGGTGGCAGGCACTTGTAGTCCCAGCTACTGGGGAGGCTGAGGCAGGAGAATGGGGTGAACCCGGGAGGCGGAGCTTGCAGTGAGCCGAGATAGCACCACCGCACTCCAGCCTGGGCGACAGAACAAGGCTTCATCTCAAAAAAAAAAAAAAAAAAAAAAAGACCCTCCCCGCCCCCCCGAAACTGTACACATTTATCTACTTGTATCCCATTGGTTAAAACTTAGCTGACAATACCCAGCTGGAAAAGAAGTGGGGATATGTAGTCTTCAGCTACAAATTGGGTGTTAATTGGAAGGACAGATACAGAAGGACAACTGTCTCTGTTGCTGAGAGGGCCTGTGGAGTGGCGGAGTCCCAGGGATGGCCAGAAGTGCCCACTTGCAGGGACTTGGCTGCTCCAGCAGAGGAGCCAGTGCACAGGGCCAGCTTCATGGACCTGCGCAACTGCATAGGCCTCAGGCTCAGAAGGGCCCATGCTTGGTTTTAGTAAGTAAAATTCCTACTAATGATATAAAATTGTATTTTTTCTTTACTTAGAATGACATTAAACAGCAAATAGAAAACACCACAAAAGGCCGGGCACGGTGGCTCACACCTGTAATCCCAGCACTTTGGGAGGCTGAGGTGGGTGGATCACTTGAGGTCAGGAGTTCGAGACCAGTGTGGCCAACATGATAAAACCCCCTCTCTTCTAAAAATACAAAAATTAGCCAGGTGTGGTGGCGAGCACCTGTAATCCCAGCTACTTGAGAGGCTGAGGCAGGAGAATCGCTTGAACCCAGGAGGCGGAGGTTGTAGTGAGCCAATATCATGCCACTGCACTCCAGCCTCCAGGAGGTGACAGAGCGAGACTCCATCTCAACAACTAAAAAAGAAAACACCACAACAAATCAAGAGAGAAAAACCAGAAGAAAGGAAAATGTTTTATATTTTAGGTTCTTTAGTAGTACTTTTTTCCTGCCTTTTGAATGAGAGATTCTACATTTTTATTTTGCATAGGGCCCTGCAAATGATGTAGCCAACTTGGCAGCACATTATCGCAGGATGCCACATGGAACAGTCATACCTCTCAGGTCCACTGCCAGGAGCAGATGCCCCTCTCTTCAGTGGGAACAGCAAAGGGCCAGAGGACCCAGGTATATGAAGGCCCCCCCACCCACCACCCAACTTCAGGGATACAGTAAGGGCCCTCATTTACCCAGATACACAGAAGGCATCTTGGGGAGAAGAAGGGAGATCAGACAGAGCTCAGAAAGACAGATCTTGGAGACACTGAATTTTCTGAGTCTATGGAAAGCAGCCACATGAGGGAGTTCAACTCCAAAAGGTCTGAGTATTCAGTCTGAAAGGAGACTGAAAGGAGAAAAGACGTGTGTATTGTTCAAGGCAAACCTTGGCTTCCCCAGTACACAATAGTGTGGGGCTGGTAAAGAAGATCCTAATCTTCCTGGCAGATCTGAATGGGGCATGCACATTTGCACACCTGCTATCCTCAGATCCAAATCACTTTCTGTCTGAAATATCATTCTTCCTGTTCCTGCTTCCCTCATTCCACCCCTACTCTTGTAACCCTTGGACATCTGGCTAACTTCTCGCCTTTCTACAGTTAGTTCAGGCTCTCTTCTCCCAGGAAGCCTTCCCTGACACCCCCACTTTCACTTTTCCCTCCTCTGAGTACTCACTGCAACCTGCACACACCCAATTTCAGAGGAGGAGTTTGAGTGACAGCAGGGCTTGCACTGGCCATGGAGCCACAGGCCTGGAGTGGAGGCCTTCCTGCTTCACATTTATCCTTGGAGCCTGTTGCGCCGTGTGGAAAATGGGGGCAATAATACCAGACTCACCTACCTTACAAAATTTTTTTAAATTTTGTTTTTGAGTAAGTACTATACACACACAGTCCACAATTCTATGGGTATATAAGGGTACACAGTGAAAAATAGCTCTCCTTCTCTCTTCTCTCCTCCAGGCTCCCAGCTGTCTTCCCCAAAGATAATCCCTGTTATGAGTTTCTTTGTTGTTCATAGATACTCCATATGTTTTAAAGCAAATACATTTTATATCATCATCTGTGTAGTATTCCAGGGGAGAATGCATAACCTGAATCTAACCATGAGGAAGTATCAGAAAAACCCAAAATAAGAAATATTCTATTTTTTAAAGCATGCGTTAGAGGAATAATGGTATTATCTGAAAGCATCAGTAATCAATATCACAAAAGACAAAGAAAGGCTGTGGATGTGTTCTGAAATTAAGGGAAATGGTAGATTAAAGTACTGCATCCATGTTAAATTTACCAAAGTTGAAGCGGGGGACACATAAAAAAAATTTATCGAAATTGATAAGTCTACTATGGTTATATAAGGGCTATCCTTTTTGTTTGTTTGTTTGTGTCTTTCTTTTTTAAAAATAAATACTGACTTATTTAGAGGTAAAGGGCCCTGATGTATATAACTTACCCTCATGTCGTTCAAGAAAAAATGTGTGTGTGTGTGTCTGTGTGTTTGTACACTGGAAGAGGAAGAAGGACACAAAAGAGAAAGCAAATGGGGCAAAATGTTAACAATAGGTGAATATGGACAAAGGGTTGATAAGTATTCTTGTACTACTTTTATTTTTGCAAGTCATGTTTAATATTACTTCCAGGAAAAAAAAAAGTTAATCTTCTTTATTCACAGATTCTGCATTTGCAAATTCGCCTAATCACTAAAGTTTTTTTGTAACCCCAAAACCAGTACTCATAGCCATTTGCAAACATGTGTAGAGCTGGAAAAAAAATTTGAGTCACCCAATGTACATGTTACCAACTGAGGTCTAACCAGGAAATACTCTGCCTTCTTGGTTCGGCTCTCATACTATAAAAAACTATCCTTTCTATGGTCTGTTTAGCACCAATTTTTCACATTTTTGTGCCTTTGGTTGATATTTTGCTGTTTAAAATGGTCCCCAAGCATAGTGCTGAAATGTTGTCTAGCATTCCTAAGCAGAAGAAGGCCGTGATGTGCCTTAGGAGAAAATGTATGTGTTAGATGAGCTTCATTCAGGCATGAGTTATGGTGCTGCTGGCCATGAGTTCAGTGTTGGCAATGAGTTTAAACATATTGTCAATGAATCAACAATATATTTTAATATTTATTAAATGAATAATATATTATGTATTAAATGTATTGGATAAACAATACACGCATAGAACATGGTTATGTATTGATGGGTTTACAAAAGTGTTGTGACCACAGGGTCGTAGAAACCTAACCCTGTATTTCTCTCAGGAGCAAATGTTTCAGTATTCACTAATTCAGTGTTTTGAGCAGTATTAGACTATAACTACTGCAAATAATGAGAATTGAGTATTTATATACACGCATTTCCTGCACAAATGATAGTATACAGTACACACTGTTCTGTACCTTATATTTTTAAAACAATATTTCTTAGAGATCGTGCTATTAGGTTATATTCATTCTTTTGAACAGATACCTGCTATTCCCCATATGTGTATAATCTAATTGGTCTAACCAGTCCTCTAGTGATAGACACCTGGGCTTTCTGTTTTTGTTTTCATTTTTTTAAAATTGCAGGGGCCGGGCACGGTGGCTCGCGCCTGTAATCCCAGCACTTTGGGAGGCCGAGGCGGGCGGATCACAAGGTCAGAAGTTTGAGACCAGTGTGGTGAAATGCCGTCTTTACTACAAATACAAAAAATTAGCCGGGTGGGGTGGCCCATGCCTGTAATCCCAGGTACTCGGAAGGCTGAGACAGGAGAATTGCTTGAACCTAGGAGGCGGAGACTGCAGTGAGCAAAGATCACGCCACTGCACTCCAGCCTAGGCTACAGAGCAAGACGAGCAAGACTCTGTCTCAAAAAAATAAATAAATAAGATAAAATAAAATTGCATATTAGCAAAGTCATTTTTTCTATTTTCATTTGGTTATGATTTTTTTGAGATATATATATATATATATATATATATATATATATATATATATAACACTTTTTCTTTATCCATTCATCTGTTGATGGACACTTAGGTTGCTTCCAAATTTTGCCTGTTGTGAATAGTGCTGCAATAAACATGGGAGTCCAGATATCTCTCCAGCATACTGATTTCATTTCCTTTGGATATATACCCAGTAGTGGGATTGCTGGATCAGATAGTAGTTATATTTTTAAGTTTTGAGGAACCTCCATACTGTTTTCCATAATGGCCACATTAATTTACATTCCCACCATCTGTGAGCAAGTGTTCCCTTTACCCCACATCCTCCCCAACCCTTGTTATCTTTTGTCCTTTTGATAATAGCCAGTTTAACTGGTGTGAAGTGATATCTCATTGTGGTGGTTTTAATTTACATTTCTCTGATGATTAGTGATGTTGAGAATTTTTTTCATATACATATTGGTCATTTGTATGTCTTCTTTTGAGAAATGTCTATTCAAATCCCTTGCTCTTTGTTTTCTTACTAAGTTATTTGAGTTTCTTACATATTTTGGATATTAACCTCTTATTAGATGTATGGTTTGCAAATATTGTCTCCCATTCTGTAGATTGTTTCTTCACTCTGCTGGTTGTTTCCTTGGCTGTACAGAAGCTTTTCAGTTTGATAGAATCCCATGTGTCTATTCTTGCTGTTGCTGCCTATGCTTTGGAGTTATATCCAAAAAATCATTGCCCAGACCAATGTCATGAAGCTCCTCCTGTATGTTTTCTTCAGTAGTTTTGCTGTTTCATGTCTTATATTTAAGTCTTTAATCCATTTTGAGTTGATTTTTGCATATGGTGTGAGATTCTTCTCTTTGTAGATACGCAGTTGCCCTAACACTATTTACTAAAGAGACTGTCCTTTCCCCATTGTTTGATCTTTGTCAAAAATCAATTAATCACAAATGTGTAGATTTGTTTTCAGGCTCTCTAATCTGTTCCATTGGTCTATGTGTCTGTGTGTATGCCAATACCATGCTGTTTTGATTACTATAGCTTTGTAGTATATTTTGAAGTCAGGTAGTGTAATGCTTCCAGCCTTGTTCTTTTAGCTCAAGATTACTTTGGCTATTTGGAGTCTTCTGTGGTTCTACACAAATTTTAGAAATTTTTTTCTATTTCTGTGAAAAATGTCATTGGAATTTTTGTAGGGATTGCATTGAATCTATAGATCATTTTGGACATTTTAACAATATTAATTCTTCCAATCCATTAACACAAGATATCTTTACATTTATTTGTGTCTTCAATTTCTTTCATTGTTTTATAGTTTTTGGTGTACAAGTGTTTTATCTCCTTGATTAAATTGATTCCTAAATATTTTTTGTAGCTATTGTAAATGAGATTGTTTTCTTGATATCTCTTTTTTTTTGGATAGTTTATTGTTGGTGTATTAAAATAATACTGATTTTCATATGTTGCTTTTATATCCTGCAACTTTACTGAATTTAGTTATTAGTTCTAACAGTTTTTTTGGTGGAATCATTAGGGTTTTCTATATAAGATATTTGGATTTTATCTTTTCAAAATGTATATCTGGTCCTGTCATAGTCTTACTTAAAGTATTTCCACAACATCCCCTTGCACTTGGGATGAAAATTAAAATCCTTAATATGACCTGCCAGACACTCTCGCATAGCTTTCTGGCATCTCCATGTCTCCCTTCTGTTCTCTGTTCATCCCCTGGTATCATCTACCTTCCCTTCTGCCACAGGACATTTGCACAAGCTTTCCTTCTGGAACATCTTCCTTATCCCTCATCCTTAACCTGGTTACCTCTTTCTTCCAACCTCGACTTTACAGTCCATCTTTTGCTCACCAGTGTATCCTTGGCCTAGTCTAGAACCTGCTATATAAAAGGTGCTCAATACATTTTTGCTAAATAATTGAATGAATGAGGCAGGAGGCATACAGAGAGGAAAGTCTTCTGGTAAGGATTATGTTTTTGTGGGTCTCTTTTGACCAAACACTTGGTTTTAAACTCTTCATAGAATAAAAACTGTACAGCTGTCTTATCTTCTCCTTTCAGGTTCTCAGGTCTTTAGCACTCAAGGGATGTTTGTTTGACTTAGACAAGTGATAATGATGGGAACTCAAACAAGTTCTCCAAAGTAACCCTGAGAAGGTTGCCAGAACTTTCTGCACCAAACTCTCATCCTTGAAAAAGGGGTGATAATGTCTAAATCTGGCTCGTGAGCAACACACCTGCTGGCACTTAGCACATTCCTACAGGAGCTCCTACCTCTCTTCAATTCCAGCAACCTATAAGATGTTGATTCTGCCCTGTAAGAATTTTCAGCACATTGGCTCAGAAAAAAAGATCTAAATGCAAAGACCAAGTCACAAGTCAACATTCCCTCAACAGGCTCTCTCCTACTCTTCCTCCATCCAGCAGATGTCTGCTGGCATCCAGCTAAAGGGGAAGACACCAAAAAGAAAGTGTCACAGCCAAAGTTTTTACTGCTACATCCCAGAGTCTGATCCCCATGTCCCCGAGTGAGTAGAAGAGGAGCTCTGTCTGCACTGTCACCTGACCTTGGGCTTTTTTCTACCTTTGAGTGACTAATTCTATTCTCAAGTATTCTCTAACACGGTATGAAACTTGTGGTGTAACCCACAAACTTCTCATATGCCAGAAGGCCTACACCCACATCCTCCCCATTGACCACCACCCCTTTCCTCTATTTTTGGTGGTAAAATGAATCAAACTGGCTCACACAAAAGGCTTGAGAGAGAGAGAGTGATTACACACTTGATCTCGTATATCCAAAATTCAACCATTTCTTGCCACCTTCCGTCTACCTCCCTGGTCTGAACTGTCTTCATCTCTCACCTGGTTTATTGCAATATCCCCAGCTGATCTTCCTTCTTTCACCTTTATTCCCTTAATCTTTTTCCAGGTACAGATTGCCAATAAAATACAGAACACTCAGTTAAATTTGCATTTTAGATAAACAATGAATACTTTTTAGTATAAATATGTCACAAACATTGCATGGGCTATACTTATACTAAAAAAAGTATGCATTTATCTGAAATTCAAATTTCACTCAACACCATGTAGTTTTATTTGCTGGCTCTGGCAACCCTATTCTTCAGCAACCAGAGTTATTCTTTTAAAATACAAATTAGGTCAGGCGTGGTGGCTCACGCCTGTAATCCCAGCACTTTGGGAGGCCAAGGTGGGTGGATCATCTGAGGTCAGGAGTTCGAGACCAGCCTGGCCAACATGGTGAAACCCCATCTCTACTAAAAATACAAAAAATAGCCGGGTGTGGTGGTGGGCGCCTGTAATCCCAGCTACTTGAGAGGCTGAGGCAGGAGAATTGCTTGAACCCAGGAGGCAGAGATTGTAGTGAGCCGAGATTGCGCCACTGCACTCCAGCCTGGGCAATAGAGCGAAACTCAGTCTCAATAAATAAATAAATAAAATACAAATTAGCTCATATCACTCCTCCGCTCAAAATCTGCCAATAACTTCCCATCTTTGCTCAAAGTGCTGATAAAGCCAAAGTCGTTCCAGAGATCTGCCTTCCTCAGCGCCTCTAGGCTCTCATCTCCTACTACGCTCTCCCTTGTCCACTCAATCCAGCCACCCTGGCTTCCTATCACTCCTGGCACTGTTACCAGAGAACCACATTACTAGCTCCTTCTCCTTCTGCAGGTCTTGCTCAGACAATATTACTTTCTCAGGAAGGCCTTCTCTGAAAGCTTTTTAAAAACTGCAGTTACCCTATCTTCTATCTTCTATCCCCTCTCCCTGCTTTTACTCCATAACATGTGTGCCACCTTCTAGCATAACACATTATACATACAGACTGGTTTGCTCTCTGTCTCTCCGCTAAAAAGTATGGTCCATGAGGGCAGGTACTATGTTTTGTTCAAGCCAAATCTCCAGCATCAGACCCTGCTTGGCACATAGCAGATGCTCAATAGATATTTGTTGAGGCCAGGCGCAGTGGCTCATGCCTGTAATCCCAGCACTTTGGGAGGCCAAGGCAGGTGGATCATGAGGTCAGGAGTTCAAGACCAGCCTGGCTAACATAGTGAAACCCCATCTCTACTAAAAATACAAAAATTAGCCAGGTGTGGTGGCACACTCCTGTAGTCCCAGCTACTTGGGAGGCTGAGGCAGGATAATCACTTGAACCTGGGAGGCGGAGGTTGCAGTGAGCTGAGACCATGCCATTGCACTCCATCCTGGGTAGCAGAGTGAGACTCCATCTCAAATATAATATATATATATATAAATAATATATATATTATATATAAATATATATATTACTCTTTTATTTAAAAAATTTAAAACACCAGTAGAAAAAGAGATAGGGAGAGAGGGAGGAAGAGAAAAAAGGTGGAGAGAGATACATACATATATATATTATATATATGTATATATACACACATATACACCTATATATTATATATGTATATATACACACATATACACCTATATATTATATATGTATATATACACACATATATACATATATATTATATATGTATATATACACACATATATACATATATATTATATATGTATATATACACACATATATACATATATATTATATATGTATATATACACACATATATACATATATATTATATATGTATATATACACATATATATACATATATACATATATACACATATATACATATATACGTATATATACACATATATATACGTATATATGTGTATATATACACACACACATATATATACACATATATACAAACACACATATATATATACATATATACACACATATATATACACACATATATACACACACACATATATATACACATATATACAAACACACATATATATATACATATATACACACATATATATACACACATATATACACACACACATATATATACACATATATATATTTGTTGAAATATTTTTTGAACCAATGATGAAACCCAGGACAGGAAGGACAGCCAGGGAAGTTCAGAAACAAGGGCGTGTTTTGCTTTTGTTTTTCTTCCTTGGCAGCCTTGCTCTGATCTTTCTCCACTTACTCTTCTTGCTCAAGGCCCCATTTGGCCACCATCCCAGGCCTCACTAGGGCTTTTCAGAGGTGCTTTTAAAGACAGTGGTAATCTGATTGGCTCAGCTCCACCTCTTTCCCATCTCTCCCTACCTTTTTCTCTTCCTCCCTCTCTCCCCATCTCTTTTTCTACTGGTGTTTTACATTTTTTAAGTAAAAGAGTAATATTTCTAAAAATATAACTTTATTTTCTGAATAGGCCAAGACTGAAGGAGGGGTAATTTGGGAGGACTCTGACAGCCAAGAGCAAATGCCACAAAACGTCTCCCTTCTGTCCCTTCACAGGCTCATGTTCCCTGCAGAGAATCACCAGTTCAACAGCGTGTATTAGCCAGGAGAAGAGAGGACAGGCTTTGCTTTGGTAGCAGACAGCCCCCAAATCTGTCACATAAAACAGAACTTTACTTCTTACTCGTGCCACATTTCCAAAATGAATTGGGAGGGGCTCTGCAGTTCAGTGTCTCAGAGATCCAGGCTGATGGAGGCTTTTCTGAAGTGTGATTGCATCATCTGATCACCCCTTCAGAGCAGGAAAAGAGAAAGATGAAGGGACATACTGGTTCTTAAAGGCATCAGGCCAGAAGTGAAGGCCATCACTTTCACTCACAGTTCATTGACTAGAATCAGTCACATGGCTTCACACAGTTTCCAGAGGCCTAGGAGAGGTGGAGGGCATATAGTTATTCTGTAAAAACTTAATGTCTCTTCCCAGGCACAATTCTGGGGAAGGAGTGAGGAGACATATCTTCCCCAAAGGTGAGAGGTCTGTTCAGAGATAGATGATTATCTACTCACCCGTTCCACCTCCCAGAGCTTGCAGAACTCAAATGAGGCCTGGCTTACACAAGACGAAGAGATCAAATATAAGCCAGCTCCAAGCATCTGAACAAGGCCAAATGGCAGGATGATTTCCTGGGGAAGGCAGGCACCAATTTTGCCTCGCTCTCCACTCCCTGATCCCAGACCTGCTAGAAGCATTGCGGACCTACAGCCAGACCATTAAGAACCCTCTGAGATATCAGTAACACTCAGTGACATCACCAAGAAGAATTTCTTCCTTCTTTTAGATTATTTCCCTAGGATAAATTCCCAGATGTGGAATAACTGGCTCAAAGTATAACAATATTTGTATGGCTTTTAAGTCAAGTTGACAAAGTGCTTTCCAAGATTTGCATGGTGAATAAGCACTGTCTATCATTATCTGTCCCTTGCATTGTCACCAAGATTAGAAGTGATTATTTTAGATTTTGCCATTCTGATGAGCAAAAATCATATTTTTTCTTTGTTTTAATTTGTATTTATGTGATTATAGCAGGCTTTAATCTTTTGCCACGTTTGTTTATAACAATGTTTCCACTTGTGTAATTTGTGAGCACAGATGCTGGCTTACTTACTTACTCAAGCCTTAATTTCTTAAACCAATTTTTATAAATTCTTTATGTAACAAAGATGTTACTATTCTGTCTGTGGTAACAGCAGCCTTGTGTCTCCACCTCATCATCCTCATTCTGGTCTCTGCTTTTTCATTTTGGTTATTTTATTTCCATCGTTTTTGTTGTAGTGAAGAAGTTTTAAATTTGTATTTACTCAAATTCATCGGTCTTTTCTTTTGTGGTTTCTTCCTTTTTTCTTTTGTTTTTCTTTCTTTTTGGTTTTCACTTCAAAGCTTACAAATATATTTCCTGTCCTGAAATTTGATTAATATTTGCTTCTATTTTCTTCCCTTTGTCTTCCGTAGTTTGTTTTTTTGACACTTAAATCTGCAATCCAAATAAAACTTAGTTTAGAATTATGGCATTTATTTTTCCAAAAAGTAGGAAGTATAAGACTTCCTGCAATTCCTTAAGCCAAATAAATAAACAAATAAAAGTGAAGTTTGTCCAAAAGTATCTTGGGGCATGTGAGGACTGGGGTGGGCCTGAAATAGAATTTTTGTTTAGTTCTCTTGAACCCTTAGTGTTTCTAAAGTATAGACAGGGTTGGAAATGGCCCATTTGAATAACCTCTTTTCCATCAGGTCCTCTTCAGAGGACACAGAATGAAGTCCAACTGCTAAAATCCTTATTTTATTTTTGAGACAGGGTCTCGTGTTGTTATCCGGGCTGGAGTGCAGTGGCACAATCTCAGCTCATTGCAACCTCTGCCTCCTGGGTTCAAGGAATTCTTGTACCTCAGCCTCCCAAGTAGCTGGGAGTACAGGCATGTATCACCACGCCTGGCTAATTTTTATATTTTTAGTAGAGACAGGGTTTCGCCATGTTGCCCAGGCCAGTCTTGAACTCCTGACCTCAAGTGATCCACCAGCCTAGGCCTCCCAAAATGATGGGATTATAGGCGTGAGCCACCATGCTGGCCCTTCTTTTTTTGTTTGTTTTTTTGAGTGTAACATCTACAGGGTTGACAGTTGTTGGAGGGTATGGGGGTGGTTAGGGCAGGGGCCTTTGTTTCCGGATTCATGAGGTTTTCTTTTTCTTGAGCTGTCTATAACAGCGAATGGCAGTTTATGTTACAGACTAATACTGTGATTTGCATCATCAGGTACATTCAGTTTTCTGCATTAAGAAGGCTATGTAGCTGCAGTCCACAGAAACCCTTTTAAAATGAAGATTGAGTAGGGGATGGACCCAAGAGGTGTATAGGCCAGGTAGTTCATTACAAAGAACAAACACTTACTTTGATTTTTTTTTTTTTTTGTCTGTTTGGGTTTTTTTGTTTGTTTGGTTTGGTTTTTGGTTTTTGGTTTTTGTTTTGTTTTGTTTTGTTTTGTTTTGAGGCAGAGTCTTGCACTGTCACCCAGGCTAGAGTGCAGAGTGCAGTGGCGTGGTCTCAGCTCACTGCAACCTCCACCTCCCAGTTTCAAGCTATTCTCTTGCCTCAGCCTCCCAAGTATCTGGAATTACAGGTATGCACCACAATGCCCAGCTAATTTTTTTGTTTTTAGTAGAGACGGGGTTTCACCATGCTGGCCAGGCTGGTCTCGAACTCCTGACCTCGTGATCCACCTGCCTCAGCCTCTCAAAGTTCTGGGATTACAGGTGTAAGCCACTGCACCTGGTCTGTCTGTTTAAGTGAAGGTGGAGAGATGGCTTACTGCTAATATATAGAGAATGCTAATACATATTTTTAGTCACCAATACAAATTTTATTCTAAACGTAGTCATGAGATATAGGGATAAATAAAATCTAGTAAATCTCAGAGAATTTAATCGTGGTGGCACAAGCCTATAGTACCAGTTACTTGGGAGGCTGAGGTGGGAGAAAAGGAAAATGAATTAAATGTAAAATGATATTCAGGAATTATATTGATTTTATTAGATGTAATAATGGAATTGTGGTTGCTTTTTTGTTGTTCTTATCTGTAGAGATATATACTGAAGAATGTATGAATAAAATAAAACTAAGTGATCTTAGAATTTGGTTTGCTCATCAGGAAGTTTTTTGCACTTTGACTTTTTAGTATATTGCATTAAAATTTGCTTATCTTGATTACTGAGTATTTTTGGAACCCCCTTAAGTTTTACATCTGAGACAAGTGCCATTCTCAACTCACCCTAGTCCTGGCCTTTGGGAGAGGGAACGTCAAGAAGTCAGTCAAGAGGTAGATAATGCAATTACAGAATGGTATGAAAGCTATAAAGGCAAAGCGATGGAGAATCAAGATGGAGTGAGGAGAGAGACTGGGAGAAGGTGTGTGCATGACTGTATATGTCTGTGCATGTTGTTAGGTGGTGTGCAGTGGGGAGTCAGGGGCAAGCACTCCACAGAGAGGATGGAGTTGGAGAAGTGGGGGAGTGGGAGGAATTAAGGATATGTTTTCTGGATAGAAAAGATGGGACTTGCTAATGGATTAGAAAGAGAAGGAGAGCAAAAGGGAAGAGACTGAATGTGGTTATAGTAATGGCAAAGAGTACATTTATCAAGGTGAGGAATAGTGAGGAGAAACAGGATTCAAGGGAAACCGTTTGACTTTGAACCATATTAAGCTTGAGCTACTTATTGAGGACACAAGTAGAGTTGTCACAAAGGCATTCCTGAAGGCAAATCTGGAGCTCGGGTAGAAGGAGTTGAGCAAGAGATACAAATTTGGATGAGGTCACTTATGGAGACAATATAGACAGAAAAATGGAGAGGGCACAGAGCTGAGCTCTGGGGCTAATCAATACTTATAGGTCAGGTAAGAAGGAGAAACCAGCAAATGAGGCTGAGGAGCAGCCATCATTGAGGTAGGAGGAATGCCAGAAGAATTCTAGAAGAACTCTATGAAATGCTGCTGAGAAGTGAGGTAAGCTGAAAAAAGAGAAGTAACCATTAGATATGGTAGCAGGCAGGTCCTTGGTGACTGAGTCATGGTCAGTGCTATGATTGGAACCTGTCCCCCAAAGGCCATGTGTTGGAAACTTGATCCCCAATGGAGCAGTGTTGAGAGGTGGGATTTTTAAGAGGTGATAAAGGTATGAGAGCAAAGTTCTCATGAATGAATGAATTAATGTCATTATCCCAGGAGTGGGCTTGTTGTAAAAGCAGGTTTGGCTCTCTCTCGCCTCTCTCTTGTTCTTGTTCTCACCCTCTGTTCACCCTTTACCTTCCACTGTGGGATGTGCAGCAAGAAGGCCCAGATGCAGGCCCCTGAACCGTGGACTTCCCAGCCTCCAGAACTGTAAAAATAAATCTCTCTTCTTTATAAATTACCCAGTTCATGTATTCTGTTATAGCAACACAAAACAAACTAAGACAGGCAGTGCAATGAGCAGGGGGATGGAAGCCAGATTGGAATGGATTAGCAAATGAATGTGAGAGGCAAGGAAATGAAAACAGTGAATTTGATAATGCATTTGAGAAATTATTCGAGGATGTAGAATAGAGAGATGGCTGGGAAGAATCCACAACCCTCATCTCCCCTATCTACGTACAATATTTTTAATTGAGTCTAGCTGTGGTTCAGGAAGCTGTGAAATTTGTGAAAATTGAGTTCATGAGCACAGGTTACTTTGTGTGAAGACTACAAAGAAGGAAGTAATTTGTCTTACATTTTTCATATTTCAAAAATGTATTATCTTTTAACCAGCTAAACAATTGCAGAGGAGAGCATTAGCTAAAAATGTTAAGTCTAAATTAGGGGTTGAGTTTTTTTGTTTGTTGGCTTTTTTATAATTTTTTTTTTTTTTTTAAACGGAGTCTCGCTCTGTCGCCCAGGCTGGAGTGCAGTGGCGCTATCTCCGCTCACTGCAAGCTCCGCCTCCCAGGTTGACGCCATTGTCCTGCCTCAGCCTCCCGAGTAGCTGGGACTACAGGCGCCCCCCACCACGCCCGGCTAATTTTTTGTATTTTTAGTAGAGACGGGGTTTCACCGTGTTAGCCAGGATAGTCTCGGTTTCCTGACCTCGTGATCCAACCACCTCGGCCTCCCAAAGTGCTGGGATTACAGGCGTTGAGCCACCACGCCTGGCCTATTTTTAATTTTTGTGGGTACAAAATAGGCATATATATTTATGGGGTACATGAAACATTTTGATACAGGATGGAAATATTTCGATATAGGATGGATGGATATTACTCATACAATGAGTTATAATCACACCAGAGTAAATGGGGTATCCATCACCTCAAGCATTTGTCATTTCTTTATGTTACAAACATTCCAATTATACTCTTTTAGTTATTTTTAAATGTACAATAAATTATTGTTGACTGTAGTCACTCTGTTGAGCTATCAAATACTAGATCTTATTCATTCTATCTAACTATATTTTTGTACTCATTAATCATTTCCACTTAGACCAACTTCCCCTCCCCCCACCCCCCCCACTGCCAAAACTGCCCTCCCTGGCCTCTGGTATCCATCATTCTGTTTTCTATCTCCATGAGTTCAATCGTTTTAATTATTAGATCCCACAAATGATTGAGAACAGACAAAGTTCTTCTTTCTGTGTCTAGCTTATTTCACTTAACATAATGTCTTCCAGTTCCATCTATGTTGTTGTAAATGACAGGATCTCATTCTGTTTATGACTGAATAGTACTTCTTTGTATATATGCACAACATTTTCTTTATCCATTTGTTTGCCAATGGGCACTTAGGTTGCTTCCAAATCTTGGCTATTGTGAATAGTGCTACAATAAACATGAGAGTGCAGATATCTCTTTGACATACTGATTTCATTTCCTCTGGGCAAATACCCAGTAGTGGAATTGCTGGATCATGTAGCAGTTTTGCCTTCAGTTTTTTGAGGAAACCCCATTCTGTTCTCCATGGTGGCTGTACTAATTTACATCCCCTCCAACAGTGTACAAGGCTTCCCTTTTCTCCACATCCTCACTAGCATTTGTTATTGCCTATCTTTTGGATAAAAGCCATTTTTACTGGGGTGAGATGATATCTCACTGTAGTTTTGATTTGCATTTCTCTGATGATCAATAATATTAAGCACCTCTTCATATACATGTTTCCCATTTATATGTTTTCTTTTGAGTAATATCTATTCAGATCTTTTGCCCATTTTTGAACTAGATTATTAGATTTTTTTTTATTGAGTTGTTTGGGCTCCTTATATATTCTAGTTTTTAATCTCTTGTCAGATGGATAATTTGCAAATATTTTCTCCCATTTTGTGGGTTGTCTCTTCACCTTGCCAATTGTTTCCTTGGCTGTGGAGAAGCTTTTCAGCTTTATGGGATCCTATTTGTCTATATTTCGCTTTGGTTGCCTGTGCTTTTGGGGTGTTACTTAATAAATCTTTCCCCAGACCAATGACCTGGAGAGTTTCCCAATGTTTTCTTTCAGTAGTTTCATAGTTTGAAGTCATAGATTTAAGTCTTTAATTTATTTTGATTTGATTTGACTTACAGTGGCTCACGCCTGTAATTTCTGATTTTTGCATATGGCGAGACAGAGGGGTCTTGTTTCATTCTTCTGCATGTGGATATCCAGTTTTCCCAGTATCATTTATTGAGGACTGTCTTTTCCCCAGTGTATGTTCTTGACATCTTTATGGAAAATTCGTTCACTGTAGATGTATGGATTTATTTCTGGGTTCTCTATTCTGTTCCACTGGTCTGTTTTTATACCAGTATCATGCTGTTTTGGTTACAATAGCGCTGTAGTATAATGTGAAGTCAGGTAATGTGATTCCTCTAGTTTTGTTCTTTTTGCTCAGGATAGCTTTGGCTATTCTGGGGCTTTCGTGGTTCTATATAACTTTTAGGATTGTTTTGAGCTTTTTAAAAGTAAGAATCATCTCCAAAGGCAGGGGACGCCAAGCATAGAGAAATGAGGGGTGATGGAAATCGAGCTCCATCTCATGCAGAGCATCTGACAGCTGAGACTGAGGGTCTGCCTACCACCTAATTGAGTGGACAAGCCCTTGAAGCGGGCTGCCCTGAGATGGAGCAGCCTCGGGAACACTTGCCACCTCAGCATTTTGTGACCAGTGCCTTGTTTTCCCCTCATCAAGGACAAAGCCAGAACTGTCTCCAGTAGCTGCAGTCCTCCATGCTGGGCGAGGGTGGTCTTCTGTCACTAACAGTGGGGAAACTGAGAAGAAGCAGAAACAGCATCACTTCTCCCCTGCCCCACCCCCGCCCCACCCTGTGTTCTTCAGTAAAGACAGGTAGAGAGCAGAGGGAATAATGAACATTCATTTTAAAAGCCACCAACCTGGGCCAGGCTCACATCTGTAATCCTGGCATTTTGGGAGGCTGAGGCGGGAGGATCACTTGAGACCAGGAGTTCAAGACCAGCCTGGGCAACATAGCAAGATCCCAGTCTCTACAAAAAAAAATTTTCTTTTTTTGAGATGGAGTCTCACTCTGTCACCCAGGCTGAAGTGCAGTGGCTCGGCCTCAGCTCATTGCACCCTCTGCCTTTCGGGTTAAAGCGATTCTCCTGCCTCAGTCTCCTGAGTAGCTGGGCATGTGCCACTATGCTTGGCTAATTTTTTATAGTTTTAGTAGAGGGAGGTTCACCATGTTGGCCAGGCTGGTCTCAAACTCTTGACCTCAGGTGATCCACCCGCCTCGGCCTCCCAAAGTGCCGAGATTAGAGGTGTGAGCCACCATGCCTGGTCTTACAAATATATATATATATATATATGTATATATACATTTTAATAGCCAGGTGTGGTGGCATGAACCTATAGTCCCAGCTACTCAGGAGGCTGAGGGAGGAAGATCGCTTAAGCCCAGGGGTTTGAGGCTGTAGTGAGCTATGATTGCACCACTGCACTCCAGCCTGAGTGACAGGGAAAGACCCTGTCTCTGAAAAAAAAAAAAAAAAAGCCACCAACATCATCTTTTTAATCAGCCTTGGTAGGGGAAACTGTTCTGAGAGGTAAAGAAACTTATTTTGGGTTTTGAATTCTAAACCCAAGGCACAAAGTATTAAGTTGTTGGAAATTGTTGGTTTGAGGAATTAGGGATAACTCTGCTCCTTATTTCAAGCAAACTGAACTGTGTAGCATGACCACTTCTCTGATTCCTCTTTGCCCACCTGCTTGCTCTGTCCCTCTGGCTTTCTAAATTTCCTGCTTAGACTTTGGGCAGGGACTGCTCAGACAGGCCTTAGTAGCTATTCTTTTTTTCTTTTTCTTTTTTTTTTTGAGACAGAGTTTCACTTTTGTTGCCCAGGCTGGAGTGCAATGGCGCAATCTTGGCTCGCTGCAAGCTCCGCCTCCTAGGTTCAAGCGGTTCTCCTGCCTCAGCCTCCTGAGTAGCTGGGACTACAGGTGCCCACCACCATGCCTGGCTAATTTTTTGTATTTTTAGAAGAGACAGGGTTTCACCATGTTGGCCCAGCTGGTTTCGAACTCTTGAGCTCAGGTGACTTACCTGCCTCAGCCTCCCAAAGTGCTGGGATTACAGGCGTGAGCCACCGCACCTGCCCTAATATCTATTCTTTAGTCAAGGAAATGAGACATTTATTAAATCAGCAACTCTGGCAGCTCTGAGGCCATACTTGGCCCAGCAGACCATTCAGAACAAACAAATCCATCTCCAAAAGTTTGTAGAGTTAAGGCAGCTTTCGCTGGATGTTTTACTAAAAGGTGCAATACAGAAAAATTTATGCCACCCAACATAGCAGTTTCTCCCAGCCCCGCCTCTTGTGGAGAGGGGAAGTCTTCTGCTTCATAAAACACACTCGATTCCCTCCTCTGGCCACTGGCGCTCTCTCTTCACATTCCTCTCCTCTCTTCTGTGCTTTCCTAGGCAGAACAGCCTGGCCTGCTATCAGCTTCTGCTCCTCTGCCTCTCATTCCAGCCATCCTGACTGGTACTGAGAACATATTTCCTGCACTTGAATGTTATCTGTCAAAACAGATCTAAGGGGCCTGGCACGGTGGCTCATGCGTGTAATCCCAGCACTTTGGGAGGCGAGGCGGGTGGATCACATGAGCCTAGGAGTTTAAGACCATCCTGGGCAACACAGTGAAACCCCATTTCTACAGAAAACACAAAAAATTAGCCAGGCATGGTGGCACATGCCTGTAGTCCCAGCTACTACAGTCCCAGGCTGAGGTGGAAGGGTTGCTTGAGCCCAGGAGGCAGAGGCTGCAGTGAGCCATGAAACCGTGATTGTGATTGCGACACTGCACTCCAGCCTGGGAGAGAGAAAAACAAAAACAAAAACAAAACAAACAAACAAAAAAAGATGTGAGGGCCCACTCTCCCCAGTGATGGGACTCCCATTTTATTTACTGAAGTCCTTTGGGTTTGTATTAGTTTCCTATTGCTGCTGTAACAAATTACCACAAATTGAGCAACTTAAAATAATATAAATGTAGTATCTTACAGATCTGTAGTTCAGAAGTTCAAAATAGGTCTCATTGGGCTGAAATCAAGGTGTGGGGAAGGCTGCATTCCTTTCTGGAGGCTCAAGAGGAAAATCTGTTTTCTTGCAGTTTTTCCAGTTTCTAGAATCCACTGCATTCTTTGGTTCATGACCCCCTGCCATCTTCAAAGGCTAGCAATTGCATCACTGCAGCCCTGCTTTCATAGTCAATCTTTTTATCTGACTCTGGCTCTTCTTCTACTTCTCTCTCTCACATTTAAGGAACCTTTTGATTATATCAGCTTGCCCTGAAAATCCAGAATAATCTCCCTATTTTAAAGTTGGCTAGTTAGTGACCTTAATGCCATCTGCAAACTTAATTCCTATTTGCCATATAACAACATAGTCACAGTTTCTGCAGATTAATACATGGACACCTTGTGGGGGGCATTATCCAGTATACCATAGGGTTCAAAGGCCAATGTGGCTAGCAGTAGCTTGGGGAAGAATGGTCTCCTTTTCCTGTAGCCACAGACAACACAGGAGAGAGGCCATGCTGGGTCCTAAGCCTGACTCGAATAGGTGGCAAAGGGGCTAAGGAAAACCTTTCTCCAAGTTTAGCATGATGCCGTCCTTTCTCAATTTTAGCTCTGCTCCAATTCTTGACCTTAACCTCCACATTCGGTGGGCAAAGATGGGTGGTGAGTGATTGTCAGAAGAAACAAAGATAAGCAGACACCTTTATCCCCAGTTAAGAGATATTTGCTTTCCATGACCTCTTTCATCCTCTCCTGGTCCTTTGGGCTCACAAACATTGAATCATTCAGATTTTGGTGGACATCTTGGCATGTGATGTCTCTCCCATCCCCAGAATAACATTGGCATCTTCTCACTGACACAGGGAGGAGGAAAAGCATCATCTCCCTGGGTCTCTGATTTGCAGATGAAGAAATGCAAGACGGTCACCTACTTCGATTTGGGACCAATCATAACTCCAGATCCCCATGCTTATGTGGTATAGTGAGATAGTCTCCAAAGATGGCTGTTGCCAATTCCTTTTTTTTTTTTTTTTTTTTTTTTTTTTGAGACGGAGTCTCGCTGTGTAGCCCAGGCTGGAGTGCAGTGGCATGATCTCAGCTCACTGCAACCTCCATCTCCCAGGTCCCCAGTTCAAGCAATTCTTCTGCCTCAGCCTCCCAAGTAACTGGGATTACAGGCATGCTCCACCATGCTCAGCTAATTTTTTTGTATTTTTAGTAGAGACAGGGTTTCACCATGTCAGCCAGGCTAGTCTTTAACTCCTGAACTTGTGATCCACCCGCTTCAGCCTCGGCCTCCCAAAGTGCTGGGATTACAGGTGTGAGCCACCGCGCCCAGCAGGCTGTTGCCAATCCCTTATGTCCCTGAATCCACTGCTGCTCCTCACATTGAGATGTAGCATCTAATTCCTCTCCCTGGGCTAACCTTAGTAACTTGCTTAACCACTAAATGTGATGGAAGTGAGGTTCTAGGTCTTTTGAGGCTAAGTCATAAAGTTTTGCAGGGTCCTCTTGGGCATTCATTCCTGGAATCCAGCCATAACTCTGTGAGAAGCCCAAGCCACATGCGGAGGCCAACTGTAGGCCTTCTTCTCATCTGGTTGATAAGACCAGATGAGTTCCCAGCCAACAGCAGTATCCACTGCTAGCCATATGAGTGAGCCATCTTGAATAGTTAGCCCAGTAAAGCCTTCAGAGAGAAAGTAGGAATGAGAAGAGTTTATATCTGAAAGAAGTAACATGGACAAAAATGGCAAACCAAAACAATGATGAGTAGATGAGAAATATGAATAGAGCTAATTGAGAACACTCATCTTTCAAGATTCAGTTCAAGTACCCTCTGCCAGGCAGCCACCTCCTCTTCCATTTTCCTAATTTCTGCCTTGCTTAAACTGTTTTTTTCCACTTTAATTGTAGCACCAGGAATATTTTGGGATGCTATTTTTTAAATTAAATATTCCTGTTATGGTTAGGGTAAAGGTAAGTGTCTACAACAAAGATTTCTCAAAATGCAATTGCTTAAATTATGTAGATGTTCCTTTTTCTCTCCCATAAAAAAGTCAGAAGGTGAGACCTGCTCCTCATGGTCATTCAGGGACCCTGATCCTTCCAAGTCATTGCTCCACTATCCTCCTTGGTAAATTCATCAACTGCTTTATAGAAACTTGGTCACCACCAGATCTGGGTTCCAGCCAGTCTGGAAGAGGGAAGACAGGCGGAGGAGGCAGGCCTGATGCCCTAGGCCTAGAAGTGGCCATATCACCTCCTTCACAGGTTTTTGTCAAGAACTTGGTCACATCACTGCACTGAACCCAAGGGAGACTTGCTGGTCCTTAAGAATGAGCCTGTCTCCTGACCCAGAGTGGAGCTTAATCTGAACCTGCTGAAGGTATGAGCCTGTTGCAGCTAGCTAGGCTGGAAGTGATAAAGGTGAAAGCCGACGTGGGGATCTGGGAAAGAAGAGAGAGAAGACAGATGTGGAAGAATTTAACAGGGAAAATGAACAGGGCTTGATGAATCTTGCCAGAACAGAGAGCTTTGAATGTTATGATCCCTTGTGATCTAAGTTGACAGATCTTTGGCACAAGTTTAAAGAACTTGAGCTGAATACTTCACTTAACAGAAATTTGTTAAACACATTCCAAAGTTAGAAAATTCCTCAACTGTTTCAAAATCACAGGAAAAAGCATGCCTTGAGCTTGAAGGCTTTCAGAGGTCTCTGGTTTAATACTGCTACTGTTAACAGGTTTGAGCACCAAATTGCACATAAGGGCTTTCACCTGGCTGCCATTCCATACCACTGGCCGTACCTTCCTGGCTTCAACAGCACCATTCTGGATTGCTAACAAATGCTCCAGAAAGCAAATGTGTGCACTCATTCCCTGATGTCCAGACACTTGCTGTTTTCTAGGGAACCAGGCTCTGTGGATAAGCAGTGTTTGGACACATCATTCTTTAAAGTCGGCACAGGTTTTGGAATCAGTGCAGACTGAGTCTGAATTCTGGCTTGGCTACTTACTACCTACTTTAGTCACGTTGTTTCACCTAAGCTTCTGTTAGTCCGTTAACTTACCTGCTTAAGCTCTAGCTCCTTCACCTATAAAATGGAGACTGTATTGGGCCTACCTCACTGGGTGTATGAGAAGCGTATTAGTCCATTTTCACACTGCTATAAAGACATACCCAAAACTGGGTAGTTTATAAAGAAAAGAGGTTTAATTGACTCACTCATCTGCATGGCTGGAAGGCCTCAGGAAACTTACAATCGTGGCAGAAGGCAAATGGGAAGCAAGGACCTTCTTCAGGTGGCGGCAGGAGAGACAGAGAGCGAGTGTGAAGGAGGAACTGTCAAACACTTATAAAACCATCAGATCTCTTGAGAACTCACTCACTACCACAAGACCATCATAGGGGAAACCGCCCCCATGATCCAATCACGAATCAGGTCCCTTCCTCGACATGTGGGGATTACAATTCAGATTACAATTTGAGATGAGATTTGGGTGGGGACACAGCCAAACCATATTATGAAGTAAATGAGGTTCTGGGTGTGAAGTACTTAGCCCTTAGTAAATGACAGTGAACGATAACCAATAGCTCTTAAACTATTACAACAACTAGGTTTTCAGGCCTCTGTGACCTCTCAAGTCAAAAGGTATTACAAGTATAAAAGAAATAATAGCCAGTTACAGCCATTTACAAAACTCAAGTGTGCAAAATGGAAACTTATTAATTTCTTCAGCTTGTCTTAATTTCCAATTCGGTGACTCCAGCGTGGCCCCTGGAAGATAACCTGACCCTGGTGCATGCAGTGCCACGTCTTGACTTCTCAGCAAAATTTGGGATGACAAATTGGACTTGGAACTCAGTCTTCACTTCCTCTCTCTTGCTCTCTCTTGTTTGATATAATCTAAGAATTTTGCTCATTGCATAGTCACCTCAAGGAGAGAGAAGTGGGTCCCTTTTTAGGTCTCCTATGCTTTAGGGACCCAAGTTGTTGTTTGCTACTGATGTCCTGCAGCCCATGGTGCTCTCAGAGATCACAGCTCTGACAGCTCTCGTCAGTGGCACATTCTGTTCCATCCTACAGTCTTCAGTCTTGTCCTCCCCTCACTTCTAGGGGTCAGGCTTGTTCCTCCCTTACTTCTGGGGACAGGCCAAGCTCATCCTCCCAGTGGGTAGGTGTCTCTCCCCTGACCTGGACCATGTTGGCTCTCACTACCAGCCAACTACTGGCTCACTATGAGCTAGAGAAGCCCTCCAAGCCACATTTGGACCTGTAAAAACTGGGACCTGTTCATATCTAAATGCATCATGCCACCATTCCTCTTGCTTCCCCTTACCAGAAGCTTATCGCAATAAAAGCTATTTGCTCTCCCTGACCTCTTCCATCCTCTCCTGGACCTCTTGGCTCACAAACATTGAGTCATTCAGATTTTGGTGGACATCTTGGCATTTGATGTCTCTCCCATCCCCCGGTGCAGGACCCATCTGAGCAACTACAGGGGGGAAACTGAGACTGCAAGTCTTCCTTTCTCTTATGTACCCCTCATCTCCCTTGGAAAAGTTTCCTTTTTTCCTCCTTCCCTTTCTCTTCACATCAGAGCTCATGTCGTGGGGGGAGTGTTCCAATACTTGTCAATTTATTCTTTTTGTATAATTCTGTCTCCTCTTTCTCCTCCCCAGCACAAAGCTCTTTTTATGTAGGTGAAAGGGATATGTGTGCCTGTGCGTGTGCATGCACACACACACACACAGGGTGAAAACCAGTTCTCCAAATTTATGCATACTTTGCAGGCTATTTTGTCTCCCATCCACCAGAGAACAAAACTTCTTTGAACTGAGAAGCTAAGAAAGTGTGCCATTCTTGTTAGTAGCAGGCCATTTGTGAATGCTGAGAGGGTGAACATGTTTTTTATGTCTCAGCTATTAGTCTGCCATAAATGAATACTTCATGTTGCATCTGTCTTACAAGTTATGTGGGTGTTTACCAAGTTAGTGCATAGGAAAGAGGTCAGCCAGGCTGCTCAGTGCATGGAGTGGGCAGAGGCCCCTTCGTGGTGCTCCACTGGACCCTTCTATTTACCATTCCAATCTTTGCATGTCACTTTTATTTTTGCCAAGTTATACATACACATATAGTTTAAGAAGTGAAATAGTTATCTGAAATGCTAGAAAGACAGCAGTCTTCTGGTCTCCTCTCCTGCCCTCCCCTCCCATTCTCACTGTATTCCTTCAGTTGACTCTTTTGATCTTTTCATCTATATTGCTGATTAATGGGATTATATTGCTGCTTGATTCTCCATTTTAGGCAATATCTATTGATAATGAGCATTTTACCTCTTTTAGATTATTTTGGCAAATATCCATGACCTATAGCTATTAAAGTCTCTTCCCATACTTTGCTTGGCGATCAATGTTAAATTCTGCCAAATGTTCACATATTTATTAGCAAAAAGGCACAAAAAGAGTCATGGCAATTATTCTTGCAACCGAGGGGATGTCCTCCGTTTCTATCTATGGGCATGTCCTCCAGTTGAAAGACTTCTGCTTCATCATTTCCAGATCATAGACTTCATGTTTTATGTTTGGGCTAGGGAGAGAAGCTGGGCATCTGTATGCTTCTCAAAGATATAATTATGTCTTCTATCCTTAGTCCTTCTTGCATTCCTCCTTTCAGAGATACCTGGTGTCTCTAACTCCTGACTTATGTTTTTGCTAAGTAAGTCAGTTGCCACTGTTCTTCTGCTTTCAGCTTCCAAAATGTAGTTACCATTGTCTCTGCTCCCATTCCCTTTGTCATTTGACTTATGCCCTTAAAAAAATCCGTTTCCTGCCAATTGAGTAGAGTTTAGGGAAATTGGAGAGATAAAAGTTGTGTTTAATCTGCCATTTTTAAGCAAAAATGTCTTATTCTATTTTAGCCCCTTCTGGTTTCATTTGGGAACTATCCAAGCTAGATGCCGTAATGTGTCACTTTAAACATCCTCTGCAAGCTTGTTCCTTTTTCCTTCCACTGCTCTGGATTTGCATGCAAATATGAATTATTCCACAGGCCATCTTCTTTCCTTTTGCAAACAAACTGCTCAACACATATGTTAGTGTTACCTCGAAGACTTCACTTATCAGTTTTGGCTTCACTCCAAACAATGCCCAGAACTTGAAGAGCCCTGGTCAATACTATCTTCTGTCCACCTCACCAACAAATACATATGTTCAACCCTGTTATCCAGTCTCCAACTCTACCCTACTATTCTGTGCTTTCACCCAGAAATGACCTTTGTTGATATTTCAGAGAGAATAGAAGCAACAAAATGTGAATTTCCTTAACTTCTTTCTCCTCCTTCCCTACCCCATGTCTACATCTGAACCCATCCGGACTGCCCTCTTCAGCAATCTCTGGCCCCAGCACTGTAACAGACTCTGTTTATGAAGCTGCCTGAGATGTCCCTCCTACATGCAGACCACACTGTGCTTTCCAGTCCCAGTTCTTCCTGCCTCTTTGGGACATTGCTCCATCAGCTATCCCCTTTTATTTTTATAATCTTATATTATATTCTTTTATTTTTTTAACTTTTATTTTAGGTTCTGGGGTACATGTGCAGATTTGCTACATAGGTAAACTCGTGTCACAGGGGTTTGTTGTACAGATTATTTCATCACCAAGATACTAAACCTACTACCCAAAATTATTTTTGCTGCTCCTTTCCTTTCTCCCGCCCTCCACTTCAAGGAGGCCCCAGTGTCTTTTGTTCCCTTCTTTGTGTTCATGAGTCCTCATGATTTAGCTCCCACTTATAAGTCAGAACATGTGGTATTTGGTTTCCTGTTGCTGTATTAGCTTGCTAAGGGTAATGGCCTTCAGTTCCACCCATGTTCCCATAAAAGACATGATCTCATTCTTTTTATGGCTGCATAGTATTCCATGGTGTATATGTACCACATTTTCTTTATCAAATCTGTCTTTGAGGGCAGTTAGGTTGACTCCATATCTTTGCTATTGTGAATAGTGCTGCAATAAACATTTGCATGCATGTGTCTTTATGGTAGAATGATTTATATTCCTCTGGGCATATGCCCAGTAATGGGATTACTGGGTTGAATGGTAGTTCTGCTTTGAACTCTTTGAGAAATTGCCATACTGCTTTCCACAATGGTTGAACTAATTTACACTCCCACCAACAGTGTATAAGTGTTCCCTTTTCTCTGCAACCTCACCAGCATCTGTTTTGTTTTTTTTTTACTTTTTAGTAATAGCCATTACTAAACAGTGTGTGAGATGGTATCTCATTGTGGTTTTGATTTACATATTTCTAATGATCAGTGATATTGAGCTTTTTAAAATATTCTTCTTGGCTGCATGTATCTCTTCTTTAGAAAACTGTCCATATTCTTATATTCTATAAGAGCAGCCTCATTTTGGACCTGGCCACTTTGGCACATTCCTTTTGGCTTAGAAAGAGCTTAGATTTTTTTCATCTTAAAAGAATCCCTCTAAATCCCTATGGAGATATTGCTCCTTCTCTCCCCACTCTTACATCAAGTTTCTTGAAAACATTGTATTTACTCTGTTTTCATACTGCTGATAAAGACATACCCAAGACTAGGTAATTTATGAAGAAAAAGAGGTTTAATGAACTCACAGTTCCACATGTCTGGGAAGACCTCATGATCATGGTGGAAGGCAAAAGGCAAGTCTTACATGGCAGCAGACAAGAGAGAAAAAATGAGGGCCAAGCGAAAGGGGAAACCCCTTATAAAAACATCAGATCTCATGAGACTTATTCACTCCCAGGAGAACAGTATGGGGGAAACTGCCCCTGTGATTCAATTAGCTCCCACAAGATCCACCCCACAATATATGAGAATCATGGGAGCTACAATTCAAGCTAAGATTTGAGTGAGGACACAGCCAAACTATATCAAACATCTTCTGAATTCATGGTCTCCACTTCCTTGCCTCTACTTTCTTCTGTGACCTTTGCAGTCAGCTTTCTGCTTCCCATGGAGTCTCCCTCACCAATGCCCATTTTGTCAGCAGAGGCATTGAGCATGCCTCTATTCATGGCTTACCTCATTGCATTTAGCACAATTGACCACTGCCTCCCTAACACACTTCTTTTTCTGAACACCATGACTACTCTCATGCTTCTCCTAAATCTCTGGTTACTCCTTCTTCTGTAGTTTCTTATAGGATTACGTGATCTTATTATATCTCATAATGCATGTTGCTATGGTTTAAATGTGTCCCCAAAGTCCATATGTTGGGAACTTGATCCCCAATGCAGCAGTGATGGAAGGTGGGGCCTAATGAGAAGTGTTTGGGTCATGGGGGCACCATTCTCATGAATCAATTAGTGCCATTATCTCAGTAGTGGGTTCCTTATAAAAGGACAAGTTTGGCCACATCTTGTCTCTTTCTTGCCCTCTCTTTGCCCTTCCATTATGGGATGACATAGCAAGAAGACCCTGCCAGATGTTAGCTCCTCAGTCTTCGACTTCCCAGCCTCCAGACCATAAGCCAATACATTTTTGTTCATTATAACTTACACAGTCTGTGGTATTCTGTTATAACAGCATAAAATGAACTAAGACATATGTTAATCATGCATTAGAGTGTCTGACATCTGTCCATGTTCAAGAAATGTCCCCAATCATTAGTAGTCGCAGCAGGAGGAAGAGGAGGGGGTAGAGGGTTAGCATTAATATTGCTACTAATTTCTATCCATCAGAATGGCACCACTACCACCTATTTCCAGTCCAAACACTTGGGATTCATCCTTGGCCCTTGCCACTCACTTCCTACTTCCCCAAACTTTATTTAACTTATCATCAAGCTATTGATCCTATTCCATAAATATCCCTCAGATCAGACCCTCTCTACCTGCTCCCCTGCCCCCATTTCCACCCTCACTTCCCTGCCCTGTTCAGTCCCCATCCTCTGTTACCCAGTCTATTTGAAAGTCGGAAAGCCACACTGCCTGGTGTCTCAGCCTCTGGCCTTACCATTTCCCCTCCAGTCCATCCTCTACATCTTCTCCAAAACGATCCTCTAACATGCTTGTCTGAGCAGATCACATCTCTCCCAGGCATATTTCAGTAACAATTATAATTGGAACAGAGAAGAGAAAAGCTAATATTTAAAATCATAACAGACTGCAGCTGCATCATCCCCAAAGGCTTGCATGCCTCTGAGCACAAAGCTCTTTGTTTCAAAACACCTGGGTGGGGCCGGCCTTGGTGGCTCATGCCTGTAATCCCAGCATTTTGGGAGGCCAAGGCCGGTGGATCACCTGAGGTCAGGAGTTCAAGACCAGCCTGCCAGCATGGCGAAACCCCGTCTCTACTAAAAATACAAAAATTAACCTGAAGTGGTGATGCGCGTAGTAACCCCAGCTACTTGGGAGGCTGAGACAGGAGAATCGCTTGAACCTGGGAGGCGGAGTCTGCAGTGAGCCGAGATCGCACCACTGCACTCCAGCCTGGGCAACAGAGCTAGACTCCATCTCAAAAAACAAACAAAGAAACAAAACAAACAGACAAAAAACACCTGGGTGGACACAGAAGGTGAACAGGTGGGAATTTAAAACAAAGAGATAGCTAAACTCCTCTGCAGGAAATAAGTTGGGATTTGGGGGCTGGCAGGCATCTAGAGAGGGAAGAGAATTGAGGAAAGCCTTAGGAGGGATGCTACCTCACCATCTCAGTGGGAGGCTGGAGGTATGCCCTCAACCCCACTGCCCTTTGCCCTACATCTTTAATAAAGTTTATTACATAAACACTGCCCCTCATGATCCTATAAATGGAGGAAAGGGGTGATGTTCTATGAGGATCTGCTAGGAACACAGAACTGAGAGCAGAGGTGGGAGGGCATCCCTGTGACTCTGGAAATTACAGGTAGGATGAAATTGGAGCCTGCAGACTCTAGGAACAAAGGGCTTGGACGGGGAGGACCTGATGTAAACAAAGGTGGGTGTTCAAGTCAATTATACCTAAATTTCTAAAAAGTGTCACCAGGCTCTTTGGCGTGATCTCATCACTATGGCCATAATGTGGCAGATGTTTTCTCTGGGTCAGGCAATGGGTTGGCTGCTTTGAATGCACAATCTCATGCCATCCTCTCCTAAGGCCTGCTACAGAGTTGACATTATTGGGTCCATTTACAACTTAGGACCTACCACTTACCTGGAGTCACAGAGTTGGAAGGGGTCAGAGAGTTGGGGTCTGAAAGCAGATCTATGTATTCTCGCCGTTATTCAGAGCTGTCTCCTTTCTCTTAGATAAACTCTCAGCATTTCCCCATTGGCTCCAATTTTCTAATCGTGGTCAAATAAAAAGTCAGATCCAGTCACAGGTCTGAATGAAAACATCAGGTCTATTCACTTGTTTTGCAAATTGGAAGACGTTGCTCCAAGGAAGGGCAGGGAACTGGGACACCAAGGGAGCCAAGTGAACGAGGATATTTCTTTTCATTGTGAGTCTAATGTTCCTTCCACTGCACCCATTTCCCAAACTGGGCCTGCAGAACTGGTGATGCCAATAAGTGTGCCATGAGAAAAGTATCCTGCAGTTAAATAAATCTGGACATTATTGAGTTAAAGTTAAATAGAGCTTCTCACAAGCTTCAATATATTACTGTACATTTCATTTGCCAAAAGCGGGTGTTGGTATGCTCGTTTCCCAAACTTATCGGACAAGGAGTTTGGTGGAACAATGATGAGCCTCTTATCAAGCTGGTGTATTGTGGAACAGAGTTTGGGAACTCTGGCTTACTTTGCAGAAAAATCCTTGCTTTGAGGAAATACAGGCATTACATTCAGCAAGGGTTTCAAGTAATGCAAACTGACCACCCATAAAGATGATATTTCCTGCAGGAAGGATGAGGAACTCCTGAAGTCCTGCAGGAGCTCACGTTTTTCCTGGTAGATAGGAGTAGAGACAGACTCTATGTAGAAGGGATATTCTGAGTAAAGGAAGGAACTCCACAGAACAGGCTTTGGGAGAAAGGACAAGATCTAGCTGAAGGATTCTGAGAATGAGGCCAGATACAAAAGAAAATGTAGTAAACAGAAAGGGCTGCTTTACAGTACTCAAAGCACAAGGATGATATACCTTTATTTTTCTCAAATAAAATCTGGCTTTGAGGCCCACCCACTGTGATTGGCAAGAAGTCTTATACTAGACATTTTTTATTTTTGGTGACTCCTTTTTTTTTTTTTTTTTGAGATAAAGTCTCACTCTGTCACCCAGGCTGGAGTGCAATGGTTCAATCATGGCTCACTACAACCTCCATCTCCCAAGTGATTTTCATGCCTCAGCCTCCCAAGTAGCTAGGATTACCAGGGCACACCATGGCGGCTAATTTTTTGTATTTTTAGTAGAAACGGGGTTTCACTGTGCTGGCCAGGCTGGTCTCAAACTCCGGACCTCAAGTGATCCGCCCACCTTGACCTCCCAAAGTGCTGAGATTACAGGCCTGAGCCACCCACCCCCCGCCCATTTTCGGTGATTCTTACCCCTTCCTTCAGGTCATACAAGCATCTGGGGCTTGTCTAGTCCAGAACAACTGGGGAAGAGCCAACTCTGGTCATGGTGGATACCCAAGAGAACCACTAGTGTAACTCCTGTGCAAATTTGGACTCCAGCTTGGACCAGCACTGCCATTCCAGGCAGGACGCCAAAATGGCCCTCCCAGGGGTTTCATCACAGACAGGCATCAGCTACAGAGACCCCTGTGGTAACCAGGGCCACTAGTTGGTGTCCACAGACATCTAGCCTCCTTACAGTATCTGAGGTACTCCTCTTCCCAGCCTCAGTGAAGTTTTCTTGGCAGCTGGATACATCCCTCCTTCCCTGGAAGCCCAAACTTCGGGCCCGCTCCCACTCCCAATTCATCCAATTTAGCTTCTTTAACCAAGCTCTGAGACCATGTGTCTAATAATGATCTTCTGGGTTTTGGGGAGCCAGGTTGACCTTACACATTTAAGGAGAGCATGAGCTACATACCCCCTTGAATCGGGAGGAAAAATGCCTCATCTTTCTTTGGCTAATGAATCCACAGCAGGCACTCCTAATAGTTCCATAAAAAAAAAAAAAAACAAAACGAAACAAAAAAAAACAGCTGGGCGCAGTAGCTCACACCTGTAATCCCAGCACTTTGGGAGGCTGAGGTGGGTGGATCACTGAAGTCAGCAGTTCCAGACCAGCCTGGCCAACCTGGTGAAACCCTGTCTCTACTAAAAATACAAAAATTAGCCAGGTGTGGCAGCATGCATCTGTAGTCCCAGCTACTCAGGAGGCTGAGGCATGGGAATCGTTTGAACCTGGGAGACAGAGGTTGTAGTGAGCTGAGATCACGCCACTGGACTCCAGCCTGGGCAACAGAGCGAGACTTGGTCTCAAAAAAAAAAAAAAAAAAAAAAAAGATTTTTCTCAAGAATGTATCATGTTACAAATACACCAAATACACAAGCAAGGCCATTATATT
Source organism: Homo sapiens (assembly GCF_000001405.40). Taxonomy (NCBI): domain Eukaryota; kingdom Metazoa; phylum Chordata; class Mammalia; order Primates; family Hominidae; genus Homo; species Homo sapiens. Next base: position 134,269,755 of record NC_000003.12, on the reverse strand, counting down.
TGCTATGATTATATTTGCAGTAAAAGATAGGAAAATGTTAGAGACAAATTTGGTAAAGCAATGAAGTCAGGGGAGGGAAATTCACTCCAATAAGACCCTTCTCCCTATGGAGCTTCTCTCCACATGGGGTTGAAAAAACCTTGGAGTGATTCTGACACATGAGTAAGAATGACTCTAATGTGATCACTATAATAGCACAGATGCCTGGGAAGTATTGTGTAGCTGAGCACAGGAGTCAACATGCTATAAACTCACTTGACATCCACAACAATACATAACATAAATAATCATGACCAGTAAAAAGGAAAAGAATAGAAAGGCTGGCTGTGATGGCTAATTATTATTATTATTATTTAATTTTTTTTGGGGGGGGATGGGGTCTCCCACTGTCATCCAGGCTAGAGCACAGTGGCACAATCTCAGCTCACTGCAACCTCTGCCTCCTGGGTTCAAGTGATTCTCCTGCCTCAGCCTCCCTAGTAGCTGAGATTACAGGCACCCACCACCATGCCCTGCTAATTTTTATATTTTTAGTAGAGATGGGGTTTCACCATATTGGCCAGGCTGGTCTCGAACTCCTGACATCAAGTGATCTGCCCGCCTCTGCCTCCCAAAATGCTGGGATTACAGGCATGAGCTACTGCGCCTGGCCCATGTGATGGTTAATTATATGTGTTGACTTGGCGAGGCTAGGGTGCCCCATTGTTTTGTCAAACACCAGTCTAGATGTGCTGTTGAAGTATTTTAAAGATGTGATTAACATTTAAATCTGCAGACTTTGAGTAAAGCAGATTACTTTCGATAATGTGGGTGGGCCTCAATCTAATCAACCGAAGACCTTAACAGCCAAAACTGGGGTTTCCAAAAGAAGAACCAATTCTGTCTCAAAACTGCAAGACAGAAACTCTGCCTGAACTTATAGCCTGCAGACTCAGACTCAAGACAGCAACATCAACTATTCTCTGAATTTCTAGCCTGCAAGCCTGCCCTACACATTTTGCCCTTGCCAGTTTCCACAACTGCATGAGCCAATTCCTTGAAATGAACCTCTATCTCCTATTGATCTGTTTCAGGGGAGAATCGTCACTAATGAAAAAGGCTTATGCTATTTTGAATATTATAGTGTCCACTAGAGATTAAGAATTAAAGACATGAGAACGGAACCAGGTAGCAAACTAGGTGCCCATATCTACTTTTCCTCCCCCCGGCACCAAATTCTACAAAGTGGACAACATTTAAAGAAAGGGGAGAATGGAGAAGAGGTATAGAAGGAAAAGAAGGAGGAGGAGGAAGAGGCAGTGCATTTCTTGATACAGCACAGAGCTTTGACTGGGACAAGAAATGCAAAGATTTTTCTCTCAGTTTGCCTCTTGTTTTTTGACTTTGTTTATGGTTGTTTTGTCATGCAGGAGTATTTTATTTCCTATAAATGAATTAGAAAAATGAAGACATCCTCTAAAAGACAGAAAACAGATGGTATCAAGTTAACAGAGAAGAAAGATCAGAGAAAACCACAGCCTAAAATACCCTCAGTCCTGCTTTTGGAATGGAAGTTGTTCTGGAACAGCTCCTAGTTCAGAGTCAATGGACCCAAAAAAAGGGATGGTACCCTGGGGCAACCACTGGGATATGCAATTTGGAGCAACAGGCCATGTGAAACCCTTTTCTCTGCTCCTCTTGTGCCGAGCAAGGGTTAGCAGCAGTGTTGTCTCCAGGGTAAAGCAGTGACTTGGGTACTGAGGCCAGAGATGCAGAGTGATGTCCTGGCAACAAGTCACCCCCAGGATAGACAAGAAAAACCTCATGGCAAAAGATAAGCTAGTAGAGGTTTCCACACTCAGCAGAGGTACAATCTCACCACCATCCGCAAAAACCAATATGGCATCATAAAAACAAGGATGAGCAGATGATCAATAGTCAGGAAGTATCTGAGGAAAACCGATACCCTAAAAGAGAACAGCAGACTAACAAACAGAAAGACTGATGTCTGAGGAAAGAGTTAAGAGCAAAGAGAAGAGTTCAAATATCTCTAATCAATTGCTTCAGAATGGTTAAGAACATGGGCTCAGGAAACAAACTGCCTGAAATCAATTTTGATTTCTATCCTGCTCTGAGATGTATGGATAGCACTGGGGAAAGTTGTGCCTCAGTTTTCTAATCTGTAAAGTGGGAATTTGAATAATACCAATCTCATAGGATTATTTTAAAACTTAAATGAGATAATCATGAGAAAACAAACCTCAGTAATGAGGTAATAATAAGTACTCAATACATGTTCAATACTGTATTATTGTTTTTAAAAAGCAAGAACTGGCTGCAGTAGAGAAGCAAAAATTTGAGAATATAGAAATGAAAATCAATGTATGGCAAATTTATAAATGAGAAAGATGAATGAACCATATAATAGATTAAAAAGTGGGCCAGGCGCAGTGGCTCATGCCTGTAATCCCAGCACTTTGGGAGGCTGAGGCGGGTGGATCATTAGGTCAAGAGATCGAGACCATCCTGGCCAACATGGTGAAACCCTGTCTCTACTAAAAATACAAAAATCAGCTGGGCATGGTGGCACACACCTGTAGTCCCAGCTACCTGGGAAGCTAATGCAGGAGAATCGCTTGAACTGGGAAGGTGGAGGTTGCGGTAAGCCGAGATCTCACCATCACACTACAGCCTGGGCGACAAGAATGAAACTCTGTCTCAAAAAAAAAAAGTGAATTAGTCACTGAGATTTTAGCCAATGTGCCCAGGAGGTGGGGGTTGGTGTATGAGGGGCCAAGCTTTCTAACTGGCCTTTCCTTCTTTCCTTTCCCCTTCATGGAGGCAGAGCTTTTGACTGACATGCCTGCAGGTGAAAGTGGGGGTAGAGATTGGTGTGCCTGGGCTGAACTTTCAGTAGGTAGGGCCAGAAGTTTGTTTACCTATGGAAGGATCAAGCAAATAAGCCGATCCATTGAGGATAATGGGAGCCCGGTTTTTGAGTTACAAATAGGAAATGAGGAAGGAATTGTGTGGCACTGGAATCAGAAGTACTGATGTGAACTCATGGATGTTACAGATGTATGTATGTATATGTGTACATACATACACAGACATATACATACATAAATACATTTGTTTCCCTGCTTTGTCTCCTGAAAGGACCTGCAAACAATATACAATGAGCACACCTAGTTCCCAAATCTTGGTTTCTAAAGACCATTCTCTATGAAAAGGAACTAGGGCTGCTAAGAAAAAATGACTCCAGGGCTGGGGCAGAAAAGTGCAAGAGGAGATAAAAATATTTTGTTTTCCTAAAAAGTAAGAAAATGCTCAGTGAATGCTAGAGACATATCAAAAGGACCCAAGAATCAGCTGCAAGGGGACCCACTGGCCAAATCTGAGACAATTCAAACATAAAAATATATATAATGATAGTAATGGATTACAATCCACCAAATAAAATAATCCATGAATTCAGTTGATATAAATATATCAATAAATGGAAGAAAACGGAAAGTTCTCCCTTATGGTTAAATGCCAACTAAATATGGAAGAAATCAGAAAGTTAAAAAATCATCAGTAGGTAATCAAACTAGTAGATAAAAGTTTGGTGAGGAACAGGAGATTTATATAATCTCAAAGTATCTCCCCCCAAATTTCTTGTTAATTACAAGGGAAAATAACTTTACAGTGAGGAAATGTATCGGAGAACACCTTAAACAAGTATTTAAAGTTAACATCACAGTAACGGGCCAAGCCAATAACGCATGATTCACTGAGAAGAAAATAGCAATTCTACAATATTCCTGCCAAAATGTATAACCTGAATCTAATCACAAGGAAACATGAGGTAACACGGATTGAGCAACATTCTATACAATAACTGGTCAAGGGCAAGAAATTCAAGCAAAAGAAAGGCTAAGAAACTCTTTCAGATTAAAGGCGACTAAAAAGATATGACAAATAAATGCAATTTATGATCCTGGATTGGATCTTGGACCAGGAAAAAAACAGCTATAAAAACTTTATTGGGACAATTAATGAAATCTGAATGTGAACTGTGGATTAGAAAACAGTATTATATCAATGTTAACTGTCTTAATTTTGATAATGGCACTAGGGTTATAAAAGAGAATGTCCTTGTTCTTATGAAATACACAATGAAGTATTTAGGCTTGATGTATGCAACCTATTCTCAAACAGTTCAGAGTAATGTCTTCCTTCCTTCCTCCCTCCCTCCCTCCCTTCCTTCCTTCCTTCCCTCCCTCCCTCTCTCTTTCTTTCTCGCTCTCTCTTTCTTTCTTCCTTTCTTTCTCTCCTTGATTTTACAAATGAAACTGAGAATTTCCTGGAATTTCTGAAAGACACCAGTTCCGGAAATCTCAATAACTCCACTTTCATACATGCCAGAGAAACTGTAGACATCAGTTTAAAAAACCTTTTAAAAACCCATAAGGAGGCCAGGCATGGTGGCTCACGCCTGTAATCCCAGCACTTTGGGAGGCTGAGGTGGGCGGATCACTTGAGGTCACAAGTTTGAGACCAGGCTGGCCAACATGGAGAAACCCCATCTCTACTTAAAATACAAAAAATTAGTTGGGCATGGTGGTGGGTGCCTGTAATCCCAGCTACTAGGGAGGCTGAGCCAGGAGAATCACTTGAACCCAGGAGGTGGAGGCTGCAGTGAGCCGAGATCGTCCCACTGCACTCCAGCCTGGTGACAGAGCAAGACTCTGTCTCAAAAAAAAAGAAAAAAAAAAAAACAAGAGGCAGATAATGTATCAAGGTGATCAAAGTGGCAGTTAGAGTTACAATTAATTTTTCAGAAGGAATAATGGAAACCAGAAGACAGTGAAATATCATCTATGTTCTAGCAACTCTGAATTCTGTAATGAGCAAAACTATTTTTCCTTTAGAATAAGATAAGGCATTTCTACTCAAATAAAAGCAGAGAGATTTTACCACAAAAGATCACCATAAAGGAAAATTTAAAAGATGAACTTCAGGCAAAAGGTAAATGATTCCAGTTGGAAGTTCTGAGATACGAAAAGGAATGGTTGTAAGTGTAACTAAGCAAGCACTGACAAAATCAAGTAACAATAGTAGCATTAAACTTTTGTGCATGTAGGCATAGGCTAGAACTAAAATTGTTGACAATAAGAGCAAATGAGTGGGGGTGGGGGTGATCATAAAGTGTTTTAATGTTCTCACGTTCTTCAGGAGAAGGGTAAATATATGGATTAAATTTAGACCTGGTTAAGTATGAGTTTAATATAACCAGAACAATCATTAAAAGAACAGCCATAAAGCATACGACTTCCAAAAAAAGTAGAGACAAAAAAGTAAAATGAGAAGGAAAATCAATCCAAAAGAAGGCAAAAATTGGTTGGGGGCATGGGAGGAGAATAGCATAAGAAAGAAAATAGAAAATTTGTAATGAAATAGTTGAAATAAATCCAAATATACCTGTAGCTCCAGTAATGTAGTGAACTAAATTCTCAAGTTAAAGACAAATATTGTCATATGTAATAAAACAAAATCCACACTTAACACATTGGGACACAGAAATGTTGAAGCTGACAGGATGTAAAATGATATACAGGCAAATGCTAACAAGAAGAAAGCTGGCAAGCTGGTATGGCTTTATTAATTTTAGACAAAATAGACTCTAGGCAAAAAGCATCAATGGAGATAAAATGAGTCATACATAAGAATAAACAGCTCAAAATTTCCAGAAGACATATCACTTTAAAATTTCCATGTCACTAATAATATAGTTCCAAAATACATAAAGCTCAAACTGACGGAACTACAGGAAGAAACAGATAAATCTATTATCTTAAGGAGAAATTTGCATACAGTTGTCACAGTAAGAGATCAGGCAAAAACAGAAGAGTAAAAAGAAGGAACATTTGATCAACACAATAAAAAGGTTGAGGGGTTGAAGTAATGCACATTACACAGAACTTCGCTCTCAACTATTGTAGAGCATATATACTTTTCACATGAAACATTTATGAGAATTAAACGACATGCTACACCATTAATCTAGCTTTAACAAATTTCTTTTTTTTTTTTTTTTTTTTTTTTTTTTTTTTTTGAGACGGAGTCTCACTCTGTCGCCCACGCTGGAGTGCGGTGGCGCGATCTCCGCTCACTGCAAGTTCCGCCTCCCGGGTTCACGCCATTCTCCTGCCTCAGCCTCCTGAGTAGCTGGGACTACAGGCGCCCGCCACTACGCCCGGCTAATTTTTTTGTTTTGTTTGTTTTGTTTTGTTTTGTTTTTGAGATGGAGTCTCGCACTGTTGCCCAGGCTGGAGTGCAGTGGCAGGATCTCGGCTCACTGCAAGCTCCGCCTCCTGGGTTCACGCCATTCTCCTGCCTCAGCCTCCCGAGAAGCTGGGACTACAGGCGCCCACGACCACGCCTGGCTAATTTTTTTGTATTTTTAGTAGAGACGGGGTTTCACTGTGTTAGCCAGGATGGTCTTGATCTCCTGACCTCGTGATCTGCCCGCCTCGCCTCCCAAAGTGCTGGGATTACAGGCGTGAGCCACCATGCCCGGCCAACTTTCTAAAGATTGATATCTGAGCCCAAAGCTAGTATCTGTGAAGCTTTTAGAATTTTTTTTTTTTTTAAGACGGAGTCTTGGTCTGTCACCCAGGCTGGAGTGTACTGGCATGATCTCGGCTCACTGCAACCTCTGCCTCCTGGGTTCAAGCGATTCTCCTGCCTCAGCCTCCCGAGTAGCTGGGATTACAGATGCCCACCATCACGCCTGGCTAATTTTTGTATTTTTAATAAAGACGGGTTTTCACCATGTTGGCCAGGTTGGTTTCAAACTCCTGACCTCAGGTGATCCGCCCGCCTCGGCCTCCCAAAGTGCTGGGATTACAGGCATGAGCCACCATGCCCAGCCTTAGAATTTGACCTAGAGACAAAAACAGAACTACCATGTCTCAGAGCTGTGGAAAGTTCAGTAGTTTCAACTAAAGAATTCCTAGAAAGGTGTACTGATCTGTTCTAAAATGAATTGTGATAGTGGTTGCACAGCTCTATAAGTATACTAAAACTCATAGAATTGTTAACTTTAGGTGAATTGTGGCATGCAAATTATATATCAATTAAGTTTACGTATGTATCAACTTGAGAAGCTAGAAAACTATGGAAACCTGTCTGTTTCTATGAGGAATTTTAAAAACTTTCAGAAAGAAAATATGAGCTAATGAAGCTAAAGTATTTGGGGGAAAAAAAGAAGTCTGACTTCCAATGCCTCAAAGAAAACATTAGACTTAAGAGTACTGAACACTTACTATAGAAACCAGGAGACATGACGAAGTGACATACTGCACTCAGTGAATTAATCATGTAATAGCTGAAATCCTAAAGGCTTAGAAGAAGAGAATGAAATTGAAATATGGACTAATTGTATTCCACAATTAGAAGAACTGGAGGATCCCCAGAGTAAAAAAAATTAACAACTCAAAGATGATGGACAAACAAACAAACTCCATTAACTCTAACAGAAAGTGATTAGAAACCATTTCCAATGCTAACTGAATAATGAGATGTCAGCTAGGTACAAGAGGAAGAACAATTGAAAAGTTGCAATATGAACCTCTTTGCTATATTCACCAGAAAGTTATAATGAAAAGTGTAATGGACTGAATTGTGTCCCTCCATAATTCATTTGTTGAAGCTCTAACCCCCAATGTGACTATGTGCTTGGAGGCAGAGCTTTTTAGGGGAGTGATTAAGGTTAAATAAGATCAGAATAGTGGGGGCCCTAATCCAATTGAACTTCTATTCTTAAAAGAAAAGGAAGCGACACCAGAGATTTCTCTTTTTCTGTGGGGACACAGAGTAGAGGTCATGTGAGGGCAGAGCAAGAAGGTGGCTGTCTACAAGCCAGGAAGAGAGGCCTCACCAGAAACCCATCTTGGCAGCACCTTGATCTTGGACTTCTAGCCTCCAGAACTGTGAGAAAATAAATTTCTGTTGTTTAAGTCAGCTAGTCTATAGTCTTCTGTTACGGCAGCCTGAGCTGACTAACACAGAAAGCAAATACAGAAGCTTCTGATTAAAGATAGTAGAGCAAGAACATGCATTAATCTACAATCACTTCTAAAATCCCTTTAAAACCACCATTAAGAGATTTTTTAAAGGCATAAACAAACAAGGACAAAAAATATGGCAGAGGAGACAATAGCAGGAAGATGTTCAAAGCTGGAAAGCAGGACATGTAGTAACTTATTTTGCTGATCTGAGAAAGAGGAATTCTAAGGCAGAAATAGGGAAAGCAGAGAATCCATCCAAAAGACTCAGGAATTGGTGGAACCAGTTAACTTTGCAAGTGAAAATGAAGATGGTATTGAAAATAAGAGAGTTGTTTAAATAGATTAAAGAGCTAAAAGGTTGTTAAACCTCCAGATACCTTCCTGCTATAGTTTGCATGTTTGTCCCCTACAAACCTCATGTTGAAATTTGACTCCTGATGTTGCAAGGTTGGGTAGTGGCACCTGGTGAGAGGCATTTGGGTCATGGGGGCAGATCCCTCATGAATAGATTGATGCCCTCCCTGGGGGTGAATTCTTTCTCTGTTAGTTCTTTCAAGTTCTGGTTGCTAAAAAGAGTCTGGCACCTACCCCCACTTGCTTCCTCTCTTGCCATGTGACCCTTTTGCACATGCTGGCTCCTCTTCTACTTTCCACTGTTGAAACGACTTCAGGTCCTCACCAGATGCAGATGCCCAATCTTGAACTTTCCAGCCACCAGAATAATGAGCCAAATAAACCTCTTTTCTTCGTAAACTATCCAGTCTCAGATATTCTGTTACAGCAACACTAAATGGACTAAGACACCTCCCCAACTCAGCACAGCAAGATGTCTCACACCACCTCCCCAAATCTGGCAAAGTACTGGAGTTTTAAATATTGGAGAGGATAAAACTAAGGGTTAAGTTGAAGGCAAGAGTACCATATTAAAAATAGGAAGATTTTGAGATATTCTATCTACATATTGATTTTAGGATTATGGGTCCTTCTTTTCCCTTGGCTGCTGGAATGCTGTTAGTTGGGCCTGTACTCTTTGGTCAAGAGATGGGGAAAATATTCCGTGGGAAATTAGACCAGCCCAAAAGATACGTGGAAAGATATGGACATTGGGGATTCCTAAATAAGTGGCCAGATGAGCCACTGAGAATTTCATAGTCAACAGATTCCATCCATATCTATACAGTTTCCAATTCAATTTTTAGTGCTCCTCTCTTCAATGAGCAACCAGGCAAGGATGATTTCAGGAACTGGTCTAACAATAAAGACTAAGATTAAAAACAAACAAAAGAAAACGGAAAAATTAAAACTATACAGAGAAATAAAACTTTTTCAAAAGTTTTTAAGAAGTGTTTTAAAAATATATTATTACTATCAGAGCTGTAAGAGAAGATAATTATTATGAAGCAAGAATATACCATTAGGCCTGGCGCAGTGGCTTACGCGTGTAATTCCCGCACTTTGGGAAGCCGAGGCGAGTGGATCACGAGGTCAAGAGATCAAGACCATCCCGGCCAACATGGTGAAACCCCGTCTCTACTAATACAAAAATTAGCCGGGCATGGTGGCGGGCGCCTGTTGTCCCAGCTACTTGGGAGGCTGAGGCAGGAGAATCAATTGAACCTGGGAGGTGGAGGTTGCAGTGAGCTGAGATTGTGCCACTGTACTCCAGCCTGGTGACAGAGCGAGATTCCATCTCAAAAAAAAAAAAAAAAAAAAAAATATATATATATATATATATATATATATATATATATATATACACATACACACCATTAAAAAGGACATTTAAGAGAACAAACAAGCTCTGGGAAATGAAAAATTCGAGCAGAGTTATAAGATAAAATTAAAGAAATTAGTTAGAAAGATTAGCAAAGAGATGCTTTAACAGCCAGAATATAGGAATTTTAGAAAGAAGATGGAAAACAGAGTGGGGATATCATCAAGGACATAATTCAAGAAAACATCCCAGAACTGAATAGCCAGTGTTTGCAGATTCAAAGGATCCACAAAATACTCTAGACAACTGATTAAAATAGAAACACATCAAGGTACACATTAAAAACTTTCAGAATATCAGGAATAAAGTATTCCAAAATTTTCCAGAGGGCAGAGGGCAAGGGGAGGAAAAGGAGAGTGGGAGAGAAGGTTTTATACAAAGGGTCAAGAATCATAATGGCATCTGACTTTCCAAAAGTTACACTGAAAGGCAGAAGACGATGTAAAAATACCTTTGAAATTCTAAGGAAATGTTATTTTTAACATACAATTCTATGCTTAGTCAGTATTATGAATAAAGTGTTTATAAAGATGTTTGGAATAAAGACTTTCAAATATGCAAACTCTCAAAATACTTATCTTCCATGTATACTTTCTTAGGGAAGTGCTGGAAGAAGTGCCCACTATATAAAGAAGGCAAATCAAGAAAAAGGACGCTATCCAGGAAACAGGGAATCTAAAAAGAGTTACACAGGGAGGTCCCTGCATGATGGAACATTGCAAGATGATGACTTTACAGCATCTAGGGAATAATTAATCCAAATGTCCAAGATGATGAAACTGATGGATCAGCTGATGTGTTTGAATACATTGAGAGAAGTTTTAAACAACCGAGGGATGAGTTTGGGCATGAATTATTGATGAATACGTAGAAACCTAAGCAAGTGAACTACATGCTAACTTTAGTGGGGAAAAGGGCTGTGCAAGAAAGGAAAAATTATTGTCACATGGCTAAGCTATGAATAGCATTTACACAGTCATAACTATATAAACAGTGTTTATGGTATGATGGTAGTAAGAACAGGCAGTTATATGTGTGTGGTATTTTGGAGGGTATAAAAGAGAGCAAAATATACATAGTTTTCTGAAGGAGCAAATCATTTTAATACATAATGCCCAAAATAGAAAAACCAACAGGTCGGTCATATAAACATATTATTTCAAGTGATAGAAGTCAATAAACAGCTAAAGGGGTTTAAAGCAGCTGCCAGGTGAGAATGGAGAACAAGTGGTAATGTTGTTTCTTGGTAATATGCCTTGTGGAATGGTGGCTCACACCTGTAATCCAAGCACTTTGGGAGGCCGAGGCAGGCATATCACCTGAGGTCAGGAGTTTGAGACCAGCCTGACCAACATGGTGAAACCCCGTCTCTTGGGGGCCGGGCCCGGTGGCTCACGCCTGTAATCCCAGCACTTCGGGAGGCTGAGGCAGGCGGATAGAGAGTCAGGAGATAGAGATCATCGTGGCTAAAACGGTGAAACCCTGTCTCTACTAAAAATACAAAAAATTAGCCCAGCGTGTTGGCGGGCGCCTGTAGTCCCAGCTACTCGGGAGGCTGAGGCAGGAGAATGGCGTGAACCCGGGAGGCGAAGCTTGCAGTGAGCCGATATCGCGCCACTGCACTCCAGCCTGGGCAACAGAGCGGGACTCCATCTCAAAAAAAAAAAAAAGAAAAAGAAACCCCCAACTCTTCTAAAAAAGCTGGGCATGGTGATACATGCCTGTAATCCCAGCTACTTGGGAGGCTGAGGCATGAGAATCGCTTGAACCGGAGAGGCAGAGGTTGCAGTGAGCTGAGATCATACCATTGCACGCCAGCCTGGGCAACAAGAGCAAAACTCCATCTCAAAAAATAAATAAATAAATAAATAAACCAACAACAAAACAAACTATTTGACTCTTTAAACTATATTTGTATATAATTTTGTTAAAAATTAACAGGCCAGGCGCGGTGGCTCATGCCTGTAATCCCAGCACTTTGGGAGGCTGAGGCAGGTGGATCACAAGGTCAGGAGTTCAAGACCAGCCTGGCCAAGATGGTAAAACCCTGTCTCTACTAAAAATACAAAAATTAACCAGGCTTGGTGGCGGGCACCTGTAAACCTAGCTACTCAGCAGGGTGAGGCAGATAACTGCTTGAACCCAGGAGGCAGAGCTTGCAGTGAGCTGAGATGGCGCCACTGCACTCCAGCCTGGGCGATAGAGTCAGGCACTGCCTCAAAAACAAACAAACAAAAACACAAACAACAACAACAACAACAAAAAGCCCTAATTTTTTAAACAAAGAAAATGCCTGGGCCAGATGCGGTGGCTCACGCCTGTAATCCCAGCACTTTGGGAGGCCCAGGCAGGCGGATCACGAGGTCAGGAGATGGAGACCATCCTGGCTAACACGGTGAAACCCCGTCTCTACTAAAAATACAGAAAGTTAGCCGGGTGTGGTGGCAGGCACCTGTAGTCCCAGCTACTCAGGAGGCTGAGGCAGGAGAATGGCATGAATCCGGGAGGCGGAGCTTGCAGTAAGCCGAGATCGCGCCACTGCACTCCAGCCTGGGCGACAGAGTGAGACCGTCTCAAAAAAAAAAAAAAACAAAAACAAAAAACAAAAACAACAACAACAAAAAAGGAAAATGCCTGAAACGTATTATGACATAAAACAGAAACATTTAATGTTCTCTAAGCAGAAAGACATGACTCTGCAAATGTAGGTGACTTGAAACCAATATGAGAATGAAACAAAGAGAAATTATCAGTTGTGGAAGACCTAAAAGCTTCTGAGCAGAAATTTCAAAAGTAAATAGATAAATACACAAAATAAATTACAGAAAAAAGAGAAATATGCTGTCACGATAGGAAGGTTGGTGAAATCTGGCTTACTGCTTGTGTTAGAATAAGCTCTTACTTATTACCATGAGGACTGTAGTAATTTGTTACAGCAGCAACAAAAAACTGATGATGATGTCGCCCTCGATCAGTTGTACCTTTTCCTCAACTGTGGAGACCTCCTCACAATTTAAAAGAACATCACCTAGGTTTTCTCCAGGAATAAGGTCCTGTCTTCTGAGAGGCCAGACTAAATACATTAAATTAGGTTAAGACAAAGCCATTGTAACAAAGAGACCTCCAAATGGATTTAATAAGATAAAAGTTTATTTCTCTGTCACATAAGAGTCCGGCCAGTCTCAGCTGACAGTAGGTTGTGCTCATGTGGCCCCAGAGGCTTCTGAGCTCGTCCACCATGTTGCTCTTCTCCCTCGAAGCACCCTGCTTACCTCCGCAATCAAGGTGAACCATCGCCACTCACACAGAAAGTGAGGAAGCAGAAGCTGCGCGTATCACTTTTGCTCACATTCTACTCGAAAGAATTTAGTGAAGTACAGGGAAGGCTGTGAAACTAGCACAGCAAAAATTCTATGAGTATGGACAAAGGAGAGAACAGATTTCAGGGGACAATTTGTGTCCATCACCTGCATGACCCATTCTTTAGATTCTTAAGTCCCCTCAGCCCAAGGAAGTCTCTTCACTTTGGCCCCACATTGTGCATCCCCATTACAAGGTTCTGGTGGCCACCCTGATTCTTTTGTGAGATGCTCACTTTCTTCCAACTTAGCAAAGATCCCTGGCTCCCTTGTAGGATAATAAAGAGGCTTCTCCAGGCTTTCAGCCCAAGACACTGAATAAGGAATGTTTTTCATATTTCACATGCCAATATAAAATTTACTTTGATGATAGACATCATTTTTGCCGAATTTCTTTTTCACCTTGGGGAGAATGAAATTCTGCACATTTGAGCTAAACAATTCAACATTGAGGTTTGTGGTTAAAAAAAATGCTTATGACAAGTGAAGATGCCCTATAATACTGTGACTTCTCATAGGATCACTTGCCTATTTTAGTTTCAGTTACTGTAGCTAATGCCATTTGTCAATTGTTTAAAGTGCTATGAAAAATGTAATTTTTAAAATGAAATGCTGAACAACCTGGAACTAATATCTAGATCAGCACTGCCCAATAGAAATGTCAGGCCATAAACATAATTTTCTAGTAAAGTCAAAAAAGGTAAAAGAAACATATGAAATACATTTTAATAATATATTTTAACACAATATATCTAAAATATTACCACTCTAACATTCAACCAATATAAAAATTATCAATGAAATATTTTACATTCTTTTTTTTTTTAATACCAAGTCTTCAATATCTGGCATGTACTTTGCACTTACAGCACATCTCAATTCCTACCAGCCACATTTGAAGTACTTTATAGCCACATGTGGCTAGTGCCTACTATACTGGCCAGTGTAGAACTACATGATCTCAATGTGAAAGGTATGTGAAGAAAGAGGGAAGTGAAAGCAGGCTGAAATTCCTGTTTTGTTTAAAGTTAGATATGGCCACTAAGGAACATTCAGTAAATGTAATAACTAGTGTTTGGTACAAATGGTTAACCATATGGAAAAAATAAAATTGTATCATGTGCCATACATAAACATAAATTCCAGATAGATTAAGGAGCTATTTTTTAAGAGAAAAAAGTACAAAATACAAAAAGTATTAATTGGGGGACCTTTGAAAGACACAAAATGCGGAAGCCATAAAGGAAAAGATTGTCAGATTTATCTAAAATAGAAATCCAAAATTTAAGTTAAGTAAAGAACATCATAAGAAAAGTTAAATGACAAGGGATACAGTAAAAGAAAACATCCATAAATCAATAAGAAGACAAATAAGCTAACTAAAAAATAGAATATGTGGGCAGATATTTCAAAGAGTAATTTGAATATGCAATAAGTATATGAGATACTTAACCGCACTAGTGATGAGGGCAATGCAGATTAAACAACAATAAGCTATTTTTCTTTCACTAGACTGTCAACAGCAAAATGAAAAACATTGGCCTATTACCTTGTGTCTCTCATTTATGCCACATTTGGAAATGTATATTTGTAAAATCTTTTGGAAGGCAATTCAGCAGAATCTATCAAAATTAAAACATAACTCCTTTGGACTTGAAGATTCCATTTCAGAGAATCTGTTCTTCTAAATATTTATACATATGCACAAAGATGTATGTGCAAGGATTTGATGTGTATTACCAGAACTGGTAAAATCCATCAGTTCATCCCAACCAAAAGAACACCACAGGGATGCCTCTGTATGCCCTGTCATGAGAACATCCTCGAGATCTCAACTTACTTAGATCAGTCAAAAAAGCAAATCCTGTAGATCACAACTTTTTGTTGTGTTGTCCATTTCTATAAGGCTGAAAAAGAGCACACACATACAATTGTGTGTTTAAACCCATATATGTGTGAGTAACTGCCTAGAGAAAGGGCTCTCAGAACATACATCAAACTGGGCAGTGGGTAAGAGAGACGAGGGTGTGTGTGGAGGGACATATTTATATTTTATTTCACATACTTCTGTGCTGCTTGACTCTTTTACAGTGCAAATGGTTTAATATATTACTTGTGGAAGGAGAAGGTTTATAGAGAGAGCCACATTCCCAACTGCTCCTGGCAAAAGACGAGGCTGATTTCAGGACTTGGAGCCACCCCTTCTCCAACCACCCACCCCCACCCAGCTGAGTGGTTGGGTCAGGTCCATGTTGCTGAGTTGTCTCTGGGTGTCTGTCCTTGCGGGCACCAGGTATTCTCAGCCCACACCAGAGGTCAAACATGGAACACCCATCATCTCTGTGTAGCTTTGACCCCACGCTCCCATCTACCCATCTACCCCATGGCATCTCAAGTCCAAGACTGGCTTTTTAAAGTACAAGTCCTGCTGATGGTATTTCCTGGCCATGCTGAAATATGTCTCCTGGAGGAGGAGAATAAGGTCAACCACTGTGACAAACAAAACCAAGAGTGGAGGGCCAATGTGTGGATTGTGTTGATGACTGTGGCTTTCATTTCCCCAAGGCAAAGAAACCTCAGGAGGCTGTGGTCATGGTTTCTCATTTTCATGCTGAGGCTTTTTGGGAAATTTCAGAAGTTGCCACCCACACCTTGTTAGGGGAGGGAGAGGAAACTTCCTCTTCAGGATGGGCTGGGGATTGTGGGAAGACCTTTGTGTGAGACCAAGTGTCATGCAGAGACAGCAAGAGAGAGACTGGGAATCAATTCCTTCTCCAAGGGTTTAATTAAAGTGTGGGGAAGTTTGCAATCTTATTCAGAAGTTAACATCTGAGCATAGATTTGAAGGAGGTAAGAGATGAAGCCATGTGGGTGTCAGACAGAAGCATTCCAGAGACAGGGAACAGCAGTGCAAAGGCCCTGAGGTAGGATTGTGTCTGGTTTGTTGGAAGAACAGAAAGGAAGCCTTTGTGGTGTGGCAGGAACTAAGGGAGTAGGCGGTGAGCAGAAGATAAGGTCAGAGGGAAGGGAGAAAGGTGGAGAGTGAGAACTACCTTGACATCTTGGAAAGACTTTGCCTTTTATTCTAGGTGAGTTGGGGAACCACTGGTGGTCTGAAAGCCAGAGAGTACATGATCAGGCTGACGTTTAACAGAATGCCTCTGTCTGCTGTGTTGGGAACAGACTGAGCGAGTAAGGGAGAAAGCAGGCAACTGCAGCTGACCAAAAGAGAGACAGGAGAGCTGAGATATTAATGGAGTGACCAGCAGCATCAGAATTACCAGGAGGCTTGGGAAAACAGATTGTTGGGCCCCAGCCCTGGAGCTGCTACCTGTTAGTATGGGCAGTGTCCAAGGAATTTACATTACAAGTTCCCAGGTGATGATACTGCTGGTCTGGGGGCCACACTTTGAGAACTTGTCTTTGTAGAATTTATGAAAACATTTGTTTATCAAAGTTCTCAAGGAAGCACATTGCTCGCTCCTGTGTCCCCAGTGCCTAGCGTGATGCCTGGCACGAGTCTTCATCGAGCTCAGGCTCTGGGCCAGGCTCAGTGCTATTGAATGAGGTTCATGAGGGTCCCAGGTTTGAACTGTTTGGAGGTAACTGGTGATGAAACTTTCACAGGAAGTGGTCATTAAAGGGAAAGGATTCCTTGTAATTACAATAACAACAGGTGTGACACCTACCCAGCGTCTGCCTAGATGTTTTACTTGTATCCCTCTCCAATTAAATCCTGTAAAAGCCCTGGGAGTCGGGCATTATCCCGGGATTTTTATGAATGAGAGAACCAAGGCTTGGAGAGTTTAATTTTCCCAAGACCACAGGATTAACAAGTACCAGAACCCAGCCAGGCCTGAGTGGGAGCTCTCTGCTGTTTACATCATAGGCCGCCTGAAGAAGTCACTGACAAGACCTAGTAATTAAAGAACCTCGAGAAGCTAGGAGTTTCATTCTTTGAGGACTGTGAGCTTTTTTAAAAGTGCAAAGAATATGCCATCCTTTAAAAAAATGCTTCCCATCTGAATTGAGATTCCTGTTCACACAACATGTTTTGAGCCTCCAGCCCTTCCTGGCAGAACCCTGGTAGCAGTGGCTGTCCCAACAGAAGTATTTTTGCTGACTTTTGTGGCTTAAAAGCCTTCTCTGATGGAGCACTTTTCCTCCCCTCTTCCTCTTCTCAGCCTCCTCCGGCAGGATGAAGGGTGTAAGATTTTGTGCTGAGGCGCTGAAGCTTGACAAATTGAGGCCAGCCTATCTCTAAATGGAATCCGTGTATCTTGCTAGGGAGGGAGAAAATCAAGTTCCAGCACTTCCCTCCTTATCAGCCTCTCCTTTTCCCTACCCTTCCCTGAGGATAAAAATAACCGCTTCCCAGGGCCTCACTGCGATGGAGCAACTGTGCCCCGAAGCCAGGCCTAGCTGTCAGAGCAGCTGCTCCCCGAGGCACGGCCCCGCGAGAGCCTTGGGGTCAGGACGGGGGCCTGTCCGCAGGGACGAGGTGTCCCAGGACAGGGCAGGGGCCCTTGGAGCCTCACCAAGAGAGGGGGCACTGGTGCAAGTTTGACCGCGATGGTGGGCGGCTCACAAAAATACATCAGGAGGCCCGGAAGTCCATGCACTGGCTGGCTCCACCGCCTTTAAGTACACGAGGTCTATCTGCAGTTCTTAACCTCTTTGAGGGCACAAGGACTCCCTAGAACAAATGATGACATACCACCTCTCTGTGTGCAATCAAGCATACACACAACACACAGAAACATGGACGTGGACACAAATACGCACGGAGACACATACACTTTTGCACACAGTTTCATATTATTGGAAGGCTGTCGAAGCCTGGTATGGACCACAGATTAACAACCCCAAAGGCAGGTTGATTATAGTGATGCAGAACGATTATAAAAAAAATAACAATTTGGCAGGGCGCGGTGGCTTACACCTGTAATCCCAGCACTTTGGGAGGCCGAGGTCAGTTGATCACGTGAGGTCAGGAGTTCGAGACCAACCCGGCCAACATGGTGAAACCCCGTCTCTACTAAAAATACAAAAAAATTAGTCGGGCATGGTTGCGGGCGCCTGTAATCCCAGCTACTCGGGAGGCTGAGGCAGGAGAATGGCTTGAACCTAGGAGGCAGAGGTTGCAGTGAGCCGAGATCGTGCCAGTGCACTCCAGCTTGGGTGACGGAGCAAGACTTCGTCTCAAAATAAATAAATAAAAATATAAAAATAAATAAAATTTTGTAACGTAAAAATAGGGTTAGTAAAGCGTGCTAAGATCTTTCTGGAAAACAAATATATGTAGTATAAATTCTAATAATAGATACGGAAACGATAAAGTTGATCACCGATGGTAAGATAAAGGATGATTTCTATTTATTTGAGTTTTCCCACTAAACAGGAAAGCATGCTGCTTTTTCGCAACCAGAACGGCCGCATCCAGGCGTTTCCGGGGACCTGGGGCGCCCACTGAGCTGCAGGCGCGGCCGGTGGCTCCAGCCTGGCCCGTCCGTCGGGAAAGGAGGGTTACAGACAATAGACAAGCAAACATTAGACGCAGTGACCGCGTGGGGCGGGGACCGGCTCTTGCGGAGAGGGTGACCCGAGCCCTTCGCCCGCCGAGGCACTTTAAAACCCCAGCGCGTTGCCCAGGCCGGCCCGCCCAGAGCGAAAGGTGCGTGCGCGCTCCCGGGGAGGCGGCGGCGCGCACGGGCGCGTCCCGCGGGCAGCCCCCAACTCCGGACGATGCAGCGAGGAGGCGGCGGCGGCGGCGCGCTCCGGAGGTCTGAAGCCACTGCTGGCTGCCACGGGCCGGCGGTGCGATGAGCTGGGCAGCCGCCCCCGGCTCGGGGCTGTGAGCGGCTCGGGGCCGGGGGTGGGCGGCGGTGCGGCGGGCGGCCGACGCTCCTCTTCGGCGGCGGCGGCGGCGGCCATGCGTGGGGCGGCGCGGCTGGGGCGGCCGGGCCGGAGTTGCCTCCCGGGGGCCCGCGGCCTGAGGGCCCCGCCGCCGCCGCCGCTGCTGCTTCTGCTTGCGCTGTTGCCGCTGCTGCCCGCGCCTGGCGCTGCCGCCGCCCCCGCCCCGCGGCCCCCGGAGCTGCAGTCGGCTTCCGCGGGGCCCAGCGTGAGTCTCTACCTGAGCGAGGACGAGGTGCGCCGGCTGATCGGTGAGTGGGGCCGCCGAGGCCGGGGCGGGCAGGTCGGGCCGGCTGGGGCAGCTTCCGGCCGCCGGCGGATCAGTCTGCGAGCCGTGGACCTCGGGCGAGTACCCTCCCCGCCCCCCGCGCCCGGATTCGCCTCGCGGCCCGGTCTCTGCCTGCCGTGCTGGCTGGGAGGTGTGGTCCCTGCCCGGTCCCCAGCTCTGGGTCAGCCTTCGTGCCGCCCTCGCTGCCCCGCCGCGATAGACCCAGATTCACCCCATCCCATCCTCCTCACTGCCTCCTTAGCCCTTCTCCCTAGAAGAGTCAGTCACCCTTACAACTTTTTTTCCTTGCTGCACGAAGTTTTTTTGACGCTTTCTATGTGTGTCACTCTAGGGCCCTCGATTTTGAATATCTCGAAATTCACGTTTTAGACTGAACTTGCAAACCCTTTGCTGTGGTTTTGATGCTCCAGTAGAGGCCACGCTCTGTGCTTACCCTTTTACAAAAAAAAAAAAAAAAAAAAAAAAAACGAGAGAGAAAGAAGGGGAGGTTATAAGGGCACCAAATGTTCGTGGCAGCCTCCAACTCTTGGGACGTAGATTTGGAGCATATGCTTAGATTCTAAGCATATTTTTAGTGAATGAATCGCCAGGTAGCAGACCTTTTTAGTTTCAATACCTTTTTGGTTTTTGCATTGGGTGTGTTGGGAGTTTGGACTGACTCTGTACTTCTGGGCCACTCTCCTACTTTTGAGTATCTTGAAGGGAAACAAGAACTTAGTCTTGGGTCGGTTTGTGGTTCCATTTACTTGCTTAGCTTTGTTGTTTGGGGAATTAATTTGAAAAATTGCTGGGGTCTTATGTTAGGACTTTGTGGATTCTGGAAATGACCCCTTAGAGGAAGATCTGACAGGAACGACCCCCCAAAAAGGAAGTCCTTGGTACCTAGACGTTTGCATTCTTTTGTTATTATGGCAGTATCTTTATTTCATCTGAAGGTGGTGCTTCTGAGTGTTTGAGGGGAAAAATTATTCTCTATTGCATCCATTATTTGTCAGTATTCTATTTTTTTTTAAGTAATAAGACTTTGTTGAGGTGTGTTGAGATTGACTCAGTGTAGAAATGGAATTACTGAAAGCAGACTCTTTAGACATTACATGTACGGATTTGCAGTTTTTAGCCAAAGAAGAATGCTCTTTTTATGAAGTCGTGCTCATTCTTAATCCTTCTTAGTCTAGCTGAGTTAGCTGAATGTAGTTTAGCTGAATTAAAACTCTACTTGGGGTAGTACTTGGAACACAAGACTAAGATTTAGGAAAAATAATACAAGACGACTCATATCACATTAATTTTAGAAATATTAACGTATTATGCATGGTTTTGTAAAGGCTTTTTGGTTAAAAGCACTTATATAGCTTGTGACTTTGTTTACATGGGTAAACAAAGTCAGAGGTGTAGGTAGGAGACAGAAGACAACCAGGGACTGACATTGAATTCCTGCCATATACCTGCCCCTACATGCTTTATACACATAATTTCTTCTAATTTTCTCGGGGCCCAGTGAGGTAGGTGGCATTATGCCTATTGTAGAGATGAGGAAAGTGGGGTTTTAAAGTAACTTGCTCAAGGTCACACAGTTAATTTTTTTTTAGACGGAGTCTCGCTCTTGTCACCCAGGCTGGAGTGCAGTGGCGTGATCTCGGCTCACTGCAATCTCTGCTTCCTGGGTTCAGGTGATTCACCTGCCTCAGCCTCCCAAGTAGCGACCACTTCTGGCTATTTTTTGTATTTTTAGTAGAGACAGGGTTTCACCATGTTGGTCAGGCTGGTCTTGAACTCCTGAGCTCGTGATCTGCCCGCCTCGGCCTCCCAAAGTGCTGGGATTACAGGTGTGA
Organism: Homo sapiens; assembly: GCF_000001405.40. Lineage (NCBI taxonomy): Eukaryota > Metazoa > Chordata > Mammalia > Primates > Hominidae > Homo > Homo sapiens. The sequence continues at coordinate 134,248,552 of NC_000003.12, read as the reverse complement.
GCCACCGCACCTGGCCTAGTTCATATTTTTGAAAAAAATGAAACAGTGTTGACATAGGCTGCAAAGTTTTATCGAATGAAATGAAGATTTTGTCTGTAGAAGTTTGATTATGTCATGGTGGAAAATAAATCATTGCTAATTAGCACTTGAGTTATATATTTGTTACCTTATTCAAAGGTTGGCCTGGAACTAATTTTCTTAGCAGTATTTGCAGCAGAGGAAGCTCCTGTTTGATGAGCATCCAATTTATGCCCAGAAATGCTGTTGCTGGGAGGGTAGGAAGCATTGTTTCAATTAACTCCCTTGTCTATCCCCGGGGGCGAGAGAGACTTCTAGTAGTATTTTCTCTAGTGCAAATAGGGTTGACCTGTTACAGAGGATCTCTAGTCACTCCATCCTGCCAGATTCAGGTTCGTTGTTTCCATCCCTTCCCATCTCCCTCATACATTCTACCTTTAAAATAATTCCTTGGCTCCTCCAGGTAGGGAAGAGCCAAGTGGGTAGGACTGAGATGTGTACTGAGATGTGTACAAGGCACTCCGAATTCTCAGAATGCAGTCTCTCACAGAAGCTGTTATGGTACTTAAGGCTTCTTGGAATAGTAGCTTTGCACCGTATTTTAGAATCACTACAGATTTTGTGCCTTCTGAACGCTGGCATAGGAAACGAACCATTATTTTATAATATTTTTAAGACAGTTTAGAGTTCCAAGTAAGAAACTTATAAATGAAGTTGATAGTGACAACTTTATAAATTGAACTAATTACCCTTGATATGAGAATAAATTGTTTTAATCCAGTTAATATATGCATATAGTTTTAAGAGAACCAAAAGGCTTTTTTTTTTTTTTGAGACGGAGTTTCGCTCTTGTTGCCCAGGCTGGAGTCCAATGGTATGATCTTAGCTCACCGCAACCTCTGCCTCCAAGGTTCAAGCGATTCTCCTGCCTCAGCCTCCCCAGTAGTTGGGATTACAGGCACGCATTACCATGCCCAGCTAATTTTGTATTTTTAGTAGAGACGAGGTTTCTCCATGTTGGTCAGGCTGTTCTCAAACCCCCAACCTCAGGTGATCACCCACCTCAGCCTCCCAAAGTGCTGGGATTACAGGTGTGAGCCACCGCATCCGGCTTAAAAGACTTTTGACAAACACAGCAGGCTCTTGCTTTTGTCTTTTTTATCCCTCAGGCTCTACTTTCCAGGGGTAGCTACTACCTCAGCTAGGTCTGTTTATTTTTTCTTCCTCTTTTTTTACTTTCGTCATTCTAAATCAATGTAGAATAAGTCTTTGACTTTCTAGTATCATAACTGAGCTCTTTCTCATTTCTCTCTTAAATCCTCCAATGTAGTTACGTAACTTTTTTGTAAAAATAGCAGTATTTACATTATTGTGTACACAGGTATTGCTAAATAGTGACTTATGATTTTTTTTATACATTTTTGTTTTTCCCACAGCAAATAATTGCATTTTATCAAAATTGCGTTTTGATTCGTTACCTATTTATCTTTGGCTGTGTTCCCTCAACTACTCCAAGAAGTATGTTAAATGCCTTTTGATTTTTTTTTTTTCCAGGTAGCACATTAAATCATCTATCAGTGCCACTTGGTTTCCTCTTAGAGACTTCTTGGTCTGGAGCATTCCATCCTCTTGCTCCAATCTAGATAGTACGATTATTTTTTCTGGGACTTCCTGTTACTTCTTTCCTGTCTTGGAACCTCTGTTTTTTAGATCTCCTGTCTTCCTTTTTCTTGGTTTGCTTCATTTTGCTACTATGTATGTATCCTCAGTAGCTTCTTAGGAAGGAATGATGGGAGATAAATTACTTGAGGCCTTGAATGTCTGAATGTATCTATCCTGTCCTCATACTTTATAGATGGTTTGGCTGAATTTAAAATATTAAGTAGAAATACATTTTTTCATAATTTTGATGGCATATTCACAGTTTTCTGTCTTAAGGGTTTTTGATGAAAAGTCCAAAGCCATTCTGATGCCTCTTTTTTTCTGTTTTTTTGAAGCTCAGGTTCTTTTTCTCTGGCATTCTGAAGTTTTATAAGTTTTTGTGTGGTTGGTTGGTTGGTTCTTTCCTTCCTTTCTTCCTTTTCTTTCTTGTATTACCTTAGTGGGTCCTTTCAATCTAGAGACTCTTTTTAGTTTTCAGAAATGCTTTTTTTTTTTTTAATAATTCCCACCCTTTATTTTCTCTCTCTCTGTGTGTGTGTGTGTGTGTGTGTGTGTGTGTGTGTGTGTGTATTTCTTTCTGAGATGTCTGTTGGTTTGGTTGTTGAACCCACTACAAATGATCTTTAAATTTTCTTAACTAATCTCATGTCTTACGTATTTCTTTGTACTGGAAGGAGTGGGAGGGGGGGAATGGTTCTCAATTTTAATGATCATGTTTTTAAATTTTAGAATCTTTTTCTGTTTCCATTTCATTGCATCTTATTTTATGGATGTATTATCTTTACTTATCTCTGATGTGTGTATTTTTATTTTTTCTTTGTGTTTAATATATTTTTAATATTTCTTCTGTTTCCTCCAGTGTGGTTATTCATTTCAGGGATCTTTTCTTTGTTTGTTTAAGTCATAAATATCTGGTGATCCTTGACTGTCTATAATGAAGAAAAAGATCCTGAGGAGCTGATTGCAGAGGAGAGAACATGTGTGTATTGGTGGTCTAGTGACTTGTGAGTTCAGGTGGACTTTTCATTGGGAGTCTGCCCCGAATATCAACACCTTTACATCTCGTTTGGGGCCAGTGTTCACAATGAAGAAATCATCATCTCCTGCCTCTGGTATGCTTGGTGATATGCCAGCTGCCAGGGTTTGGGTTACCTGGCTGAGGGAGGGATGGAGGCTGTAGCCTTCGACTTCTGGCTACAGTTCTCCTGTCACTGTGATTCAGTTTCTTCAGAAAAAACTTTGGGTTTCCTGCTGGAACTGGGGATCCAAAAGCTTTGAACACCTCTTTCGGTGGCTCCCCCCTTGTCTAGGCTAAGCCTCACATCAGCCTTTGGCATCTCCTTGGTGCCTCAAGACCTGAGCCTCTTGGAGGTCCTGAGGGGCAGTGACCATTCCTTCAAGTACTTTGCCATCTTGCAAAAGTTTGTTTAAAAAAGCATGTTGTCTTTCCTTTTCTGTTTGTCCTTATGGTTTGATGTCTTTGTGATTTTTTTTTTTTAAACTATCATTTTAGAGGAATTTTGGAAGGAAATGGAGGTAAGGGATTATGGTCATTCCACAATGTGTAAATGGCAGTTAGGGTTTGGGTTTAACTATTGAAGATGACGTGTGGCAGTCTTTTTATATGAACAATATTACGAGTAGTTAATGGTGGTTGTAGTAGTAGTTGACACTTTTAAAAGTGCTGTCTTTTGTCTGTGTGGGGCATAGAGGTCATCCCTGTGTTATGTACTGTCATTTCCATTTTATAGATGAGTGTTAGTCTGCTCAGGCTGCTGTAACAAAGTACCATAAATTGGGTGGATTGTAAACAACAGAGATTTATTTCTCACAGTTTTGGAGGCTGGGAAGTCCAGGATCAAGGCTTTGGTAGATTTGATATCTGCTGAGAGCCCTCTTCCTGGTTTATGGATACTGCTTTCTCCCTGTGTTCTCACATGGTGGAAGGGGCAAACGAGCTCCCCTGGGTCTTTTTATAAGGGCTCTAATCCCATTCATGAGGACTGCTCTTATGAGCTAATCACCTCCCAAAGGGCCCTACCTGCTAATACCATCCCTTAGTGGTTAGGATTTCAACATAGAAATTTTGGGGTGACACAGAGAAATGAGAAAACAATAATCTTAGAGTAGGTATGTATTAATGACTAGCCTGGTTTTTTGGTAGTAGTAGGGCACACGGTCCTGATGGAAGTGTATAAGTTCTGAAACACCGAAAGCTTCAGAAGCTTTTAAACTCTGGTTGGCCTTCCTGTGTTCCTGGGCCCTGGTTCATCGCTTGCATTTACAAGCCTGTTACTTGCATAACAGGCTGCAATGTAGGCATTCATTTCTGCATTTTACTGATGAGGACCCTGATTCAGGGCCTTTTGGACAGTGAGTAGAAGGCCAGGTCTTGACTCAGTCCTGCCTGAGACCTGAATTCATACTGTCTCTTTATCAGCTCTGGAGGAGTGCAATTAACCAAAAACTCAAAGAGTAGAACCGCAAGCCTCCTGCCACAGGTGCTTGTTTGTGGTCTTTATTATTATGCTAATTATTCTTGCATCCTCCCATGTTCTTTAATTGATAATTTTCATTGTACTGAGCTCTGTGGAATTCCGGAGCCTGTGAAGGTGGCATATGGCTGGGCAGTGCCAGAAGCTTGGGAAGAACATGCTGGTGGGTGGGTGGGGAATGGTATAAACTGGTTATGCCAACAGTGGTGGTGGTGATAGGGGTCAGGGGGACTTTTGGGAAGAGGCCCCATCTCCCACCAGTTAGAAATTAACTTTGGATAACTTGCTTCTCCTCTTAAAATAAATATCTTCTGGAAAAGTCAAGAATGTTCACATTTTATTTAAAATCAAGTCAATACTAGTTGAAATCACTGTGTCCCAAATCAGTCCAGAAAATTTTTTTGAAGCTAAACCAAGTACCATATATTGTGGTAGAAAATGACAATTCAAAATTATTACACTCCTTTCCCTGAAGATCTCAGAATTTTGTAGGGGAGACTTGCATTTATGACTGTAACAGAGATAAGAGTTATATTGCTGGTTGACATAAGTTATTGTAGGAGCACTTACTTTTGACTGTGGAAAGGGCGGAGGGGAGACAGGCTTAGAGAGTTTAGGAAACTTGTCCCAGGGAAAAAAAAGACATTTGAGCCTCATCTTGAAGGATGAATTTGATAGGCAGAAAAGAGCAGTTCATACCAGGCTGAGAAAGTAGTGTGAACAAAGACATAGAGGGTGGAAGCAGCTGTGTGAAATTGTGGGGTAGGAAAAATCTAATGTGGCTGAGGTGAAAAATTAGCAAAGCCATGGAGCGCCACAGGATAAAGCTGGAAGGTAGGCTGAGGTTAGAGTAGGAATTTGAACTCTTACAGGTGAATTCTTCAGTGAGCTGCTAAAGAATGCAGACTAGGAGAGTGCGCAGTCAGGTCTGGGTTATAGGGAAGATAACTTTGGCCCCAGTGAAAAGGATGGCTTTGGAGAATGAAATGCTGGATCTGGGAAATGAGATAGAGCCAACCTTGTGATGATAAGAGGGATCAACTAAGGCAGTTGAAGGGGTGGGATGGATTTGTGAGGAATTTGGTGAGTTTGGAGAAGACTTAGTAGAAGAGACTTTAGGGCTAAAGAAAGGGGAGGAGTCACAGAGGAATCTAGGGTTTCAGATTTGGGCAACTGAACCAAAGGACCCTTTCCTTTTGGGAGAAGTGGTTGGTCAAGGGAAAGAAAAAGGAGATGAACCATGTATTCCTCTCCTCCCAGCACCCCTCTCTCCTAAATCTCAGAGCCCATGCTTGGTGGGGAGGAGGGGTGGAGGGTTGAAGGTGTCCTCTGCCCATGAGTCTGGCATAACCTGCCAGAGGGCCCAGATCCTGGGTGGGTTTTTGGGAGGTTAGCACTCTGCAGCAAATCCTTAACCCTAGGCGTTTTGGTGGAGTTGGTATTTATTTGAATCCATGTGTTCTTCATTGGGAGACAGGCAGAGACATTGTGCAATTGTGGGTTTGAGGGTTGTTTTTTTTCCTCATGCTACACATGTGAGAGAACTCTATCCAATTATGGCTAAACCTGTCCCCTGTGAGTCACATCCTGAGTTGACTGGTCAATTCCAAAGGTGCTGCCTAAAATGCTGTTTGGATTTTAAGAATCACTTTTGGGACAAATCAAACATGTGAGTATTTATTCAGGCACCTGAGTTGAGAAGTTCCATAGCATTACTTTTGGTGTTTTGATGCAGTTACGCCAATGTTCTGAAAAATCTTGCCAGCTACACATCCTAAAGCAAAACAAAAACTTGTACATGAAACAGAACCATTAGCTACTCTAAAATTATGTCACACTTAAAGGTATACATTTTTGTGCGTTGTTGATGTAAATCAAGTGCAATATTTTCTAATAAAAATTTTATTAAACAGCATTCATTTGTGAAGGTCCTCTTAAAATGTGCCAAAATAAACGTGTGTGTATTGCTCAGTTACATAATAAACAGTTGTTGAATGATTCTTTTTGTGTGTTCAGCAGTGATAATGCTGAGTGGATTTCATAGGTCTCATTCTTATCTTTTTTTTTTTTTTGAGACGGAGTTTTGCTCTTGTCACCCAGGCTGGAGTGTAATGGCATGATCTCGGCTCACTGCAACCTCTGCCTCCTGGGTTCAAGCAATTCTCCTGCCTCAGCCTCCTGAGTAGCTGGGATCACAGGCGTCCACCACCATTCCCAGCTAATTTTTGTATTTTTGGTAGAGATGGGATTTCAGCATGTTGGCCAGTCCAATCTTGAACTCCTGACCTCAGGTGATCCACCCACCTTGGCCTCCTTTCAAAGTGCTGGGATTACAGGCGTGAGCCACCTTGCCCGGCCTCATTCTCATTCTTATATAAATTTTAAGCTGGAATAGACAGCACACAAGTCTCTAGTTAGGGATCACCTGTAATTTAGGGAGGAGGAGGAAGAGCGTATCTTGCTGTATGCCAGGTACTTTACATATGTTCTCTTTTATCAACCATAGGAAGTCGGTGGCATTGACTGTTTTTTGTTTGTTTGTTTTTAAACAGATAAAGCTGAGATGCTGAGGTTGTGGGCAATTAACAGAATTTGCTGTAGGTCACAGAGATGTGTGGGGCTATGTGACTCCAAAGTGCGTGCTTTCTCTACTGTGCTGCCTTTGAAGGTTGACAGTTGACTTAGTCTTTAACCAAAATCATCTGAGAAGCTTTAACAAACTACAGATTCCTTGACCTACCCTGAGCAATTTGTTGAATTGATCTGAGATGGGGCTCAGGTAAATTAACGTTTTGAATGCCATGTTTAATTAATTACAGGAGGTACAGGTTTTCCACATTTGAACGTCTCTGAAATCAGAACCATGTTATAATCAGTGGGGAGAGTCATCAGTTAATAGCTTTTTTCTTTCTTAGTGGCACAAAAAATAAGGATGTACTTTAGATTAAATGAAATATGATATTATAAAAAGGTGATACTGTAAAGGGAACTTAAATACATAGTTTGTCACCTTTCTTTTTTTTTTTTTGAGATAGAGTCTTGCTCTTTCTCTCAGGCTGGAGTACAGTGGTGCAATCTCAGCTCACTGCAGTCTCTGTCTCCCAGCTTCAAGCGATTGTCGTGCCTAAGGCTCCTGAGTAGCTTGGGACTACAGGCGTGCACCACCACGCGTGGCTAATTTTTGTATCTTTTTTTTTTTTTTTTTGGTAGAGATGGCGTTTCACCATGTTGGCCAGACTGGTCTCGAACTCCTGACTTCAAGTGATTTCCCTCCCCCACCAACCCTGTCTGGGCTTCCCAAAGTGCTGGGATTACAGGTGTGAGCCACCATACCAGGCCTCCACCTTTTTTATGTGCATATGCATGTGTTTGTCACAACTTTCAGAATTGTAAAATTCACTGGTGGTATTTATTATTTGCTTACAGCAATAGCTGTGTAGTAATGCCCTTGCAGGGAAATCATAAAATGAATGAGATATTGTCATTAGATTAAGAGCAATAGCAAGGTTACTTTTCAGCCAAGAAGCTGCAGGCAAGGAGAAATGTCAGTGGTTCTCAGCCTTTTTTTGTGAAAGCCTTAGGCCCTTTCCCTAGAAAAAGGCATGAATGTCCACACATACTAAAATTTGTATACTGTGCTAGGACCTCTAGACTTTTGGGGCCTTTGAGGGACTCCTGATGAAAAGCTTAATGGGTACACCTGAGTGTCACAAAAACTGGTATATGTCATATTCTGTTTTACATCCTAAGATCTGACCTCCTACATGAATTTTTTTGAAAATTTGCATATATTAAGATTCACTCTGTTGAAAAGTTATGTAGGTTTCGACAAATGCATAGTGTCCTATATCCACTACAGTATCATAGACAGTAGTTTGCACCTTTAAAAAGTCCCCTGTGAATGGGGCATTTGTATTTATAAATACTCCCTCCCTTATATTTTAAATAAGGTGCTTTAAAAATGTATTTATTATGGAACATTTCAAAAATTCAAAATAAGGCATAATAATATAATGAATCTCTGTATACCCGTCATCCAGCTTCAGCAGTTCTCAACTCATAGCCAATTCTGTTTCATCTCTACCACCTTACCCCTACTCCACTCATTTGCCCTCACTCTCCTTATCCTCTACTTAGATTATTTTGAAGCAAATCTAGACATAATTTCATAAAAATATTCCAATATGTATATCTGAAAGAAATTCTTAAAAAATCTAAAATAACCATTATTGCACATTATTAAGAAATTAAGAATTTATAAATATCAAATATCTAAGCTGTTGAGCTTTTCCTGATTTATAAATATGTAAATGTATATGTAGAGACTCTTCTTGCCTACGACCTGGATCCACTCTTATCCCTGCCCCTCCCTGCACCACTCAGTTCCCTTGGTGCCAGACTCCTTCTCACCCTGGAGTCTACATTAGATGGCACCTCTGCCTTGCGTTCTTTCCCCAAATCTTTACATGGCTGGTACTTTCTAGATCTCAACTTAAAATGTCAATTCCCCAGAGAGGCTCATCTTCCTAGGGTTGATCCCCAGTGCCTCTCTGTGCTATCACACTGTTTTAAGCATCTGATACTTTTTTGGTTGTTTCCATCTCCTTTAGTGAAAGTTCTGTTTGAATAGACACTTTTTAGGTTGTTCCACTTTCTATTTTTAGCACCTAAAACAGTATCTGACATGTAGTAGGTTTTCATTAAAAGTGGAACAAATGAGTAAACAAGTGAATCATACTTACAAAAAAATTCACTATCCTGTGCCTTACTGGAGTCATCATTCTGTTGATCATTTCCCATGGCCTGCTTAGTTATTATCCAAAAGGGAAATTAGACTGAAGCTATACTTACTAATGGAAGTTTACATATGTTAATTTTTTATAGCTGCTTTTCTTTTCTTTTTTTTCCCCCTTTTTGAGACAGGGTCTCTCTTTGTTGCCCAGGCTGGAGTGTAGTGATGCAGTTACGGCTCACTGCAGCTTTGATCTCCCAGACTCAAGTGATCCTTCTGTCTCAGCCTCTAAATAGCTGGGACTACAGGTGTGAGCTACCATACCCCACTAATATAAAAATTTTTTTTTGTATAGATGAGGTCTCCCTGTGCTGCCCAGGATGGTCTGAAACTTCTGGGCTCAAGGGATCCTCCCACCTTGGCCTCCCAAAGTGCTGGGTTTACAGGTGTGAGCCACTATGCCTGGTCTTGATAACTTATTTTCTTTGGAGTTGCCTAATTTGCCTCTCCCATTCCCTTGCTGTCTCTGGGTAAGGCGCCTCCCATGTCGACTTCCATAGCTCCATACCCTGCATAAGCAGACCTGTATCACTGCACCCATCATATTTTGTCTCTCCCCTACTGCACCGAGGCTACCTTATGGCTTGGCACAGAGCAGTCTCTCAATAGACTGTTGGCCCACGCTACAATTGGAGGATGTGAAGTATTCAAGAGAGATTCCGGCAAAAGCCTTTATCAGTAATGAAAAGCTAGGAAATACAATTTCTAATTTTTTTTCCCCAAAATGCATAACCTGCTGTCCTATCCAGTCTATTTTCCATCTTATATACAGTATAGTTTTCAGCCCTAGCAATTTGACTTGGGTCTTTTTGTATTTTCCATGATTCTACTTAACTTTTTGACCATGTGGAGTACAGGTATAATAGTTGTTTCAGTGTCCTTGCTTGTATTCTAACATTTGTGCCTGTTCTGTGTTGATTTTGACGACATATCATGTTTACTTCCTGAAGTGGCACAGTTAGGAAAAGTTAGTGCCTGCAGATTCCTGGCTTTTCCTTGGGAGGAACAGGAGATTCCCTTCCATGTCTTCTTGAAGCTGATTTCTAAACCACCTATCAGGACCAAAAGGGTAGGCTTACCTGCTTTTCTTTAGGCAGAAAGAAGGCAGTCTGAAGGACGGAGGGGAAGAAGGGGTATATTTATGTTGTCTGCTGTTGTTGGTCATGCATACGTTCTTTCTCTGGAAAGCTCTCTCTAATCCTCCTTTCTGTGTATGAACATACACTCTCAAGACAGTTCTATCAAGACACTTAGGGTTGCAGGACAAATATATGAGGAAATGCTGAAGAATGTGGCAGAGAATTACACGAAAAATCATATTTAATCCACAGATTATTGCTTGAACAGCTATGGGATTGAAGATTTACATGCTTATTCAACTATGGGGAAAGGATGCCCCTGTTCTACAGTCTAATATTTTAATTCCTTGTCTTATAATGTAGTTAAACATTAGGTCTCAGCTAATTTTCTAGGCATAATATGACCACAGCTAGATTTATTACATTCTGATGAACAAACTGTTATTTTATCGATTTCAGCTTGTTACTTTCCATAACCTAAGAGCATTTGAAATAAGAGCTCCTTGTTTACTTTCCTTTTAGCATTCATTAAAATGTATTCAGTGGTTTAATACATGTTAAGTGATATTGGTTTTTTCTCTGATTAATGGCTCATATTACCACTGTCCTCAGAATCTAGAAGATTATCTTGACTAAATGAATTTTTACTTAAGGTTTAAATGGCATATGGAAACTGTGGATGATATAATAAAATAATAGTGTTTTGGCTGACACTAGGAAACCATGGATGATATCATAGAGTAATAGAATTTTGCGGCTGAGGAGAGGGACATTAACATCATCTGGTTTAACTTTTTTGTTTTGTAGTTGAGAAAATTGTTGTCTAGAGAGGGCGGTTAAGTAATTGGTTGCCAAAGGTCATTCAGCTACCTACTGGTGAAGCCAGGGGAAGGGAAGTAAGAACTGTGAACTCTGCTTTAGTTCTCTTTCTATGACATCACTTTTGTTTTTTTGCCTTAACTAATGGTTCTTGACATTTTCTTTAAAGTATCATTTTCTTTAAAACCCATTTTCTTTAAAACCCATCTTTGATGTAGTTGACTTTTATCGACAGCCAGCCATTCATGCATCTAATATTTAAGTAGTTACAAGTAAACTAAGACCCCAGCCTTGTTTGTGAGATGTGCAAGGTAATAGGAAGATGGACATTTGAAACAACTCCCTGAAATATGTTTTGTTAAGTGCTATAAAGGTGGCTTTTAAAATAAAGAGAGATGGTTTGCTGATTTAGCACGAATGAACCATATGTACAGCTTTGAGAAACCAATAGTCAACTTTTAAAATCATTTGGAAAAAATTTTTGAACTGTTGAATTATTAGAACTTGAGTTAGGCCAGTTCATGTGGATCACAGACCTTGAAATAAATTTGAACTTAAAATCGTCTAGGGAAAAATGAATTTTTTTTGATAAGCCTTAAGAGTTTTGCAAGAATAACTTTGGTTTTTTAGCTTTGAATTTGAGTTGTTTAAAAATAAAATTTTGAAAAAATGCCATGCTTTCTAACAAGAGAGCAACATTTTTCCTTTGCTGGAATTGGCAATGGGAAATTTAAGTCTGGTTAATGTAACTGAACAGCTGAAGTATTTTCATCCTAAATCAGAATTTAAAAATTCTGTGCATTCTAATGACAAAATGCTACCTCTTTAGTTCGTGGCTGTCCATTCTTGTTCTTGTCTGCTTTCCAGCACAGCCCCCTTGTCTCTTGGCATCCTTGTCAAAAATTAATCAGCCCAAAATATGTAACTTTCTTTCTGGACTCTCAGTTCTCTTCTGTTGGTCTACATGTCTGTCATGCCAGTACTACACTGTTTTGATTAAAGTAGCTTCGTGGTGATCTTTGAAACCAGGAAGTGTGAGTCCTCCAACTATGTTCTTTTTAAAAATTGTTTTGGCTATTTTGGCCTGCTCACAATTTCATATTAATTTGAGGATCTGCTTTTACTCTTGTGCAAAAATGGGAGTCAGAAGTTTGATAGGGATTTTAGTGAATCTGTAGCTCACTTGGGTAGTATTGTTATATTAACAGTGTTAAGTCTTCCAGTCCATGAACATGGGTGTTTTTCCATTTATTTAGGTCTTTAATTCTTTCAGCAATGTTTGTAGTTTTCAGTGTACAGTTATTCCTAAGTATTTTATTCTTTTGGATGCTATTGTAAATGGAATTGTTTTCTAATTTCCTTTTTGGATTGTTCATTGAGGGACCAGCTCTTATTATGCATTATACCTCTCCTTTCCTACTTGGATTGTTTTGCCCACTACAGTGTCTCAGCATTCTCTTTTCTTTTGATTTCTATGATCTTTACTTACATAACCTTTGACTCATTAGGATTGTTGGAGTCACCAGACCTCTACAAAATGATACTCAGTGACTTTATTTCCCTGACTCTAATTTTCATTTATTCCCTCCCTTTATCCCAAAGGGATATTAGAACCTACCCTGATTTTTTTTTTCCTTTGACCATGCGGGTGTCCCAGTTCCCAGTTTTCTTTTTTTTCCCAAATAAGGCACTCATTGGAATGACCACCTTAGAAGTGATCTGTCTCAGCCCTTGGAATTTCCTAACTATAGCACACCTACCTTCCTTCTCAGTCACTCCCTTCTATTGGAACCAGGCTCTGTTTCCTAGTCTCATAAAGAGTTACCCTGCTCCTGGCTTGCCACAGAACTGGTTCCTTAAAGCATTACTGAATAGATTGTTTCCCTCACTGCCTCTCTAATCATTTCTCACTACTCACTTAACCTCTGTGATGCTTAACACTCCCTGACAGTAATAACCCCTGCTGTCCACTGTCCCTGCTTTCAGACTGCATTTGATTGCTGTTGTCGTATTTGAAACACTAATAATTAATAGTAATTAGAAACAACTAGGTTATCTAGCCCCTGTCTTTATGTGTCTTTTGCTTTTCTCTTTTAATTTTTTTCAAGCGTATGATGGGGAAGGAAAGAAAAAGGAGTTAAAATTGAGAGATAAAGTATGATATTCTCTATAGATTTCATCTTTTTCTAAAAGTAAATTTGTTTAAAATTCTTTTATTTCATTAATTTTATTTCCTGATTATTAGGGTAAAATATACTCATTTATAGACTATTTGGAAAATATACAAGAAAAGATATAGACTGGAAAATATACAGGAAAAGATATAGACTAGAAAATATACTCATTATAGACTATTTGGAAAATATTTGTAAAGAAGAAAAATGCCATATATTAACCATGCATTGACAATTTTTGATGAATGTATTTTCAATTTTTTTTCATGTTCTTGTTTTTTCTTTATGTAGTTGAAACCATTTGTGATGGTTAAGAATATAGGTAACTCTTTGAGATAGATGGTACTTAAAAATGTGTATGTTCAGTTTTGCCTCACTCCCTGCCTTCTTACCATTGCCCGGTGGTCATATTGTGGCCTATACATTTTTTCCTTTAAGAAATTGATTATGCTTTTCCTTATAGCTGATCACATTTTGTAAATATCTTACAGATGATTTGAAGTAAGTCACATTTCCTATAGAGTACCATCTTGATAGATGTATTAATTATGGCTGTACCTATAAACTATATCTTTTATATGCTAATATCAGTCATAGACTGATAGTTTTGTACCATGGTCATACTTATATTTGGTTCTCTTCATATTTCTACTATTTTGGTTTTTAAAATTCTTTATAGTTTGATACAGAACAGTGATGATTCATGATTATTATACCTTCATCCTGAAGCATAGCTCTTCTCAGTATAAAACAGTTCTCTATCCCCTATTAAAAACAAAAGTTTTATTAATCTCTCAGTATGTTTTAGAGAAACTTTTTGGGAAGAATACATAATTGCGGTGTTTCCTGAGGCCTTCTGAGTACTATTTTTGCATATGATGAGAGTTTGTCTAGAAATAGAATTCCTTGCCTGCTTCCTCTTCTCCTGAAAATTAAAGCTTTGTTCCATTCCCTGTCATCTTCAGGGTTTTCCATGTTATTCTCATTCAGATAGCATGGGTAACCCAATAATTTTATTTCAGTCCCATTGTCAAATGTTGCATGTGGAAATTTTTTCCAAGTTTTGGTCTTCTCTTTTGGTCTTTCTCTTCAGTTTATAGTACTTTGCCAAATTTTGCTCTTTGGTTTAACTGGGTATTTTAAGGGAAAGTTGGAGGAAAGTGTTTTAATCATTAATAATTTATCATTACTGGTGTTAACATTAATATACCAAAGATAATGTCGTTACAAATGTGATTTTCTAAATTGAATTTTATTTTTGAGGGCCTTTTCTGTATCTCTTATCAACCTTCATGGGTTATTTTAGACAGTAGTTGGTTGTATTTTTGTATTAATGAGTTGTCGCAGCTGTATGCATATTTCTTTAAACATGTTTTTGAACACTTTTATTGTTTTTCCAGCTTAACTTTCATAGAAAATTTAAGAGAAGAAAAAGAATAAAAGCATATAATAAAAATCATCCATAATCCACTATTTATATTCAACCACTGTTAACATATTTTGCTATTTTCCCTTTTTTTAAAGTGGAACACAACATGCATATGAATATATATTTAACTTTGATTCACCGGATGTTTATTGAATACCTGTTACATGCATGAACTATTCTAGGTGCCAGACATTGTTAGAAATTTGCTGTATACAGTTTGTATGTTGTAATTTGCATTTACTGTTATATTCTAAGCAAAACTCATTTTACTACAGTATTTATAACAGTTTTGTTCATGGCTTCATAGTCTTTTTTCAGTGTTTTTTAGTCACTTATTTGGTCATTAAAACCTGTCTTCAAAGAAGCCTAATATGTTAGAGAGATGAACAGGGAGCAGTTTAGTTGAGAGGATATCATGACTTGAGGTATCACCTCTCTCCTCCAAAGAAAGATAAACTGTTGAAAACTGTTGTTCTATCTTCTGGATGTATTACAGTTTATTAATTATTGCTCTGTTGCTGGTAGTTTATATTGTTACTTTTCTTCAGTTTTAATTTTTATTAATATATTTGTACATAAAAATTTGTGTCTGTCTTTCGTTTCCTTAAGATGGATTTTAGTAATGGAATTATTGGGTCAAAGAGTATAAATATTTATAAAACTTTGTATAGAGTCACAAATTACGTGTCATAACCTGTGTAACAGTCAGTATTATTTTTAAATAATATAAACATTTCTGTTATAACATCAAATGTATTCCATAAAAACCCTTCAAGTTTACCTATTCACTAAAAATAACAGGATTTATGAGAAAAATAAGGTTAAGGGCCAGCCACTCAAGATTTCTGCAATTAAAGCAGAGCACCAACAAAAGCATAATTGGTACCTTGTGAGATCACTTGGGCAGCCCAGTCAAACCATTTAGCATGGCTTATGTTGCCTCAGAAGAGAGTGAGAGATATTAACATATAGGGTGTGGTCTTGAGACAGTACAGATGAAAGTCATTTTCTTAGCCAATGTGGTTGCCATAAAGGTGGGCACCAGAGTAAGTGCAGCTTGCTGTGCAAAGGATGGGAATGCTCCTTTGAGCAGGGAGTCCTGGGTACAGGTGCTCATTTTAAATATTCTTGAAATAGAGCTGAGAGGACTCCTGCTTGGCAGCAGCTGAGCTAAATGAGGATCTTTTTCTTTCTCACTGAAAGTTATAATTCTATTCCTGCTATTCCAGATCCCCTTGCCTAGGAAAATTAATATGTGAACCCACTTGTTATACTGGAATGATCTTACTTACCACTTAAAAGCTGTGTTACAGAAACATGTCTCACAATATAACAGACTGTATTTGCTAATTTGATGCGTGAAAATTTGAACAGAATTTTATTGGTTTCTTTCAAGCCTTTTCAAACTGGAAATAACTACCTTAGCTAATAAAGAATGGAGTATCTGTTTCAAAACAAGTGTTTTCAAAACCTATAGTCAGAAAACAGCAACTGTGTTTAATGATTATATTGCAATTTAAACACCTCAGTCTATGGTAGTGAATTTTAAATTTACAATTTATTTTGGTGGTCATTAGGTGTTCATAGGCATTTGGATCACAGGGCTTTAAATTGTCAGCAGCTTATAAATATTTATTTGTTGAGGGTACAAGCATCATCTTGTAGTGAGTCATTTGTGGCAATGGCTTAATCCAGGATTATGCAGCATTCAATTATAGCACCAGAGAGGACAGGAAGTAGAGGAGTGAGTTCAAGATTGGGTGTTTTTTTCTGAGCTGATGGTGTATGTCTGATGTAGGCTGTGGTGGGTGAAAGTGGAAACCTCCACTGGTAAGAAAGTAATTGAAGTAATTGAGGTTGAGGCCTGTAAGAAGAAACTGAGGAAATGATTGGTACAATAGAATGGGAGAAACAAGAGGATTATAGATACTGGAGACAGAATGACCCTGGGAGCAGCTGTTGTTAATTGTAAAGAGCTGAAGAACTACTAGCTGTTGAGATACTATAGTTCAAGATTTTAGAGGCAGAGTAATTCGCATATTGCTGCTGTCCATGAGAAATGAGTTTCTTTGGTATGGATGAAGATTGTTGGAGTTGAGGAATAAAAGAGACATTGAAGGGCAGATTGAAAGTGGGTTAGTCTCAGGGACATTGGGAGTCTGCCCTAATGAGACATAGAAGAGGGGTGCATAGAACTTGTATAAACTGGTCCCAGAATCCTCAGTGAATGAGGTAACTGAGATACTGAGAAGGATAGAGGGTGGCATAGTTTGATGGCATGATTGTAAAGAAACAGAACTTTGGGTAAGGGTGCTCAAGCAGTCATCTGAAGTGGCCATGGCGATCCAGGGCAGTGTCCACTGAGGGTAAGAGAATGGGCCCTTTGGGCTCCACAGGGCCAGGGGAAAGTTGTACTTCCGAAGGATAAGGAGGTTGGTGGAAGTCAGAGGGGTATTAGTGGGTGACAGTATAGAAGTAGATCATTGAAGGGGGATAAGGGGTGGACGGCCAGGGTGCTAAGCTACTAGCACAAGTTGAAGTCCAACTAGGTTTTAGAAGCCTGAGAAAGTTGGCTGACTGCAGTCTTTGCCCTGTCTTCAGTTGAAATGTTGTGAAGTTGCTCTGTTATGTTCAAAAAGAATATTCCCTACTTAGGAGGCATGGTTTCTGTTGAAGTTGGTAGTTTCTGTTTGGGCTGGTAAAACTAGAGAGACCTTGAGCAATTTGGGGAGAACAGATGTTCCCAGGAGGCTGGGAAGGAATTGGCTATATCCACCCGTCTCCTTGACAGATAAGATAAAATTTCTAGTAGAACAAAACCACGAATTATCAAATGACTGCATGTATGACTTGAGGACGTGCCTGCATTTTCTTCTTTTTTTTTTTTTTTTGGTCTTGTCTGGCTGCTTACAGGTACTTTTTATCTAGCTTAACATGGAGTTGAATTTACAGAACTCCTAGATGCTCTTGATACTTTGAACTGTGTCTGGAAAACTTACTTACATATTATTTTTTGTTATTATTACCAGTAATAACAATAAATTGTTATTAGGAACAGAGTTCTTTATTTTCCTGGGAAAGGTGTTTTGAAGTTTAAATATGGAAGTTGGTGATCACTTAAGATTAATTTTTTCTAAAACTTTTTATGTTAGTACAAATACTATGCTATGATTTTGCAAGCTTCTTGAGATAAGCAGAGAGGTAAAAACCATTGAGTGTTAATTCCTTTTTTCCATCTTTTAAAAAAATTAGTTAAACTACGTATAATGAAATACACAGATTTTAAATGTTCTCTTGGTTGAGTTTTGAAAAATGCATACACCTATGTAACCACCACTCCAACCAAGATATAGGACATTTCCATCACCCCAGAAATTCCCTGATGCCTCTTTGTAATAAATTCAACAGTTTCCCTTCCACTCCCCTTTCCAGGGTCACCACTGACCTGATTTCTATCACCATAAATTACTTTTGCCTATTCTATAACTTTATATAAGTGGAAATATTAGTATATACTCTCTTGTGTAGTTTCTTTCACTCATACAGTCTATGAAATTCATCCCTATTGTTACAAAGTCTCTTATTTTCATTGCTGATTAGCATTCCATTTATATATATGCCACAGTTGGTTATCCGTTCATCTGTTGATGGACATTTGTGTTGTTTCCAGTTTTGGCTATTGTGGATAAAAGGGCTGTGAACATGGCCAGGCATGGTGGCTCACGCTTGTAATCCCAGTACTTTGGGAGGCCGAGGCGGATGGATCACTTGAGGTCAGGAGACCAGTCTGGCCAACATAGTGAAACCGCGTTTCTACTAAAAATACAAAAATTAGCCGGGCGTGGTGGCAGGTGCCCATAATCCCAGCTACTTAGGAGGCTGAAGCAGGAGAATCGCTTGTACCTGGGAGGCAGAGGTTGCAGTGAGCTGAGATCCTGCCTGGGCAACATAGTGAGACTCTGTCTCAAAAATAAAAACGTTCGGGGGAGGGATATGAATATTTGTGCATAAGTCTTTTTGTGGACATATGTTTTCTTTTCTTTTGGATAATTACTCAGAAATGGAATTCTTGGATCATAGAATAGGTGTATGTTTAACTTTATAAGAAACTGTGTTTTCCAAAGTAGTTGAACATTTTTTACACTCTTAGCAATGTGTAAGAGTTGTATAATAGTTACTCCACCTCCTTGCCAACGTTCAATGTTATTCTCTTGGGTGCTAATGGCTCTCACTGTGGTGTTCATTTGTAGTTCTCTGATGACTAAGGATGTTTAGCACCTCTTCATATGCTTATTGGGTATGTATATAATTATGAAATGTCTGCTGACATCTTTTGTCCATTTTATTTAATTTGGTTAAAAAATTTTTGGTTCTTTATATATTCTAGAAACAAATCATTAAAAAAAATTAACCAACATCTCTCCCTTCCCCCAGCTAAGTTCTTTCTTAGATAGATGTGACTGTTTTCTCCTAGTTTGTGACTTTAATTTCATTTTCTTAATGTTTTTTGAGGGACAGAAGTTTTTAATTTTGATGAACTTCAGTTTTTAATTTTGATGATTTTTAAATTTTGATAAGGTTTTAAATTTTTGATAATTTTCAGTTTTTTCTGGTTGCTTTATGTTCTGTGTCACCTGTCCAGGAAATCTTTGCTTACCCCAGGTTGTGAAGATTTTCTATCCTACGTTTTTTTTTTTTTTTTTTCCAGCCCAAAGGAGAGCAAGGGAGAGAGGGAAGGAGAGACAGAAGGGGTTGGGGGAAAGAGAAAGAGAGAGAGAGAGAGAGAGAGAAGGCAGTAGAGAGAGTGCGAGGCGGAGGGGGAAGAAGAAAAAGAGAGAGGGCGAGGGAGCCAGAGAGCAAGAGCGACAGAGCCCCAGAGAGGGAGCGCTCCGCTCTGGCAGACAGGGCCTCTTCTATCCTACGTTTTCTTTTAGAAGCTTTATAGTTTTGGCTTTTACATTTAGGTTTATATCTCAGATTGGGTTTTGTTTGATATGTAAGATAGGGGTCAAGGTTTATTTATTTTTTTACTTGTAACCCTAGGAAGAGTTTTTTAAACATTTATTTTTTAAATTTTTATTTATTTTTTATTTACACATTATTATTGTACATATTTATAGAGTACAGTTTGGTGTTTTGATACATATCTCTGCTGTATAATGATCCAGTCAGGGTAGTGTATTCATCACGTGATACATTTATCATTTCTTTGTGATAATAACCTTGAAAAGCCTCTCTTCTAGCTATTTTGTGATATACAGTGTTTTACTGTTAACTAGTGACTCTACTGTGTGTTAGAACATCAGAATTTATTCCTCTTATCTAACTGTAAGTTTGTACCCACTGACTAACCTTTCCCCATCCTCCACTTTCCCCTCCCCGCCTCAGTCTCTAGTAATAATTGCTGTGCTCTATTCCTATGATATCAACTTTTTTTTTCTTTTTTTTAAAGATTCCACATATGAGTGATGTCATGCGGTATTTGTCTTTCTGTGTCTGGCTTATTTCACTTAACATGATGTCTTCCAGGTTCATTCATGTTGTAGCAAATGACAGAATGTCCATTTTTTTAAAAGTTGAATAATACTACATTGTGTACATTTACCATATTTTCTTTATGCATTCATTCCTTGTTGGACAGTTAGGTTGATCTCATATCTTGGCTATTGTAAATAGTGCTACAGTAAACATGGGAATGCAGATACCTCTTCGACATACTAATTTCATTTTCTTTGGATATATACCCAGTAGTGCGATTGCTGGGTCATATGGTAGTTATTTTTTTTTCCCCCTACACACAGAGTCTTGTTCTATCTTCCAGGCTGGAGTGCAGTGACACGATCATAGCTCACTGCCGCCTCGAACTCCTGGGCTCAAGCCAGCCTCCCATCTCAGCCACCCAAGTAGTGAGGACTACAGGCATACACCACCATGCTTGGCTAATTGTAAACATTTTTTGTAGAGATAGTGTCTTGCTAATGTTGCCCAGACTGGTCTCATACTTCTGGGCCTAAGTGATCCTCTGGTCCCGGCCTCCCACACACTGGGATTATTGGCATGAGCCACTGTACCTGGCCTTAACTTTTAATTTTTTAAAGAACCTCCAAAGTCAGGCCAGGCACGGTGGCTCACGCCTGTAATCCCAACAGTTTGGGAGGCCGAGGCAGGCGGATCACGAGGTCAGGAGATCGAGACTATCCTGGCTAACATGGTGAAACCCTGTCTCTACTAAAAATACAAAAACAAAATTAGCTGGGCATGGTGGCAGGCACCTGTAGTCCCAGCTACTTGGGAGGCTGAGGCGGGAGAATGGCGTGAACCCGGGAGGCAGAGCTTGCAGTGAGCTGAGATTGCGCCACTGCACTCCAGCCTCGGCGACAGAGCAAGACTCATCTTAAAAAAAAATAAAAAAAGAACCTCCAAAGTCTTTTTCATAATGGTGTACTAGTTTATAATCCTACCAGCAGTATAATAGCTGTCCTAACAGGAATGAGGTGGTATCTCATTGTGGTTTTAATTTTCATTTTAAGGTTTTTTTTTTCTCTGTATATTTATGCATCTAGTTGCTTTACATCGCTTGTTGAAAATACTAAAGTTGAATTGCCTTGTTCCTCTTCCAAGGCATTTTCATTTTCAAGATCGTTGTTGGCATGTAAATTTCACGATTAATTTATTTTTTCAAAAAAATCTATTGAGATTTTGATTAAGATTACTTTGAATCTGCAGATCAATATGAGAGACTTGACATGTTAACAGTATTCAGGCTTATCTAAGGAGAATGGTACAGTATGTCTCTCCACTTTTTAAGGTCTTCTCTAATTTTTCTTAGCCATGTTTTATAGTTTTCAGTGTAGAGATCTTACATAGCTTTAGAGTTATTCCTAGGTCCCTGGTGTTTTTTAATGTTATAGTATTGATTTTTTAAGTTTTATTTTCTAGTTGTTGCTAATATAGAAATACAATTGATGTTAAAGTATTGGCTTTGTATTCTGAGACCTTGCTAAATTCACTAGTTGGTTTTAGTAGTATTTTAGTAGATTTCACAGTGTTTTCTATACATATGATTATGTCATCTGTGAACAATGACAGTTTTACTTCATCCTTGTGCTTTTTATGTCTTAATACATTGGCTAGGACCTCCGGTACAAGGTTGAATGGAAGTTGTGGAAGTGGACATCTTTGCCTTGTTTCTGATCTTAGGAATAAGGATTTAATAATTTACCATTGAGTATGATATTAGCTGTAGGGTTTTTTTAATGTTCTTTACCAAACTAAGAAAGTTTCTGTCTATTCCTAGTTTGTTGACAGTTTTTATCATTAATAGGTTTTGAATTTTGTCAAATGCTTTTTCTGTATCGAGATGATACGGGTTTTTATTTTGTTAATATGGTAAATTATACTGATTTTTAAAAGGTTAACCTTTCATATATAGTTGGTCATGATGTGTTAATCCTTTTATGTATTCTTGTATTGAATTTGCTAATATTTTGTGGAGAATGAATCTATGTTCATAAGGGATGTTGTTCTGTAATTTTCTTTTCTCATTATGTTTTAGTAAGTTTTTTGTATCAATATGATGCTGCTGGCCTCATCAGATGAGTTAGGAAGTATTCTCTTCAACTATTTTCTGATAGAGTTTATGTAAGATTGGTGTTGTGTCTTCCCTAAATGTTTGATAGAATTCACTAATGAAGCCATTTGGACCTGGAGCTTTCTTTTGGGATAGGTTTTTAATTGAAATTTTTATTTCTTTTAGTTTGGTAAATTATGTTTTTAAAGGGTGCTTCTGTTTCATCTAATTTGTTGATTTTATTGTCAAAGTTGTTTATAATAATCTTTTTATCTTTTTAACATCTATAGGATTTGTAGTAATGTTTCATTTTCATTCCTAGTATTGGTAATTTGTGTTTGGTGTTTTTTCTCTTTTTTCCTTGATCAGCCTTGTGAAGGGTTTAACTGTTTTATTAATCTTTTCAAATAATACTCTTTTGGCTTCATCCTTATAGTTAATATCTTTATCATATGGTATTTGATCAGGGAAGGTAGCCTGTATGATTTTGGTTTGAATCTGTTTTTATATTTTAAAAAAATTTTAAATGCATGTGGTCTAATTCATGATTAATCCCCCCTCACTTTTTCATGTCCCATAATTATATGTTCAAATCATCTATGTCCACACTCAATTTGGTGACCTTTGATCTTTTTTTTTTTTGATCTTTTTATTTTTTAAAGAGAGAGGGTCTTGTGTTACATAGACGGGAGTACAGTGGTGTGATCATAGCTCATGGTAACCTCAAATTCCTGAGCTCAAGCCATCCTCATGCCTCATCCTCCTGAGTAGTTAGTACTACAGGTGTGTACCACCACTCCCAGCTAATTTAAAAAAAGTTTTTTATAGAGATGGGTTGTTGCTGTGTTGCCCAGGCTGGTCTTGAACTCCTAGCCTCAATGGATCCTCTCGTTTCAGCCTCCCAAAGAGCTGGGATTACAGGTGTAACACCATGCCCAACTGTTTTGATCTTTTGATTTCTGAGAGGATGTTAGTTTCCAATTGTGATTGTGGATTTGTGTGTTTCTTTTTGCCTTTTTGTCCGTTGGTTTTTGCTTTCTATATTTGAAGCCCTTTTTTTTTTCAGTTGTACTACTGTATCTTCTTGTGTTTTTTATTAATATGAACTCATTAGTAAATTTTATATTAATACATTTAGTATGAAATCCTTTCAACTTGAGTCCTAGTTTGTCTCATGTCAGTACTGCCTCATGTAATTTTCTTCTTTTTATTTATCTGACATATATTTCTAAGTAAACAGCACCTATCTAGACTAGACTAAGACCCAGACGTAAGAAAAAAGGCAAATTTAAATTATTTACAATTTTTCCTCTAACCCCTTTCTCCAGCACCACCAATCCTCCATTCCTGGATATTTGCTAACACTCCTGCCAGCAGGGAGAGGCTTTTGCAGAAGGGTCTGCATTTCTGTCTCTGCTTTCAGTATCTTTTTTAGGATAAATAAAAGCAGTGCTACCCAGCTAGTGCTGTGGATGGCAAGCCACCCAGGTGCCGGGGCAAGAGACTGAAGGCACAAGCTGTTCCAGTATAATAAAGAAAATATATAGAACAAGAATAGTTATACTAGAAATAGAATATAGATATGATTATATATGAATATGATTAATCATTAGTTTGTAGCATTACTCTTTATTCCAATATTATAATAATCTCTGTTCTACAATTACAACCTAGAAAAAACCAGGCCATACAGAGATAGGAGCTGAAGGGACATGGTGAGAAGTGACCAGAAGACAAGAGTGTGAGCCCTCTGTCAAGCCCGGATAGGGCCACTAGAGGGCTCCTTGGTCTAGCGGTAACGCCAGTGCCTGGGAAGGCACCCGTTACTTAGCAGACCTTGGTCTAGTGGTAGCGCCAGTGCCTGGGAAGGCACCTGTTACTTAGCAGACCAGGAAAGGGACTCTCCCTTTCCCCGGGGGAGTTAGAGAAGACTCTGCTCCACCACCTCTTGTGGAAGGCCTGACATGAGTCAGGCCCGCCCGCAGCCATCTGGAGGCCTAAACGTCTCCCTGCGATGCTATGCTTTAGCAATCACGTTCCTGGTCCACTTTCATGTTCCATCCTGTACACCTGGCTCTGCCTTCTAGGTAGCAGTAGCAGAATTAAAGTATTAAAATCTTTGATCTCTCCGAGAAATGCATAGAAGAAATAATGACATAAGCTGCCCCCTCTCTCTCTCCACCTCAGCTACCAAATAGGGAAGGGCTGGCCCCCTGTCCGTCGGACACGTGACTTATGTGACCTTACCTATCATTGGAGATGACTCACACTCCTTACCCTGCCCCCTTGCCTTGTATACAATAAATAACAGCACAGCCAGGCATTCAGGGCCACTACCGGTCTCCACATCTTGGTGGTAGTGGTCCCCCAGGCCCAGCTGCCTTTTTTCTATTTCTTTGTCTTTTGTCTTTATTTCTACGATCTCTGGGCTCCGCACACAAGGAGAAAAACCCACAGGCCCTGTAGGGTTGGACCCTACAAGTTCAGCAGCTTTCCCCTATGTGGCGTGCCTTAAATTTCATTTCTGCATTAATGATTTTATTACACCTAGTTCAGAAACGAGAAAACTAATTTTACAGGATAAATACCTGTAGGAGAGTGATTTGTTTCTAGGTCTATATTCTTAGGAGGTATGAGATCTCCATCTTGACCTCTCTGCATACTGTGAGGTTTCAGACCCCATAGTGCCGGCTCAGTAAATGTGAAATTTGCATTTTGGCTGTTCTCCTCAGTATCTTTCCCCCTCTAACTTGTGGAATATATATGTCATGTATTACTAGAGGGACACCTGGATAGAACTTTAAATAACAGTAAATCAATTCAAGAGAAAGTTACTCCCTGCTCTTAGTCTTTCAGTTCCTTGGATGATCATGGAGAAATCCTCTGTGTGATTTTTTTTTTTTTTTTTACATTTCTCAAACACTTGATTATACCTCCCTCCTCCCTTTTTATAAACAATGAGCTAGGCTCAAGTTCACTGCCTTCTTGGTAGGCACCAGAATTGAGCTAGAATTTAGTACATTTGTTTTTCTTTTGTTTTTTTGATAACTCTTTTTTTAACAGTAACTGTTGATTTGCCACTGAAAAGTAGTGATTAAATTTTGCCTTAAAAATTTTTATTTTAACAAATTAAATAAGTTTTAAAGAAAAATATTAAATACAGGCAGGATAAAAGGGTGTGACAAAATTGAGATCCTGATACGTATGGAAGATTGTATGTGCCCTGGCTGAGAAGGTGGTATGGGAGTGAGTGAAACTTCGGAGTCACTTCTCCGGCATTCCAGGCTTTTCATTTATTTTTGTTTTGTCTATAGTACTAACCTCTTGGTTAACAAGCATTTATGTTTTGTGCAGAGAGCTGTGTCCTGCAGATACCATGAAAAACATAGTGTTCTTCCCTTTGTAGTCTTGGTAGGGAAGACAGCATGTGCCTGCAAAACACCTGGTGCAAGTGTGTACCATGGTAAATGCTATCAGAACAGCAAGGACCTTGTGTTGTCAGAGGAGGTGGAGGTCATCTCTGGCTGGAGGCTTGAGGCTTGGCTCAGGCTTATGTTTTATCCGAGGGGCCTTTCTCCCTTTCATTTTGAATCTCCCTTCCTAAGTCTACGTAAATTTTTTGGGGAAGGGGCATTTCTTTGTAGCTGTTCCTCTAAGAAGCACTGTGTCCAGAAGAAAGAGCATCACACTGGCCCTCAGAAGACAGAGTGGCTCCCAGAGTTCTATCTAGTTCTAGCACACCTGTTTTCAGCTGGATAACTGCTTAATTGTTTCAAGTCTCAATTTCTTCATCTTTCTTGGTGATGATAAAACCCCGTGTCTTTTTTGCTTCATAAGGCAGCCCATGTTAGGGCCATTTGTGATGTTCATTTGCTTATCAATATTATCTTCACTCTATTTGTATTTGAAATACTGATAGGGATGATTTTGAGAATATTTTAAGTGTTTAATTATTTTTTTCCTATTTTTTTCTAGGTCTTGATGCAGAACTTTATTATGTGAGAAATGACCTTATTAGTCACTACGCTCTATCCTTTAGTCTGTTAGTACCCAGTGAGACAAATTTCCTGCACTTCACCTGGCATGCGAAGTCCAAGGTAAGAGAGTGGCTAACCACAGACATCATGACAGGGTCACCCAGCCACAGAGGCAAGGGCTGTGTTTGAGGACTGGGCTGCTGTCTGTACTGAAGGGTCCGCTGGTGATGTGATATAATAGTACTGAGTCTTTTCAGATTTATATTTCAAATATTTGGCCTATTCCTCTAAAATTTCTTGAATCCTTTAAAACGAAGGTGGCTATCATTTAATTGATTAGCACATGACACAACACTTAACATCCTTTTAGGCTCTTCAAACAGAGATCCAGACCTAGCTTGAAAAGGGTACAGTTGGACCCAATAATGCCTGTGCTGCTGTGGTGAAAGGAGATGGGTGTAGGGGTGGAGATTGGTAAGATAGGCTTTTTAGACATGTTGGACAGAATGGATACAGTTCTCCCACTCATGGAGAAACGGTGTAAGAAAGGTACAGCAGATGCAGCCCCCATGTGTCCTGTGGTGAGGCTTCTTTACCCATAAGGGCTAAACCCAATCACTTAAGAATCTCTTGCCTGGGCTACTTGTTGCTGAATTCTTCACATTGCCTCTGACTGCCTGGGTCCCTCAAACATGGTAAGTTTTCTCCTAAGTCAAAGAGTCGGAGGCTGAGCATGGAGGTGCCTCCTGTACCCAACCAACTTCAGTTTCTTTTATCAGCTTTATATAGGCTTTTGAATAGGATTTTATTCAGGAAATAAAAATAGTCTTGCTACTATAAATAAGAATACCTATTGTAGAGTTTTTAAAAAAAGTATTATAGAGTAGTGTCTGTCATAATATTTGCTCCAAGTTATTTAAATTGGCCACTTTAATATAGATTTTTAAAAATCTTCATTTTTTTCTACTTAGAAAACAACAGTGATTATTGGGAAAATTTAAATATTACAGAAATGTTTTAAGAACTGTAAGACTAGGCCTGGCGTGGTAGCTCACACCTGTAATCCCAGCACTTTGGGAGATTGAGACAGGTGGATCACAAGGTCAGGAGATCGAGACCATCTTGGCCAACATGGTGAAACCCCATCTCTACTAAAAATACGAAAATTAGCGAGGTGTGGTGGCACACACCTGTATTCCCAGCTACTCAGGAGGCTGAGGCAGGAGAATCACTTGAACCCGGGAGGCGGAGGTTGCAGTGAGCCGAGATCGCACCACTGCACTCCATCCTGGGAGACAGAGTGAGACTCTGTCTCAAAAAAAAAAAAAAAAAAAAAAAAAAGAAAAAGAACTGTTAAGACTTTGTAGTTCTATACTCAGAAGTAATTGTTTATAGTTTGGTATAACTTCTTCAAAGTCCCCTTTTTTCCCTTTTTAAACAAAAAAGGGATTTTTAGACATGTATGTTGAACAGTACTTTTTCCCCTACAGAATAACTTATCTAGGCATCTTTCTTTTTCTCTCACTCATTCTCTTTAGTGGTTTTATAATATGAGATTGTATGGATGTATGCTATATTGCTATCTGTGAAGTACCTCGTTGATGGGACACATGGATTTTTAATAGCATTTTATTATTTCAAACAATGCTTCCCTTCACCATTACACAGTTTCCCTCATTTCATTTTATAGGCAAAATCCAGGTAATGGGATGATGAAAACAATTGGTAGTTCATCTTTTATTGATGTTTCTACCTTTGCTATTTCTTTTATTTAAAAATTTTTCAATCTTTGCTTTTGATGAATATAGAAACACAGAAAAAAATGTGTGTTAATGTGTATCCCTGTGTGTGTATATGTACATATATATGTGTGTGTATGTATATAAATATGTTAAGAACATCTTTGTTCAGAAGTTTTTGTGCACTTGTGGCCTTATTTCTGAATAGTAAATTACTGCTGAGAAGTCAAGTGGCTAGGCCAATGTGTGTGTCTTTAAAACTTTGAAAGATACTGCCAGATGTACCAGTGAATAAGTGCTTATTTTTGACCTTCATTTTCTAATACCAACATTTTAAGTATACTTGTTTGCCTTCCAGTCTCCCTCTCCCTCCCCCTCCCCATACGTCAGTGAGTATTTTCTAAGAAAAAGGGCATTCTTTATACAACCAAAATACAATGATCAAAACCAGAAAATTTGACATTATTATGTTATTATCTAATCCACAGTAGTCACATTTTATCAATTATCACAACAATGTTCTTCATAGCTAATTTTTTACTAGTTGATGTCTCTTAGTTCCCTATCAGTCTGGAACAGTTCCGTAGCCTTTCTTTGTGTTTTTTGACCTTAACATTTTTGAAACTTACAGGCCAGTAATTTTGTAGAATGCCCCTCAGTTTGTGTTGTCTGAGGTTTCTTCATGATTAGATTCAGGAATATCTCTTTGGCAGTGATACCACAAAGGTGCTGTCCTTCCCAGTGCACAAGGTGCCAATTTGTCCCATGACTGGTGGTGGTAACTCCGAACACTCTTGTCACCAGATTTCTCCCCTGTCAAGTTTTTTACTTTATATATAGTTAGTAAGTAATTTGTGGGGAGATAATTTGAAACTATCTTTTAAAAAAATCTCATTCCTCATCATCCTTTCAACCACTACTTTTTGCATCTGTTTTTGGAACTAGTTTCGTATTTCAGCCTGTGGTGTGGTGAGGGTAGTGTGTTTCCTCTCACTGGAAGAGGTCAGACCTACACTGGATAACCATTCAATAAGGCTGTTATAGAAGGAATTCAAGTATTTGTGGAGTGGTTGTTACTGAATTTTAAGTTCCCTTGCAACTCTGAGGTCCAGTGTTTCTATGAACATCTTTCAGGCAGAGAAGCTTCTTATATTCTCCAAAAAGTTGATAGCTAATTCTTTGTTGTTATTCTTACCTTTGATGTTGATACATATAAAAACAAATAATAAATGTATTTCAAAATGGTGAAAGGTTTATTAGAGAATTCTGTTCTAGGTACTTCTATTGACTTTGAACAGAGTGTGAATATTTCTGGGCACACTTAGGAAAAAAGAATGCTGATATGAGAAGGTTTCCTGGGCAAGTGTATGGGTAGTGATTTGTGAGTACAAAGGCAATGTGGGAAGTGGCAGTCAGGACTGAACAAAATAAAACCTTCTTTTACTGATTCCTTTAAAACAGTTAAAATACACCGTTTGTTATTTGGAATGAGCTCAGGGCCCTGATGTTGCTGGTAATGGGTGTCTGAGTCTTAGGAGCCTGTTACAGGGGGAAGTTGGAGTGGGAGAGAGCAGGTAGGAGGGGCTCGGGTGAATATATATGTTTGAAGGGGAAGCAGTGTTAGCATGGTACATTTTGGGTTAGGAGAAGCCTTGGTATAGCTGTAACTGTACTCCCATATCATTCACATTATTTTATAGAGCATAATTTCTAAGTTACCTCTTTGGCAGGTATAAATATTATTAGTGCACATTTGGGCTGCCACTGCTGGTATGATATTCTTTGTGAGGCAGAAGTTTCCTGATTTTTTTTGGAGGGTATGACTATTTTCATGTCTAGGCCAGAAATGTAGAAGGGATCCTAGTTTCCTTCTCCTATACTTTCTAAATCTAGTTGATTCTCTCTAATAATTACATCTTAAATTTGTTTCCTACCTCTCTTGTGACCCAATGCCTCACACTTAGTTTGGGCCTTCATTGTTTCTTGCTGGATTCGGAAGTGGTCTTCTAACTGGTCTCCTTTCCTCTGGACTGACCTCTTGTTGCACCCTCCACAAAGCCACCTTAGGCTTCTCTGTTGCTACTGGAATAAAGCTCTTGATTTCGTAGGAGGCCTTTATGATCTGGTCTCGGCCTTTCTTTTCTGCCTCCTATCTAGCCAGTCATTTAGTGTCATTTTTGTCTGTCTTGGAATTTCATGAATGCCCTGTGACCTGTCACAGTGCTGCTGTTTGCCACAAATGCCGTTTTTTCATTCTTTACCTGAATAACTCCTGTTTACCTCATAAAGCTGTGACCTGTTGTCACCTCTTCTCCAGCTGTGTCAGGTGCCCTTTTCTGTCTGCACAGTGCCCTTCTCTCTCATAGCCCTAGTTATACTTTAAGAATATTGTAATAGTTGATTTTCTTTTCTTTCTCCCTCCTACTTGCTGAGCACCTTAAAGGGTATCCTCTGTGCTTGGTATAGCACGTGGTACTAACTGCAGAAGAGATGTGCAGGTAGAAGCCACAGGGCCCAGCTCAACAAATGGGGAGCTTCTGAGCAGTTAGGGCTTTTCAGAGTTGGGATGTGCGGCTTTAGGAGTGGTGACTTTTCTATTTCTGGAAGTGTGAAAACATATAGGCTGGGTACACTCGACAGTAGTTGCACAAATGGGATTTTTCAGATATTTTACTCATAATAGAGTGAGGTTATAAGTTTGGAAAAATGAGTGGGTTGAATATAAACCTAAACTGATTTCACAAGTTCATCTGTAACAGGTATAAAATTTAGAGGAAAGTAACCGTCTTACGATGTTTTTTTAGTAAAAAACTAAGGAAATATGTCTGTGTTAATCTAGTTTCAGGCT
The DNA here is from genome assembly GCF_000001405.40 of Homo sapiens. NCBI lineage: Eukaryota > Metazoa > Chordata > Mammalia > Primates > Hominidae > Homo > Homo sapiens. The sequence continues at coordinate 134,217,950 of NC_000003.12, read as the reverse complement.
TCAGCCACTATTGCAGTTCCCAATTCTAGGTAATAATCTCTGGTGATTTTAGCACAGTTGATTACGTTTATTTATTTTAAAAATTAATCTTATGAGTAGATAATATATGCACATAGTAAAAATTTAAAAAGCATAAAGGGTATACAGTGAAAAATAAGTCCCTTGCACCTTCTAGTACCATCCCTGAGCAATCCAGCCACTTAGTTCCCCTTGCCTGAGTCAGCCACTGTTGCCTGATTATTGTCTTTCCTTTGGAAATAGTTCGTGTGTATATAAGCTTCCATGCATATATGTATATATACATCTTTCAACAGCTAACATACCACCTACTTTTCTGCAGTTTGCAGAGCACTGAACAATATCCTGGTCAAGGATCTCTGTCACTTGATACAGAGTTGTACTTTTTCCCCCTTCAAATGGCTGTATTACTTATTATTATATAGTTGTACTTTGGTTATTGATCAGTTCCTGTGAGGAAATTAAGACCCAGATTTGGAAAGGGATTTGCTTAAGGTAGGAGAAGTAGGGTTAGAGGAAGCAGAAGGTAGAGATGACCTGAAATGGGAAAGTCACACGTGAGGGCAGGGGAGGCTTGATGAAGGGTTTGTCACCTGATCATTTAACCCTGAGGTGTAATCATGAACTTTCAGAAGGAGGGCCGTGGCTCTCAAGCTCTAATACTTTATCAGAAACCCTCGGTTCTTGCTTTTTAAGGTTTGCCAGAAGATGAAATATTTGCTTCCAGAGATCTGCAGGCTCCCTGATATGTGTCGGTTCAACATCGTAGATACTTTAACATTAGTTTCACATATCACAGCTTCTGGTAATACTGTTTCTCAGTGTTTTCGCCATTTTGTCTTGCCACACAGATTGTGGTCTCTTCAGAGGCTTGAAGCTGTCTTACTCTTAGCGCATAGGTCACACATGCCTTAGTGAGTGGTCAGGAAAGACCATTGTGTTAATTGCATTTTGAGTTGGGAGTAGAACTCTGGTATTGCTTCTTTTTCACAAGACCACACACTTAAAAGCAGGCTACTGAGAGGCTTTAACAGATAGTTTCTTCTGTATTCCAGAACATTCCCCAATATCCAGGAGAAACATGTAACTGTGTCTGTTAAGTGTCAGTAGCTTTTTTTTTTTTTTTTTTTTTTTTTTTTTGAGACAGAGTCTCACTCTGTCGCCCAGGCTGGAGTGCAGTGGCGCTTTCTCTGCTCACTGCAACCTCCACCTCCTGGGTTCACACCATTCTCCTGCCTCAGCCTCCTGAATAGCTGGGTCAACAGGCGCCCGCTACCATGCCCAGCTAAGTTTTTTGTATTTTTAGTAGAGACAGGGTTTCACTGTGTTAGCCAGGATGGTCTCAATTTCCTCACATCGTGATCCACCCGCCTCAGCCTCCCAAAGTGCTGGCATTACAGGCATGAGCCACCGCGCCTGGCCGTCAGTAGCTATTTTAGATATCTGAAAAGCGAAAATTTGCCAGAATGTAGCAGAATATTCCCACTACCCACCCTTACCCCATGGCTGTTCTGTGCTTTCAGGAATTCGTCATCATTTTCTAGGAGTTGCAGGGAACTTGTCCAGAGTTCCAGCAGGCACTGCTGGAGGCCAGCAGCTGTGTCCTTTGCAGAGTGAGGTTTCTATGAGAAAGGCATTACTTCTAGTAAGTTCAGAGAAATTAAAAGGCTATTTGGCTGTAGACAAGTGTATTCACTTTAAATCTGTACTCTCTGTGTTCCAGAAGGAAATGGCTTTACTTACCAGCTTCCTATTTGTAATTGCCATTTGTTTCCAAGTAAGGGAACATAAGCAAAAATGTTTATTTTTCAGTTTATTCAAATGTTGATATTTTTGGTAATTTGTTTCTTTTTTTTTCCTTTCCTTTTATTTTCTTTTTCTTTTTCTTTTTTTTTTTGAGACTGAGTCTCACTCTGTCACCCACACTGGCGTGCAGTGGTGCGATCTTGGCTCACTACATCCTCCGCCCCCCAGGTTCAAGTGATTCTCCTGCCTTAGCCTCCGAGTAGCCGAGTAGCATGTGCCCACCACCATGCCCACCTAATTTTTGTATTTTTAGTAGAGACGGGGTTTTACCGTGTTGGCCAGGCTGGTCTTGAACTCCTGGCCTCAAGTGATCCACCTGCATTGACCTCCCAGAATGCTGGGATTACAGGTGTGAGCCACCACGCCTAGCCTGTAGTTTCTTTTCTGAAGTATTTTGGCTCACTCTACATTCTGATAAACAACTGCTGTTCAAATTTCTTTGTCCCAGTAGACTGTACATTTAACTTTTGAGCAGATCTGTTTCTTTAAAGGATGATTGGCAAGTGAGAGTCCTTACAGATCGATACATGCCAAACTAGAGAAAATTGGACTTCAATAATTGGCAATTTCTTCTCTAATCCCAGAAACTGCAGTTTTAAAATTTATATCTTAAAGACTGCAGAGGGAAAAGAGAACTACCTTGTGAATGCCTCCCATTTTTAGACAGTTCCTCAAAAAAGGAGCCAGCAAGGAGGCTTCCACAGTTTCATGCTTCATATTCCTCTAAGCTGCTGATAGGACCAAAGGGGCTGCCTTCTCAAATCTCCTCCTCAGCCCTTTGCACCTCTCCCTGTGCCCTCATTGGCCAGCTACACTCACAGCCTCATTTCCTTCCCTTCTCTCCTCCTTTTCACCTTGCCACACTGAGATGCTCAGGCGCCAGTCTTAGCTGCTTTTTTAACTGCAGTTATGGCCCTGGACCCCTTTGCCAGGCCCTCTCTGCTTACTTTGGGGTTCTGGTCTCTGGTCTGCTCCTTCTCTCCTTGTGATAACTGAGACCTAGAATAAAGGAGACAGCAAGTTTCTGGGGAAATAGTAAGTGTGGCTTTGAATTTGTTAAGTTGGAAGGCTGTAGGATAATTAGATAGAATTGCCTAGTAGGTAATTGGACACTTGAGAGGGATTGAAGGTAAAAGAGAGTGAGAGAAATTGACGATTAAGATATCCCATCAGTGGTGAAATGGGCTAGAACCCTAGTGTACTAGGATTGAAGGATTTACATTTGGAGAGGAAAATGGACCTTTCCTTGGGACTAGAATGAAAAGAATAGATGCTCTAATAGATCTGCCGGGGTGTTGAAAAGAAAGGCAGAAATGGGGTTCCTCTGTACTAGTGGAAAGGGACAAAAACATTGAGTGTGAGGAGGTGGGGAAGGCCTGTAAGGTTGGAATAAGACGAGGGAAAAGAGGGTCAGTGAGGAAGGGATTGCTGAGTAGAACTAAGGGCCTCCCCTGAGACTGGAGGTCATTGTTGTGTAAGAGCTCCTTTTCTGTAGGATGGATTTCCTTCAGCAGTGCTGAGCAGCAGGAGTAGAGTAAGAAGGGGTGGTCAGGATGCTAGAGCTGCCCTTTGAGGGTTTGGAAGGAGTCAACCAGCTGAAGGTGCCAATATGACTGTCAGTAATGTTGCCTTCTTTAGGGCTTGGGCTGTGGAGAACATGAAACTAGGTGTTCACGGCTATACTGGAGAGAAGGGAAGTGGCTTTAACTGGCTGCTGCATCCTGCTATGAACACAGCACCTGGCTCATAAATGTGCCTCATAAATGTTGGCTGACTTGGAGTGATGGAATCAGAGAACTAGTTTTGTAGGAATCAGAGGTGGTGATGGGATCTTTGATAGAATGGCATTTTTGCATTTGTTTTGGTAGTGAAGTAATTCTTTAGCGTGTCAGGATATTGAATACTGAATATTGAAGCCAGGGAGAACATGGCAGGAGACCAAGGCCTCTGCAAGTCCTGTGTGGCTTATTGGTGTTGATGGCATGAGAAGTAGCCATTATGAGTAGAAGCTGTGAGCTTCGGCCGGGCGCGGTGGCTCACACCTGTAATCTCAGCAATGTGGGAGGCCAAGACAGGTGGATCACTTGGGGCCAGGAGTTCGAGACCATCCTGGCCAACATGGTGAAATCTCGTCTCTACTAAAAATACAAAAATTAGCTGGGCATAGTGGCGTGTGCCTGTAGTCCCACCAGCTACTCGGGAGGCTGAGGCAGGAGAATCGCTTGAACCCAGGAGGTGGAGGTTGCAGCGAGCCGATATCACGCCACTGCACTCCAGCCTGGGTGACAGAGTGAGACTCGGTCTCAAAAAAAGAAGTTATAAACTTCAAAGTAGAGGGGATTTGCATGAGGGCATGAGGAAGGGATGTCTGGGAAGGACCTAGTGATCCTAAAGAGTGCCGACCCTACTGTCTAGGCCCTGAGGGTCAGGTGTTGTAGGAACTGAATGATAGGAAGGGGAACAGATGACTTCTGAGGAAAGCCAGGTTGTGGGAGAAGGTGGGAAGACATTTGTGAAGAGGCAGAGAGTGTAGGAGGCTGTTCTGAATAGGGAGGTTCTCAGAATGGGGAAAAAACAGAAGGCCTGCAACAGTGTTCTTGACAGACCCAGGAGGGTTTGTGTCAGAATCCCTGGGGCCAGCAGTGGGCTGATGATTATGGAGAAGTGCAGCATGGCAATAAGGTAGCTGTTCTGGAATGACTGCTGATGCTGCTGATGTCAGAGGAGACTTGTGCCAGGCTAACAGTATGTATTGCATTAATGATCTTATTTGATCCTCATAACATGTATTACCCTTATTTTACAAAATATGGAAACTCAGAGAAGTTACAAATTTACCTAAGAGTCACATGGTCTCATGGTTCCAAACCCAGTTCTTGCTGGCGGTGCTGATTTCTTTTGTGCACCTACCCTTCATGTATGGTCCTGTTCAGAGATAGCATCGGTGTAGGGATGTATAATGCATTCTTTGATGTATTGCTGGAGAGCTTGCTCATTCCCTGCCCAAACTTGCTTGGCTGTGGCTCTCTAGCACCCCCTGGTGGCAGCAATGGTATTGTGATATGCTAAGGTGAATGTGAACACTTCCTAGCCAAGGTACCTCGAAGTCACTGATGTGCTGCAGCAAGAACATTTCCTTTGTTGGGAATGTGGCACTTATCAAACACAGCCTTTAACAGTTGTTTACGTACCTATCTTAACTGCAAAGGAAGAGTTTAATGTTTGCATACCCCTACAGTGTTTAGCTAAGACACTTTAAATAGAGTGTGAAAGGAGAAACCCCAAGGGGAATCAAATTCTGGACTGAGCCCTTCTTATTCATGGGTAACAACGCCTTCCACCTTAGCCCAAGCGTAAGGGCCATCCCTTCCCTTATATCTGGGATGATACTCTTTCCCTCTTTTCTTTCATCTTTATTATGTACCATTTCGTTAGCTTTTTTCACTAGCATATATACATATTTGAATATCTCATCTAAAAACAAAGAAAAGCTTTGGAACACCCCCCACTTCACCATCTGTCTCCCATTCTTCTAGTTAAGTTTCTTGAAGAATGGTTTATCGAACATCTTTCTTCTCACTCTTTTCCCAACCTGCTGCCTCGTGGCTCTGCAAATCTCAGTCTGCCACCAATGATACCTTTTGTGACCACTGAATGAGAGAGGGATACCATAGTTATCAAGAACCTGTGGGCAGGGCAGAGAGTGATGTGAACTGTAGGGCTTCATTGAAAGTCTTGATGCTGGCAGCCATTCTGAATTTCAGCTATTGCTTTGCAGTTTGAGCTGCTTCTTTCATGAACTCTCCATAGCAACAGAGCCTTAATTATTGATGCTGATTGGTTCTGTTAAGCCACATTGGGTAGGCCAAGTATTGATAGATAACATTGGTGTTTTAGAGACATCTCATGGGTTGCCTGTCTTCCCTTCTGGATTCTGAATCACTTAAGAAGTAGATCCAGAGGTCAAATGGGGATCTAAACATGAACTTTCTTTTTGGTGAGAGCAAGACTAGAGGATGTGACTTAGATATTCTATGAGAAATCTACCTTGGAATCTGCTTATTGTGTGAGTGGGTCTGCAGAGCAGACCTTCCTCCACCAGCCACAAGGAGGCCCTCCGAGCTTGGCTTTCATTTATCAACCAGAGAAGGCATTGGTAGCTATTTATGGTCTGTCAGTTACATATCTCACCGCTTTGGTTCTTCATATCTGGCTCTCCATGGCCTCTCTGTCAGTGCTGCATAGTTCTCAGCAGGATTTCTGACCCTAGATGGCAGGTTTTATGGAAGAGTGGTGGTCCTGTTGTGGACTTAAAATAGAGGGTGGCTTACTTGGTTGAATTTTTATCCAATTGAAAATTCTTAGGACTGTTTCTGACAATTTGCATTTTTTTATAGCTAGATTATTTGTACATATGAAAGGCTCATCCATTGATTAATGAGCCAATTAATGAAGTCAAGCTGATAGTATCCTTCTTGTTATCACAGGTCCATTTTGTTTATTTTTGTCTATTTTACAGGTTGAATATAAGCTGGGATTCCAAGTGGACAATGTTTTGGCAATGGATATGCCCCAGGTCAACATTTCTGTTCAGGGGGAAGTTCCACGCACTTTATCAGGTAAGTAAGAGTCTTCAAAGACAGAGTTAACATACTTTTTCAACTGCATCCCCTATGGCCCCAAAACAGAAGTTTACTGATGTGTAGTGTGTATTACTTGATAGGCATAAGATGTATGAGTACTGTGAAAAGTAATTTTTGTAAATATTTGCACTGTGTTCTTAAACCATTCTCTCTTTTCTGTCCTTCTGGAACTCTCTGTGCTCCGCCCTCCCTGTCTCTTTTTCTGCATTGCTGGTACTTACCTCCACATGAGTCCCTGTGCCTGATCTTGTTTCCCTTTGATTAGGCACCACATTTCACCCTGTGGCCCAGATGATCTTTGCACGGTCATGTTTGACCCTGTGACGTGAAGCCCATCAGTGCTCTCCACTCCCATCAACTGAACATTCCAGACTCACCACCTTGTGTCCTGGATCCTTTACCATCTGCCCCTGCCTGCCTGTCTAGCCTTGTTGCTGCACTTGCCCCAGAGTTGTAGCAGTTCCAGACTACATGCAGTTCTGATCTTCAAGCCTTTGCATGTGCTGGTCTCAGTATTTGGGATCATCTTTTCCTCTTTCTGCTCGTGAACTCCTTTCTATTCATCCTACTCATTCTGCAAGACTCAAGATCTGCACTGTCTTTTTTCTGCCACCTTCTCTTCTTTCATTTGTTAACTTCTATTCTTCCTACCCCTTAGAACCTTATATTTAACTGTTTTTGCACTGATTACATATCTAGCAATTCCCTTGATGCATAGCATAGAGTATGGTGCAGGATAGGCACTCAGTACAGTCTGAGTAAATGAATAAGTGTATTATTTACACCAATTTAACTGCTTTTGAGCTAACTTCTTAGGCTCTTGAAGTTGTGGTATTTGTAAGAAATGGATATTTTTAAAAATTGAAAGTATCAGCCACAATAGTGTTGTGAAACTTTTTCTGGCAGTCATATTCACTGTTATCAGTGACATACATTAAGCTTAAATAAAGCACAGGAGGGCTGCTTAAATTTTTATGGGCAGTAAAGGAATTTAGAAATGCCCATATCTTTAATGCAGTCATACAGATGGTAGAATGATAGGTTTTAAATTTGTAGGAAAAGAATCTTAAAGATTGGGGAAAAAAATTATATGCACTGAAGTCTGTTATCCCATTGTTACAATTATGGATTAAAATCAATTTCTGTTGAGAAAGGTGATAGCTGACAATTTATCAGATTCATTTACAGGTTTATATTTAATCTTTTTATTAAGAGCAGACATACTTGCATTTTGGTAGTGAGTTGTCTTTCCATTTGATCATGTAATTTCTGTTGTTACTATTGCTGATGTGTCTGTTAAGGTTTGCCTTATGATCCTTCAGTTTTAGTGTACTGGAATAGCAGGACTTATGAGACAAAGTGGTGTATTAAAAACAATGAGCAGAAGTTGAAAACAATTATCTCTTCATTGATGTCTTGGTTTGTTCTTTAATACTAACTTTTATATCCATAATGAATTAAATGCTTAATGTCTAGAGGTGTGGTAGTCTGAAGATCTCTAAAAACTTTTGTTTAGTTACTTTATTTAAATGTATTACTTTTAGTTTTCTTGCAGCAAAAATAAGTAATTCTAAAATGTTTAAAAGAATCATTTTGGGGCATTAATGTTGATTTTTAGAAAATGTAAAATATTTTTCTTATCTTTTTTAAACAGTGTTTCGGGTAGAGCTTTCCTGTACTGGCAAAGTAGATTCTGAAGTTATGATACTAATGCAGCTCAACTTGACAGTAAATTCTTCAAAAAATTTTACCGTCTTAAATTTTAAACGAAGGAAAATGTGCTACAAAAGTAAGGAATTTATTTACCAAAATATGTTTTACATGTATGTGAGAAGGTGAAAAATAGAGTTTGTTGTTTTTTCACAGATTTAAGTATGTCCAACTCATGATTATAGTTGCAAGTGAGAAAAGAGCACTGGCAGGTGAAGTTTTGAGATAATCCCAGATGGTTGGTAGCCAAGAATCTCACTCAGGCCTCATTCAGTCCATGCTTTCTCAAATCTTTTGTCAGAATTGCTAAGATGTTTTCCATTAGGAATAGTGCTAAAATGGTTGAAGAGGTAAAGAAATAAGAAAAATCTGTTGGGACTTCTGAGTAACTATGTTAACTGTGTTTCCCTTATCAAGTTACTTTTATGCAGAAGCATTGCTCTCGGGTGAGATAGACCTGGGTTGGAATGGCAGCTCTGCTCTTTTCAGGATATTGATACAAGTTACTTAACCTCTCTGAGGCTTAGTTTTTTCATCTGTAAAATGGGCATAATACCTGTTTCAGAGGTTTGTTGTTTTTTACGGTTCATTAAATCTAGCCTAAAACTTAGAATACCGTATGTGGGTACTTAGCAAAGTTAGTTCTTTTTGGTTTTGAATTATCTGTTACTGAAGAAATCGAGTGGATATGAAAGAGTTCCAGCATGCTAGGTCATAAATCAAAGAATTTTAGAGTTCTCCTTACAAGTTTAGTCCAACCCACTCACTGTAAGTTCCACAAAGCTACAGTGACCCAAATTTACAAGGTCACGTAGGTAGAATTGGTTAGTATCTAAGATGGGGGGGGGAAATATACTTTAAAAAAACCTCGCAAACCCTCAGTGCTTACTGTGTTCTAAGTGCTTGATAGGTATTACACCTGTTTAATCCCTACAGCAACCCTAGGCAATGGGTTCTCTCATTGTCTTCATTTTCAGAAAAGGAAGCTGAGCTTCAGAGAATCTAGCTTGTCAAGATCAGATAGCTAAGTGGTGCAGCTAGGATGCAGACCTGTTCTCTCAGCCTCTTTGTTAAACTTTCTTTTAATAAATTTCCCAATTGAAATCAGTGCTGAGTGTTATGAAAACACCTAAGGCCAACAAGTGAGTTGAATTGGCTAATGTCTGGGTACATGCCAATAAAAAAGCTGCACTACATTTGAATAGACATTTTAAGAAAGAAGAGTTAGCATCTTTCAGCTTTAGTGTTTTGGTACAATTTTCAGTTCTACTATATTCAGTTATATACCAACTTCCATGTAATGTTAAAGACAAAGGAGATTTCAGAGACTCTCTACTCCAATGTAGTCATTATATATTTGATATAAGGAGATTGGACCCTTGGCCACCTAGGCTACCACAGCTAGCCAGTGAGGAGTGTAAAACATTCAGTTCCTTATCCTCAGAGAGATGGGCATGACTGTACCATGGTGCTTCATCTGTTACTCTTAAGTAAGGCAGAATGATAACCAGACATGGTGTGGCCTCTGGATCCCACCAGTGCTAATATCTGCTAAGGTTAATGATCAGCTGATACTCAAAATGGTCACATACTTTCTCCATTTTCTTTAATATGTGTGTGAAATTAACATTAAAATTCTGTGTTGGAGTAATTTTCTATTCTGTTTTAGACTTAAGTTTTTCTCTGGCCCTCTGTATTTGTTGGTCATGGTTTTGGCCACCCTAGTCATCCAGTTCAGGCTCATGACTCTTACTTTATTATGTGATCCTAATGTATTTATTTATCTGGTTTTCCAGCCTACTATATTTCAAAAACTGTCTGCAACAGAAAACATCTGTACTATATGGAATGTTAGTAGGTGTTACTAGCAAGAAAAGTTTCTTTTATCATATGAGGATGGGAATTATGGGTTAGACAAGTTTTGTGACCCCATAACTCCTTTCAGTCTTTATATTCTAATGTTCACTGTGAAGCTCCAAAGAGACACTATAGTATGTGGCTTTTCCCAAACTTCTTGATCATAGGAACATTTTCACTGAGCATCTAGAAGTAACACCCTTTGGCTAACAGTGGTATAGACTATTGATTGGTGACTGTAGTGGTGATTATCAGAATAGTAACATAGCTTTCATTATCTCGCAACACATACCTGTTGCTGAGTTCCAGCAATGTTCTGATAATTATAGTAATTAAGGATTTTCATGGAAAAGAGAATTTCTAAAGCATCATTTTTCTCCTTTAAATTCAGAACTTGAAGAAGTAAAAACTTCAGCCTTGGACAAAAACACTAGCAGAACTATTTGTAAGTGTTACTGTATTATCTTTATCCATTATTAGAAATGAAAAATGGTTGACTGCATATAAACATGATTGCATGAAGCTTGGAGGCCTCATGGTATCAAATGATAATGACACCATGCTGTTATTTTGCTGGTGCTTTGTAGACTGGTGGATAGGTCATGAAACTGTTAGAATATTGAATATTTTGAGAACTAAAATTTATACGTATTTTGTAACGAGTAAGCTAAAAAGTTTTACAAGCAAGAATATCATATATTTTTGAGTAGTCATAATTAAAGTATGACCATGAAATATGTGTAAGATGTTTATTAGCAGAGGGTTAGAAAATCTGGCTTGCAGTCTGGACCTAATCTTAAGCTAATTTCATCCAGGTGAAGGTGTAAGCTTAAAGATATTATGTTACTTAAACCTACAGAGCAGGTATGCAAAGTAGATTTTTATTTTTTGGTATCGGTTGTGTTTAGATATTATTACAAACTTCTTTTTTTTTTCTGACATGAAGACATCGTTGGGTCTTACTCTTCTTGCGGTAGTGTTAATAGCAGTATCTTAAAAGGATACTAGATTCTCTTCATGCAAGTAGACTTTAAAAAATTGGTTTTGAAAACTTCAAGTATATAAAAGTTCAGAGTACGCTTTGATGAACTCCCATGTGCCCATCCCCCAGCCTCAGTAATGATCAACACTTTGCCATTGTTCTTCCATTGATTCCCTCCTTTTGTGGTTGGTTAGGGGTGGAGGAGAGTATTTTCAGGCACATCCCAGGCATCAGATTATTTCACCCATAAATATTTCAGTGTAGATCTCCTTTAAAAGGGCCTTTAAAAAACCCCCACAATCACCTAATACCTATTCATTTTGATTTATCACATATAACAAAATTAACAGCAGTTGCTTAGTATCTCCAATAGATAGTCCATGTTCAAATTAACCCGATTGTCTTTAAAATGTCTTTTTTTCCTCCTGAATCAAGATCCAAATGAAGCCTACACAACTGTTGGGTGATATATGTTTTGTATTAATCAGAAACCACCAACCCTTTTATTAATATTATTTATTTATTGAAGAAATTATGTCATTTGTCCCATAGAATTTCCCACATTCTGCATCTTCCTGAAATCATTGAACATGTTTGTTTGTTTGTTTTTCTGTAAACTGGCAGATAGATTTTGCACTTGATTAGATTTAGAACCAACTCTTTTGGTAAGAATAGTCCATAGATGGTAGGTACTCTGTGCTGCCTATTTTGTCTTTTCATCACCTTGGGAGGCACAGAGTATCTGGATGTCCCAAAGGGGAATTTTTTTGCCTGTAAAATAATGTGACATATCGTCTACTTGCTGGAATATTTCTGAAAAGAAAGAAAAAACATTAAAAAAAATGTCACTGTTGCCAAAGTTTACTTTTAAAATTCTGGTGACTTTGCCCATTTCTTTTATGCTAGTAGGATATTACTTCTCACAAAGAGCAGTACTGCATATTCTTGGCCTCTGTCTGTGTCTTCCTTGCTGCCTCTCATCTTCCCGCCCTTTCTATTTATTCATCCACCCAGTACCTATGGAGAGTCTGTGGTGTGTTAGGCGGTATGACTGAAGCAGAGGACTAAACTGTGAGCAAAGAGATCCTTTCCTCGGGGGTTTATAATGTAGTGGGAGAAATAGACGAGGCAATATAGGCAATGATACCAACATAGCATGGCAAGCTATGATAAGGCAAGCACAGGGGATTTGGGAACCCAAGGATAGCTTCCTGAGAACAGTGACAGCTCTTCTGAGAGCTGAAGGGTGACCAGATGGTGGCAAATGAAGGATGAATGAGGGAATGGGAAAAATGCATAGGAAAGCCTGGAATTTGGAGGTAATTGAGCAGGGCGCATCTAGGGGGATCTGCCCAGCAGAGCCGTATCCTTGGCTCTGCTCTGGAAAGTGCTTGGACAGTACTGCTAACATATGCCTCCAGAATTCAGAATTTTTTTCTGTCCCTCCCAAGATTGAATAGCTTTCCTGTGGCATAAGGTAATTCTTGATGAAAGTCATGCCTTCATTCAGGCTACAGCCAAGTCTAGCTGCCCTAGAAGTCATTTGGTCTCTACGTTAATCTGTTCTGATTTATTGTTTGTTGATAGGAAGGTTAAATTTTAGAAAAGTTTTATTTTTCTTATTTCCATGTGTTTTTGAAAGCTGTAAGTTTTATCTTTTATCCTGACCTATCCCCAGAACTCCAAACTTGTATATCTGTCAGTTTAACGTCTGTGCATGGAGATATGAGGTACCTAGTTAGTAGACTAGGTACTCCAAATTTAACTTGGGCAAAACTCTTGATTTTCACATCCCCAACCTGCTTATTTTTATCTTTGTAAAGTTACCCTTATCCAAGTTATTGCTTGAGCCAAAACTTTTCATTCTTCTTTTTCTTTCTACTTTGGTACAATCCATTAGTAAGGTATGTTGACTGTGTTCCCAAATCCACTTACTTCTCATCTTCACTGTGACACTCTTGTCCAAGCCAGTGCTGTCTCTCTGAATTACTCTGGTAACCTTCTAACTTGTTCCCTGCTTCTGCTCTTGCTCCCCTACACGGCATTCTTCACACATCATGCAGTCATTTTTTGTTAAGTGACCGTGTGAAATTGCTTTGCTTGAAACCTTGCAATGATCCCCCATCTCACTTAGGATAAACCCCAAATGCCTCAAGTTTTGTTCAGTAGAGTTATGATGTGAGTACTCGTGATCAAATCTTTCATGAATCTCCAGTCACACCAGTTCTACTTCTGTTTGCATCTTCCACTCTGCCTGCTTATGTCATTTGTATCTTGCTGTGTGTTTTTTCTCAGTTTGCTTCTGCGTGTGTGTGTGTGTGTGTGTGTGTGTGTGTGTGTGTGGCTGTGGCTGTGTCATTGGGTTATTTTCCCTGTTGCTGAGGCTTTCTTTTTGTCTCTCTTATTTATATATTTATTTATTTGTTAATTATTTTTGAGACGGAGTCTTGCTTTGTCACCCAGGCTGGAGTGCAGTGGTGTGATTTTGGCTCACTGCAACCTCTGCCTCCCGGGTTCAAGTGATTCTCCTGCCTCAGCCTCTCGAGTAGCTGGGACTACAGGTGCGCACCACCATACACGGCTAATTTTTGTATTTTTTTTTCAGTAGAGATGGGGTTTCACTATGTTGGTCAGGCTGGTCTCAAACTCCTGACCTCAAGGGATCACCCACCTCAGCCTCCCAAAGCGCTGGGATTACAGGTGTGAGCCACGGCACCCAGCTTGCCTCTCTTTTTAAAATAATATAAAGCTGAGTATCATTTTATTTAATGAATAGAGCCTTTAAAAACAGAAAAGCAAAACAATTTCTGTTGTACTCTCAAAAAAGAATAAATGTTTTTATAAACTTGTGGACCCTTCTGTCACTCAGTCTTCTGTGAGTCAGTGGTCCCTGGCAACAAAATGATGTCTGATTCCTCTAACCCAAACATTGTTGTTGAAGAAATATGAAGAATATATAGATCTGCACTGTCTAGTATGGTAACTGCTAGCCACATGTGGCTTTTTAACTTTAATTACAGTGAAGTAAAATTAAAACATCAGTTCCTCAGTTTTACTAACTACATTTCAGTAGCTTTAGTTGTACTTATATTTGAATGCTTAATAGCCACAGGTGACCAGTGGCTACTGTATTGGACAGTACTCTAGAGAACATTTTCGTCACTGCAGAAAGTTCTGTTGGACAGCACTGCTGTAGTATATTTTATGCACTGGTATGTTTTATGTATACCACTTGTGAGTGACTGTTATACTCATTAGCCAAAAATTCTATTTAAAATCTTTTTTCTTTCTTTTTTTTAATCTTTGTAAAGGTACCCTTATCCAAGTTATTGCTTAAGCCAAAACTTTTCATTCTTCTTTTTCTTTCTACTTTGGTACAATCCATTAGTAAGGTCTGTTGACTTTTGTATTAATCAGAAACCACCAACCCTTTTATTAATTTTATTTATTGAAGAAATTATACCATTTGTCCCATAGACTTTCCCACATTCTGCATCTTCCTGAAATCATTGAACATTTTTTTTTTCTGTAAACTGGCAGGTAGATTTTGCACTTGATTAGATTTAGAACCAACTCTTTTGGTAAGAATAGTCCATAGATGGTCTGTCGCCCACGCTGGAGTACAGTGGAGCGATCTCGGCTCACTGCAACCTCTGCCTCCCAGGTGCAAGCGATTCTCATGCCTCAGCCTCCTGAGTAGCTAGGATTACAGGTGCCTGCCACCATGCCCAGCTAATTTTCGTACTTTTAGTAGAGGCGGGGTTTCACCATATTGGCCAGGGTGGTCTCAAACTCCTGACCTCAAGGTGATCCACCTGCCTTGGCCTCCCGAAGTGCTGGGATTACAGGCGTGAGCCATCACACCTGGCCTAAAATATTTTTTTTAAACTACAACAAAAACATCAAAAAAATTATGTGAACTTCCACCAATATGCTACTGGTAACTGATCTTACAAAGAATGGGCACATGAAAAGAACAGAATACTTATTTATGTATATTGGGTCACAAAGCAGTCATATTTGTTTAAAAAGCTAAATGTGCTTTTTGTTTTTATTTCAGATGATCCTGTACATGCAGCTCCAACCACTTCTACGCGTGTGTTTTATATTAGTGTAGGGGTTTGTTGTGCAGTAATATTTCTCGTAGCAATAATATTAGCTGTTTTGCACCTTCATAGTATGAAAAGGATTGAACTGGATGACAGGTATTGTACATATTTTGGGAAAGAAAAAAAATGAAAGCAGTTATTTGTATATATGTGGGAGCCCATACACATCGATGCACAGTGGTGCAGGGAAAGGAGGGAGGATGATTAAGCCCCAGCCAAAGGAAAAATAAGATGACCTAATCACTGTCTCTGGTTTCTCTGATTTTATTTTTATTTTTTAAAAATTAAGAAGTCAGAAATTAGTTTTTTAGTTGTTGAGGAAGAAGTGGAGAACAAGTAGTTTTTTCTATTCCCTTTGACATGACTCTACCTCAGACCATTGCCTTTTCAAAATAGCCCTGTTTCTTCCTTCTAGATCTTGCCTTCATCATTCTCCCTTTCTCTCTTCCTCCCTCCATCCATCCAGTAAACATGTATTGAGCACCTGCTCTGATTTAAACCATTGGTTCTCAACCTGGTTACACATTAGAGTCAAGGAGAAGCTTTGAAAACATACTGGTATTTGGGTCCACCTTCCAGAGATTTTGATGCAGTTGGTTTGTGGTAGTATTTGGGGATCAGTATTTTTCATAAAGCTTCCTGGATGATTCTAATGTACAGCCAGTTTGAGATATACTGGGTTAGATACTATGCTAAGTGCTGGGAACAGAAAGAAAGAATGATATACTTTATAGTTTCAAGATTTTAATCTTTTACATTAACCTGTAATTATAAAAGTATGTAATTTGATGACTGTGATATGTATAGTAAAGTGTGTGAATACAAAAGGTGCTTGTCCAGCCTCAGTGAGTCAGAGATGACAAGGAGGACATTATAGTCAAGTTAGGGTGAGAGGTACAGATGGAATGATAGGTTTATTTTCATAACAAACACTTCTTACTTCCCTCCTCTGTGATTTCCAGTTGCTGCCTGAAGACATGCCCCAGCTTTGTGACTTCTTTGAAAGCCCTCCTTTATGTGGAGACGTATCATCCATACTCTTTGAACCTTTTCTCCTCTTATTGCTGTATCCTTACTTGCGCTCCAGTCAAATGATCACTTATTCCTCACTTTCGCCCCACACTTTGCCCTTCAGGACTTTTGTTCATGCTTTCTTCTTCCCACAAGCCTCCATGCATTTTCCACCAGTCCAAACTTGGTCCGTTCTTCAAATTCCAGCTCCATTGCTGTCTCTTTCATGAAGTCTTTTCTAAGCCTCCCAAACACCCCTTTCTCTTTGTCTCTGTCTCTGTCTCTCTCTCTCTCGTAGCAGTTATTGCACTTTTTCTTCTATAATTTTTTGTGTAATTGTCTTACCTTTAGAATGTAAGCTTTTTCCAGTTAGGGAGCAGTGTGTCTTACTCATTGTTGAGTCACCAGTCCTAATTAGTCTTAACATGCAGCTGGGAAGCATATTTGTGGCGTAAGAATATGAAGGGGAAGGGAGCTGGTTGGATTCAATACCTGCCCCTTAGTACTCTTTGTCCCCACTGTTTTATTTTCCATTTCTGTGTGGAGAAAGAAGAGAAAAGGGATACGAATGAGAAGGAAGTACGTATATGATTTGTTTCAGAATATGTTTTGTGTACATGATGGTGGTGAAGTTAGGTTTAGATTTTACAGGGGAAGAAATGGCATTTGGAAGCGATTGAGGGAACATTTTGATAGGACTTTGAGAGAGGATACAGGTAGAGAGGTGACTGAAGAGCATGACATTTGGAAGTCAGTCTTGATATAGCCAGAGAGTTGCGTTTTCCTTGAATGCTTGCATGCGTGCTAGGGCTGTGAGCCCACATAGGCCAGAATTTTGCAATAACTTTCAGATTCCATGGGGCATCTACCTCTGCCTGCTGAAATAATTAGTTACCATCCATGAATTGGTGTTCCAGTTCTCTTTAGTTTTCAGGCAAAAGTTTCCAGACATTACCTGAGTAAAACCAGCTTATATTATCACGTTTTCAGAGCATAGTCTAGTGGTCAAGAGTACGGACTCTAGAGCCAGACCATCTCTGTTTGAAGCCTGGCTATTCTGTTTACTAGTTTTATGGGCTACATGGATTAAGTTATATAGCCTATGTGTGTCTCAGTTCTCCTCTGTAAAGCAGAAATACACACCTAGTAGGTATGTTGTGAGGTTTTAATGAAATACAGTAAGCTCTTAAAACAGAGCCCTACGTATAGTAAATGGCATTTTATGAAGTTTTTAATAAAGTTGCAATATGCTAGTATGTCCAGAATTGGTTCCTTCTGGTGGGTTCTTGGTCTTGCTGACTTCAAGAATGAAGCCGCGGACTCTCGCGGTGAGTGTTACAGTTCTTAAAGATGGTGTGTCTGGAGTTTGTTCCTTCAGATGTTCAGATGTGTCCGGAGTTTCTTCCCTTCTGGTGGGTTCATGGTCTCACTGACTTCAGGAGTGAAGCCGCAGACCTTCGCAGTGAGTGTTATAGCTCTTAAAGGTGGTGCATCCGGAGTGGTTCGTTCCTCCTGGTGGGTTCGTGGTCTCACTGGCTTTAGGAGTGAAGCTGCAGACCTTCGCAGTGTTACAGCTCATAAAGGTAGTGCGGACCCAAAGAGTGAGCAGCAGCAAGATTTATTGTGAAGAGCGAAAGAACAAAGCTTCCACAGCGTGGAAGGGGACCCAAGCAGGTTGCCGCTGCTGGCTTGGGTGGCCTGCTTTTTTTCCCTTATTTGGCCCCACCCACATCCTGCTGATTGGTCCATTTTACAGAGAGCTGATTGGCCCATTTTACAGAGTGGTGATTGGTCCGTTTTACAGAGTGCTGATTGGTCTGTTTTTACAGAGTGCTGATTGGTGCGTTTACAAACCTTTAGCTAGACAGAAAAGTTCTCAAAGTCCCCTACCTGATTAGCTAGACACAGACCACTGATTGGTGCGTTTACAAACCTTTAGCTAGACACAGAGTGCCGTTTGGTGCATTTACAATCCTTTAGCTAGACAGAAAAGTTGTCCAAGTCCCCACCCGACCCAGAAGCCCAGCCAGCTTCACCTCTCACTAGTAGTGATGGACAAAGTTCTTCTGCCCTTTCCTGTCCTATTAACAATTATTTATTACCTGCCAGGCAAGCTAACAGTGGTGACCAGAAAGCTCACATCCAGTTATCCAACAGCATTTAAGAGACATCTGCTGCTTCTCTCTCTGCATAGGGGCCACTGGGATTACCATTTATTGAGTGTTTTCTGTTTACCAGTACTGTACCCCAGGTACTTTATATGTATTATCTTAACACAGCCACCTAGAAATAGGCTTGAAGAGATTAAATAACTTTTTCAGGATTGCTCTTCTAGGAGCAGGGCAGAGCAGGCGGGACTCAGTGTTGTAATAGCTATGTGTTAATAATCCACTATTGTCATTGTATAAAACACTTGCTGTGTGCCAGGCACTGTTCCCTGTGCTTTACATTCATGAACTCCGTTAATCCTCACACAGTCTGGTGAGGTTAGATGGAGCCCATGGCTCCGTGGAATTCATTAGAAAGGGATGGTAGTGTTCTTCCATTCCAGGCACTTAGGAGCCACTGCTTGTTATAAACAGATCTCATTAGAGGCAGAGAATTAACACTGCCTGAGATATGCCCATGCCAGGGCAGTTGGAGCTCATGTGTGTGGCTTTCCCTCTCTCAACACTGCAAATTGATCTTTTCAGTCTCTTTGTTACGCCTGATGAGTCTGTCCTGGATAGGCAGAGCTTCTCTTTACATTCACCCTGAAGTCCTGCAGAGGGGTTGGTCTGCAGCGTGTCTCTACTGTAGTCTTTCCCTGTTAGTTTGTGACTGTGGGAAAGTTTATTACTCCTTTGTGGGATGCTTGAACTTGTCATCTGGCAGCATCTTAATTTTTCTCTTCCAGTTTCCATTATCCCCACCACCGCCCCCATGCCATTACTGGTGACAGAGTTTCCCTTTAAAATCTTTGATTTTATATTTAATGCCTAACTGTCTGACACATAGTAAAATACTCAGTAACTATTTGGTTGAATAACCAATGAATAGAGGGAGGAAAAAAACCATTTTGTTTTACCAATCATTCTTTGCTTTTTTCACAATAGTTTGTGCCAGAAATGACCATTCTGTCTGGTTTATGTTTTCTGTCCCAGGGAAGCGTGGTTTTCTCTGTTCATTGATTGACTCAGTGTTAGTTGAGCTGTCACTGGGGCTCACTCTGGCCCACTTGCGGCTTATTGTGCCAGGTACTGGCATAAGTGCTGGGGAAGGAGAGGTGAATAAACAGGCACTTGTCCTGCCTTTGTGGAGTTTATAGTCTGGTTGGATGAGACAGATATTAAACAAAAAAAATCCTTACTGGAATGTAGGGGTCACAGTCTTTGTCTGTTGCATTCATTGCTGTATCTCTAGCACCCAGTACAGTACCTGACATGTAGTAGATACTTAATAAATATTTGTGGAATGAATGGATGAAGTGGAGTTACAGAGAAAAATAGAAAAGTACAAATTGTTGTCAGTGTTTTGAAGGAAAATTATGATCTTTCCCAAAGTTCTGACTTCATTCTAAGACAGGGTTAGTATCTCCATACATAATTTTACTTGCTTTTGAAAATCAAATGAGATAATCTATTTAGATTGATAATTTATTTAGACTGGCTATAAACTATTAAGTGCTAGCAAATATACATTTTAATCTCATTTTCCACCTCTTGTGATATAGCTATGTAGGTGTTGACTTTAATGGATGTCAGGGGTAGGTCCCTAATTGCTTCTTGCTTCTATCATAACAGTAAGTCTTGGATTCAAAAAAAAATTTCGTTCTGACCACTTAGCATAGTGCTTTGCTTATTTTAGGGACCCACTTAATATCTGTTGAGGGAATGAAAAATTGACATAGATGTCCCTGTAACGCCTTTGTGTGCCTACAGTCTTTTCAAAAATTCTGAGGTAGCACAAGAGTGCCACCTACTGTTAAGTTAATGGAGAGACTGTGTCTGTGCACTTAGTCATCAGTGATGTTGGTTGCAGATAATACTTAAGAAGTACTTTCACATATCTCATACAATTTGAGCCTCACAAAAATCCTGTGAGGTAGATTATCTTAATCCCATTTATTTCCTCCCCTTTTGAGGATGGTAATGCTCCTCTTCCCTCCCCATTATTGAAGTCTGGACTTCTAACAGCTTTGATATCTGGTTTGATTTTTGAGTGGTACTCAACTGTAAAACAGAGTCCTGTAATCCCTTTTTGCTCTAACGACTGGAGATGCATAATATTCACATAATTAATATAACTATAGTAGTATACTATAAATTAGTAACAATAATTTATAAAGATATGTTTGAGGGCTAGGCAATAAATGCTTTACTTATTTATTTTTCATGTAATCGTTTTAGCAATCTTATCAGAGGATAGTGTTATGCACACTCTGTCCACGGGAATTTGAGGTTCCAGAGGATTAAATAGTTTGTCCTAGGCCGTACAGCTAGTAATCGATGATACTGGCAGTTCTGACTTCACGGTTTATGCTCTTCATCTCTTTTCTATATTGACCTATACCCACTGCATTATAAACTCATATAGATCAATTCTGTAATAACGTTGAGCCAAAGAAGCTCTTCCAGCACTCTGACCAGATGATAGCCTAATGAATCTTTATTATAGTCTCTTTGAGTTGCAAAGTATCTTCGCAGAGTTGCTGGAGAAACAGGGCTAACTGCAGCATCACAAGAAGAAGTATCAGGTTGGTGCAGTAATTGCAGTTTTTGTCATTAAAAGCAATAGCATTAAAAGCAATGACAAAAACTGCAATTTGCAATTACTTTTGCACCAATCTAATAGATAACCTAAAATGATGGACATCTTCAGGGAAGGCATGCTGGGGGGGCATTTCATTAGGCAAACATGTATCTTGAGATCTATGGTTGTGCTGAGCAGAATGGTTTGCATATTATAAGTGCTCTCCAAATGTTTATTGCAGGACATTTCTATCTTAATTTTTGCTATGACTTTCTACAGATGTTTGGTTACAATAGCAGATAGTAGTATATTGTATTATTAGCCATAGAAAGGCTACATAAAGACTTACAGTCCTCATTGCCTGGATGTTATATATTTACATTTTTCAGATTTGTGTATGGGCTCTTGAAATTGATAAACATTCATATATAAATGTTATAGATTACATAGCAGCCGTGTGTGTGTGTGTGTGTGTGTGTGTGTGTGTGTGTGTGTGTGTGTTTTGTTTCAGAGACAGGGTCTCACTATGTTGCCCAGGCTGGCGTCAAACTCCTGGACTAAAGTGATCTGCCTAACAGCCTTCCAAATAGCTGCAGCTACAGGCTTCACACCGCACTCAGCTTTATTATGTATTTTTTTAAATCACCAGTTTTTGAAAATACAGAATTATTATGTGGGAAGTGGTCAGTTAAAAGATTTTGCATATTAAGGAAAGTTGGAGACTTGATTGGGCACTGCTGATCCTGTAGCTAAGAGAGGCATTGAAAGACCTATCCTGCTATCTGGTTTCACCCTTCATGCTGAATTTCTATGTTTCACGTCTCCACTGCTGCAAAATTATAAGAACTAAGGCAGTGAGACCGAAATGTACCCACGAGACAAGGTTTCTCCCCACTGAAAAGACAAAACTACATGCTTGAGCAGCATTACTTTGCAGTAATCTTGAACACAAGGTTTACAATTATTTGAACCTATCATCTTCTTGGTGTCCTGTATTATTTAGAGAATATGGTGTAGTGTTTCAAGTACTAGAGATTTCCCAGAAGTTGGATGAAAGGGAGGGATTGGGGAAGTAGAAGAAGCAAAATGTATTGTGTTTAAATAAACTTGAACCAAATTTGATACTTTTTTTTTTTTTGAGATGGACTGTCACTTTATCGCCCAGGCTGGAGTGCAGTGGCGTAATCTTGACTCACTGCAAACTCCACCTCCCAGATTCAAGCGATTCTCCTGCATCAGCCTCCCGAGTAACTGGGACTACAGGCACGCGTCACCATGCCCGGCTAATTTTGTACTTTTAGTAGAGACAGGGTTTCACCATGTAGGCCATACTGGTGTCGAACTCCTGACCTCCAGTCATCTGTCCGCCTTGGCCTCCCAAAGTGTTGGGATTACAGGCGTGAGCCACCGCACCTGGCCAATACTCCTTTCTAAGCTCCGAGCATGTTGGCACATTTGATTTGGTTTGCTCTTTCTTTATCTGTAGGCCATTTGATATTGGGCCATCATTGAAAGAGGCCTGTCTTTCTTCTTCTTTTCTAAAAAGCAATCTAATTGAATGACATGGGCTCTTTTTTTGAGAGATGATCCGTAGTTCCCTAACATATTTGTGTGTGAAGTTTAGGACAATTAGCTGAGGTGTCTGAGCACTAGTACCTACATTTCTGAATAATTTTGATAAGATGAACTCGCTTAATGATTTTGGAGATAGAAATGAAAGAAAAAATAGAGCTCTATAGGAGTTAGATTAAAATATCAGTATTGGAACATCATGAATTATTGTGATCTCCGTAAGGATTTTAGGCTGGTTTTAATGGCTATGTGCATTTTGTATGTATGGAAAAAGGAAATTTCTCATTGAAACTGACTTGTCAAATATTTCTCTCAAAAATTGTTTGCAGCATTAGTGCCAGCAGTAGTTCCCAAGGGCTGTCTCAGCCATCCACCCAGACGACTCAGTATCTGAGAGCAGACACGCCCAACAATGCAACTCCTATCACCAGTAAGAGTTAATTTAATTCTAAAGCCAGTTTACTCAAGTTGTCTATGCTGCTTCCCAGTGGTCTTGCATGGTTAGTGTACTTGTGGGACATGTTGTGTAAATCGTATCTAAAGTATGCAAAATTAGGTATGCTCTTCAACTTTTGCTTTCTAGAGCATTGAATGAAACATTCTAAAATTGAGGTATCAAAAATGAAATTTAAGTTTGCTAGAATTGGTGTGGCTTTCGGGAGATTTCCATAGATTTATTATACTAAAAGGGCTACTAAGTCACTTCTATAGAAATTCAAAAGGAAGATTTTTCAGGTAACTATATGGAATTAACTATTGAGCTGCATAAAGACAGAGACTTTAGACTGTAAGGAATTGTTTGATGGTCTTATGGGCCATGGTGAAGACTTTACATTGTTTTTTAATCATAATAGGAAGTTAGCTACCACTGGAAAGTTGAGAATGTCGGATCTGATTTCCTTTTTTGGACTGGCATTTATTCTTTAGTAAAATAAGATTAAGATATCTGTCCTCTACCCAGTGCCCTATTGTGGTTTTCCAGTACTGTCTCCCATGAAAAAGAACCAGGATTTTTTGGAGAAATGGCTGATTCCAGGTCTGAGTTAGGAAGTGAACAAGATAAGCCTGGGACATGTTGCTGAGTCAGATATCAAGGAAATAGCTAAGACTTGAAGAGCTTCCACTGGCTAAAGATAGGACCATTTGATCATCAAAATGAATAATGACTATAATGAATTAAAACGTAAAATGTGTAAAAATCCACAAATTTGTAATAATACATTATTTAACAAAATTGTTCATTATGAGAGGTGACTAAGGCTCCAGTGAATACCTTACTCTACCAACTGACTACATGAACTGTATTTCAGGTTAACCAGATGGTGCTGGTGGATGAGAGAAAATTTTTCTTTACAGATGATTCTCAGCTAATAAATGTGGAAGAAATTATATAATTAGAAAATCACATGTGCAACTCCTGATAAAATAGTTGATTCAGAAAAAGATCATCAGTGATTGAAAGGAAAATGGGGAACTCTGCCATTGAGGGATCAGGCTGTCACCACCTGAATACACTGATGAACTCAGCATTACTAAAAGTAGGGGACCTAGGTATTTCGTACCCAAGGATATGATGTACCATTCATGGAGCATTCTTTTCTGTCCCTGCTGCACCCCCTACAAGTTAACCTGGATCTGATCAAGGTTATAGACCTGACTTACAGTTTACAGGAAATACTACTTGAAGAAGTAGAGGCCAAACATTTTCCAGGGTAGCCGACCCAGTTTCTTCAATAAGACAGTGGCAAGAAAAAAGGAGGAAAGAAGGCATTATACAGTAAACAAAATTTAAGGGAAATAATAATAGCAGCTACTCTTCCCACTAATGAAGAAAGAAATATATGCTTTTTAGGAAATACGATAGATGTGAAAGTAGTTTAAGCTACTCAGAAGAGGCACATCATTGCTTTTAATGTTTAAATATCAATCTTTGCTCATTAGAATGGATTCTTAATTGTTATACGTGACCTCAAAGAGGTAGGGAATTGTTGTTATACATGCTAAAATACTTTCTTAAAAAAGTCAAAGGGGCCGGGTGTGGTGGCTCTTGCCAGTAATCCCACCACTTTGGGAGGCCAAGGCGGGCGGATCATGAGGTCAGGAGATCAAGACCATCCTGGCTAACACGGTGAAACCCCATCTCTACTAAAAATACAAAAAATTAGCTGGGTGTGGTGGCTCGCGCCTGTAGTCCCAGCTACTTGGGAGGCTGAGGCAGGAGAATGGCGTGAACCCAGGAGGTGGAGCTTGCAGTGAGCTGAGATCACGCCACTGCACTCCAGCCTAGGCAACAGAGTGAGACTCCGTCTCAAAAAAAAAAAAAAGTCAAGGGAAATAAATTTATTTATCTTTTAAAAATTGTTGCCATCAATAAGAAATTTACTTGTTTGTAATCATGGCCATTACCGTAAGGAGCTAGATAATTTACTTACTACATATATATATACTGAAAACAAACACTTTTTAAAAAAGTCAATAGAAATACATTTGTTTACAGATAGAAAAAGAGGAAGAAAAAAATATTTGAAGACATAGTAGCCAAGAATTTTCTAAGATAACAACGCAACAGATCACAGATCCAGGAAACTAAGAGAACTCCAGGTAGAATTAAACATTCACATATACTCACACACCTAGACAGTCTATCACAGTCAAACTGCTGCCAATCAGTGGTTTCAGGTGGTGTCAGTCTACATGCATTGTAAAGTTGCCCAAAACTTTTCATGTGGTTCTCCTGGCAACCATTGATGATCATTGCATAGGTCCACTAATTTTGGGGGGAGGTTTCTTCCCATTATCTGGAGATGCCATTCCAACTTCTACTTGCTAAAGCCAGATTTTCCTTTTATTCTAACATTTTTTTTCTTGAAGTGAAAACTAATTTGTGGCTGTAAATTCTGTTTTTACTGTCATTGAATTAAGAATGAATGGGAATTAAGGGAACTTATTAAATTTGAATCTCACAATGGTTTTACTAGGATGTGGTAATACCAGAATAATTACATTGATTATGTATTTTGTTTGAAAAAAGCCTTTTCAAACAAAAATAACTTTCTGTTTGAAACTTTTTGTTTGTTCAAACAAAACAACTTTTCAAATGAAGAGATGTTTGAAAAAAATCTTTTCAAACATGTCTTCATTTGAAAAGTTGGTGTGTTATGAGACTATATTAGAAAACCTTTTGGGAGAAAAACTGTCCATAAGAAGGATTAAATGAAATTTCACAGATCAAAGCTTGTTTCATTTGGCTAAAAGGCAATTGAAGTGGTGGTCATGGTAATACTATTTTTAGGATTTCTTGTTGCAGTTCAGAATTTTAACATTTTGGAGTAGTATTGTGGTGGGTGAGGAGACATTTCTTTAACATTTAGTGTGGCCTTCAAATAACTCTCCTAGTTCATATATATGCCTGTTTCCTTTTATGATTCTTACACTCATTCCTGTGACCTGAGTCCTGAGGTTCTAACTGAACTAGTTGACTCCAATACCATAATAAGGGTATTTATATTGCTTGGTTTGGCTTTGTTGGCTCCTTAGGTTATCCTACCTTGCGGATAGAGAAGAACGACTTGAGAAGTGTCACTCTTTTGGAGGCCAAAGGCAAGGTGAAGGATATAGCAATATCCAGAGAGAG
Organism: Homo sapiens; assembly: GCF_000001405.40. Lineage (NCBI taxonomy): Eukaryota > Metazoa > Chordata > Mammalia > Primates > Hominidae > Homo > Homo sapiens. The sequence goes on along the minus strand of NC_000003.12, from coordinate 134,191,877 downwards.
GATAACTCTAAAAGATGTACTCCAAGAAGGTATTTATTATCTCAAAGTCGGTTTTTTAAGTATGATTTAATGTTACCACTATAGACACTTTTTTCAAAAATTTAAAAAATTTCATCTCATTTTGTGTCTAAGATAAGGATAGGAAGCAGTGTATGGTTTTTCTTTTATAAAAATTATTTTCATTTGCTCCTATACTTGAATGGGCCTTGTACAACTTTGGTGCAGTTCTTGATTTTCAAGTATATTAAAGCACGTATATTATTGTTGGCTATATTTAAGGTGTATTCTCTGTTTGGTTTTTATTTAAAATGGCCACTACCTGGCAGGTCTCTCTGAGATAGTCTAAGTTACTTTCTCTCTGACGGATAACTTGGGGGTTGTAGCGGAAGGAATGGACATGGGCTTGGGCTTTGGTTTTGGTCCTTAGTTCCAATCCCACATTTTATTCTCCGTGTGGCTTTGGAGAAATCACGTAATGTCTTCAGTCTCCAGTTCCCTCCTCTATAAATTTGGACTGCGTTGTCATCTCTTAGACTAGTTATAAAGATGAGATGAAATTAGGTACAGTAAATGAATGAACACATAATAGTGTTTGCCAGGTGTTAGTATGCTTCCCTTCACCTCTCACTGGGCCTTGCTTTCCTTTTTGAATTGGAGGGTATTGATTAGGGAGATGCTGAAAGAAGAAGACAGAAATTAATAATAAAATACTGCACTGAGCTCTTCATGTTGTTAAATAGAGAATTACTTTTTTACCTCCACTGTAATTCAGTTTGGAATGCTTTGGATACTTATGAGTCCTCCTTATGTATTCCTTTGCTGGTTGGGACACATTTAGGTCAATCACAGCTAAGTCAGGTACTTAAACTGTCCCCAGTAGCAAATGGTAATTAATGGAAGCAGATTTTCTGGTATGTCTTAAAATGCATGATTGCCACTTGTTAATAGTTGACTGTTTTCTAAGCATAACTAGTTTGCAGATCTTTTTGCAATCTGAAGAGAGTAAGTAGACCAGGTAGCATTTCCTAAAGAATAAAAAAAAATGAGAGATCAATTAATGTTATATTTGCAGTTTCTTTTGGTCTCTGAATGGGATAGAATAGGCAATCTGTTGTAGTGGTATGATTTGAGAAGAAGGAATTCTGAACCAGGTAGAGTTTTTCTTTATTGGTCTTTTCAGGCCCATAATAGTTTATTTTAAAATTCTTTTGATTTCAGAAAAGAAAATATGGTGGCTGATTAACATTTAAAAAGGTGGTCAGGTTCACTGGAAATCTGATAAATGCAAAGAAAACAATAGTTACATGCGATTTTTTTTTTTTACGTTAGTTTGTGAAAAAGTAAAAAGATAATTTCTAGGTTGACGGGTATGGAGGAACACATGCTCTTTTACATTGCTGGTAGGAATGTGAATTGCTGTAACATTGTGGTAAAGTAATATGTACATATATATTTTTGTGTATGTTCCTTACTTCCATTGTTTTTAAGTATATGTAAATCTGTGTTTGAGAGTAATATTTAAAAATGGGACTAGGTACTGGGAAGAGGAGACAGGAGGTTTTGCAGTGCTTCAGTGCAAGAGAGTTAAGAAGCTCAGTCAAGCAAGGTGAACTTGGCTGGAGAGAGAAGGGAAAACCTTTGTGAGGAAGACAGGTCAGGGTGTGTAGCTCTATGTATTGACTAGAGTGTTTGAAGATATTTACTCAGCTTCAAGCAAAATGTCTTAAATGAAGATTATCCAAAGTCTTTTCTGCCTTGAGCATACAAGTTACTCTGTCTCTAGGCCACAGTGAAACCTGATGATACATGGATACCAACAACTCCACCTCATAGAGTGGAAGGCATTAGAGCAAGCCTATTTGTATGCATGGTATCTGCAGCAAAGTGAAACTATTTGCAAGCTTATCTTTTAAATTGTGAAGGAAGGAAAGTAAACAATTTTCTAGTGAGAAAGAGTAAAATGAGATTCATTTTCAGTGATCATCTTGTTTGGGAGTTTTCTATGGGCAATTACAAAATTGGTAATAAAATCTAGATGGATTTTCTTAGTTCCTTCCCTAGCACCCGCAAAGGTCATAACTAACTTCTCTTATTACTATAAGAGTTTTTGTTTTTTGTTTTTTTTTTTTTTTTTTTTGGCGGAGTCTCGTTCTGTTGCCCAGGCTGGAGTGCAGTGGCACAATCTTGGCTCACTGCAGGCTCCACCTCCCGGGTTCATGCTGTTCTCCTGCCTCAGCCTCCCACGCCCGGCTAATTTTTTTGTATTTTTTTTTGTATTTTTAGTAGAGACGGGGTTTCACCGTGTTAGCCACGATGGTCTCAATCTCCTGACCTCATGACCCGCCTGCCTCGGCCTCCCAAAGTGCTGGGATTACAGGCGTGAGCCGCGCGCAGCCTCTTCTCACTCTAAGAGTTTTTAGGAACACATTTTACCAGTGAACCGAGAGTCTAATTGGCTTGTCTGAGACCTTCTGAGGAGTGAGTGGTAGAAGGAATGGAACCCAGGACTGTCTGGATCCAAAACTTGTACTCCCTGGCCTTCCCTTGAAGCTACTTTTTAAGGCTCTGCGGTAGAGAGGAAAGTTCATTTTTGTCTTTTCGTCATTTCTCTGAGGCTAAGCCTAGAAACTCATAAATGCCATTGTGGATACCTCATTACTGAGCTCCAATGCTCCTGGCTATATCATTAGTTTATTTAGTATAATTCAGGAAAATTTTCATATACTTAGTTTAGATATGGTGTTTCTGAAAGCAAGTTAAGATGTGTAATAGTCACAAAAAACTTTTAACAGTCGTTAAAACCAAAGATTTGGGTCTTTTTACTCTAGGGCTACAGTAATGTTGATCACATATGACCTTGTTATTTTTGTTTTATGTTATATTGTGCCAGAAAGTTTTGTACTATAATTTTATGAATGTTGTATGATCTCATTAATTATTACTTTTCCTTTTAGGTACTTTTGGGCGTATTTTCCATGGGATTTTAATAGATGAAAAAGATCCAAATAAAGAAAAACAAGCATTTGTCAAAACAGTTAAAGGTAGGATCTTTTTTCCATAGTATTTCCATGATGCTCTTCTGTCTCAGGTGGCTCCTGCCAGCAAAATTCTGTCTCAGTTTCCCAATGTGTGCCAGACCTTTTAAATCAGTCAGTGTTAATTTAGCTGAAAACAAAAATTGTCTTATATGAGCCTAATTGTTTTGGAAATTTGGGTTGTTCTCATTAAGTATAGAAAAACAGAAGTCTGTTAAATTAAGACATAAGACATTTCTTAGATATTACTCAGTTAATTGCAAGTCAAACTGCATCCACTTGATTTCATTGTTACTATGTTTAGTGTTGGTATACTTTTGCAGGTATAGCCATAGTTGGAATTGCTGGCCTAAGGGTGTGTACATTTAAAATTTTAATAGAGCCCAGGTGCAGTGGCTCATGCCTGTAATCCCGGCACTTTGGGAGGCCGAGGTGGCCAGATCACCTGAGGTCAGGAGTTCGAGACCAGCCTGGCCAGCATGGTGAAACCCCTGTCTCTGCTAAAAATACAAAAATTAGCCAGGCGTGGTGGCTCACGCCTGTAATCCCAGCTACTCAGAAGGCTGAGGTGTGAGAATTGCTTGAACCCGAGAGGCGGAGGATGCAGTGAGCCGAGATCATGCCACTGCACTCCAGCCTGGGCGACAGAGACTCTGTCTCAAAAAAAAAAAAAAATATATATATATATATATTGTTAGATTGTCCTCTAAAAGATAGCACTGGTTTATATTGTCATGAACAGAATAACTGTTTTCACATATTCTTCTTTTGGGCCAGCGTTTGAAATGTGACGCCTAATTTTTAATTTATTGATGTGTATAAGTTATTTAATTAAAGATTCCCTATCAAGATACTACAGTGTTATTTATGCAGGCATATGGCTTATTTCCTATTACTGGTAGATTTGCAAGACTTTAAAAAATACTAGAATTTTAATTACTTACAACAGATGCTTGTGAAAGCTTAAATAGTTCTGAATTAAGAGCTGGGTGCAGTGGCTCACAATTGTAATCCCAATGCTTTGGGAGGCTAAGGCAGGAGGATTGCTTGAGTCCATAAGTTCAAGATCGGCCTGGGCGATATAGCAAGACCCCCCGTCTCTACAAAAAAAAAAAAAAAAAGTAGCTGGGTGTGGTAGCATATACCTGTAGTCCCAGCTACTCAGGAGGATGAGGCAGGAGGATTGCTTGAGCCCAGGAATTCAAGGCTGCAGTGACCCCTGATCATGCCACTGTACTCCAGCCTAGGTGACAGAGCAAGATCCTGTTTTAATTTTTAAAAATGATGATAATAATTCTGAGGTAAGTCTTATTTGCTTATCTAGAGAGAAAGAAAAATGTGATAATTTATAGGGTGCTTAATGTCTATCAGGTCTGATGTAAATTGAGAAGACATGCTAATAATATCTAAAAACAAATTTAGCACTTTCCCTTCAGAAACTGAAGGGAAGATTAAATTCAGTTTTATGAGTAGAAAGTGATAAAATTTTATACAGTTTATGAAGTTAATTTATAAGAACTGTTTCTAAATTTACTTAAAGGAATACATGGAAAGTATGAAGGGTTTATGTTTATTGGTTGTAAAAAGTTGGGTTATACCAATCTAACAAAAAATCTTTGGAATTGCTTTTAATTGAACAAAATTGTTTGTTTAAGGCTGCTACAAATACATCCATACACACACACCTCTTTAATATTTTCTAAACAAGTGGTTTAATTTACTATATCATTCAATATTTATTTTATTCATTCACCCCTTCCCAGCACCAAAAACACTTTTAAAGGGTAATATTTATGTGTTAGGTCCATCCTTTCGGCTAAGACCAAGTGTAAGTTAGGTCCCAGTAGGTTTTCTGACTAGGAGAGTTTACATATTACTTTTTGTAAATGTAAAATTTGAACTATAAGGTTATTAAACAACAGCCTTTTGTTACTCTTTTCTCATTTTTTTTTTAAGGAAACTCCTTAATTCAAATATTTCTTCCGGGGTTTGTAAGTATTCTATAGACTGTGTAGAACTGGGCTATTATTGACTTGTTCTGAATTAAGGAAGGAGGTTTTTATACAAAATTGGGTTGATTTAGGGTTGGAAGGGGAGATAAAAGGAAATAATAGTGATAAGAAAACACAATGAGTATACTTGGACTGTTTCACAAGATAAGACTTCTCTTTCCGTATATGCTTGACTTGTAGTCACTGGTTGTTTCTGTGCTTTACCACTGTAATTATAATGTTCTCTGTGAGCTGTGCGGAAATAAGAGAAAGCACAGTGAGTCCTTATGGGGGACAGAGGGGAAGTGCATTGCCTCAAATTTGTTAGAGAGATAGCGCCACATGACTGTCTCTGAGATTGATTATTTTGGAATGCTGTTTTTATGGTTTTAGTTGTAGCCACATAGAGCTGACCAAGGTCTTTCACAAATCTGTATGCTTTGTTACATGTTGCACAATTAGAAGTTTAGCATAAAATAAAAAAACAGTGTTTTAGAAAGCACTGACCTTTGCCTTTAGGCATAAGCAGAAAATTGGAGTTTGGCTTTTAAAAATATTCATAATTTTATACAGAGACTTCATAGATACTCCAGTATAAATTTCCAGAGATTGAAATTAGCAACCCGAATCTTACACACTAAATATTGTGAAATTGAATTCCATAAAATAAATGAATCAGTTTGGATTTACTGGTATTAAGTTCTTATTTTCTTTATTATAGCTACTAAATTTTTATAGTTTTGTAAATAAGCAAGTGTTTGTTTTTAAAAATCATTTTGTGCATCCTTGTAACTTTTAGAATATATTTAATAGTACCCTTTTCAAATGTGTACATCTTGAAGATAGACCTTTCATTATGTAATTAAAAGACTAGGATGAGACTGGGAAAGGAATCCAAGAAAACGAGTTTTTCTTACTAAATGGATAAAGTTATTTTATCTTTAATTGAGTTTTCTTAGATCATCATTCAAGTGTCCTTTGCTTTAATAGAACATGCTTATCAAAATAAAAACTTGAAAAAAGTAAGTATAAAATGACACATTCTGAAATTACCATTTGTTGTACTTAGATCTCCTTACCAGTTGAGGGAATGGTAAAAGTCTTTTTAACTGGGCAGGGACCTCCAACTATTACTAGTTTTCAGTCTTGAAAAGATCCTACTAGCCTCCAGTAGTCCTGGCCATAATTTCATTAGAAATTATTTAGGTTATAGAAAGAGTAATAAAGGCACATTTTGCTATTTACTAAGAAATCCCACAAGCAGTTTGTAGACACTTAGAGTTTATTCCAGCAGACATTGATATGAAGCACCTTTTCCAAAGAAGTACCGAATGTTTCAGATCCTTGGCTTTTTGTCTACCCATTTTACATTCCTACAAAAGTCTTAACTAAGAGAAGTTGCTTGGAAAGGGGACACTTAGTAGCAAGTAATGGAAGTGAAGCAAGACGAAGTGAAGCAGGAATGAGATTCCAATGGGTAGATGTGGAAGTAAATGAAATTTGAGATTTCTCAGCTTTGACAGTTCCACATTTAAAGACCAAATGTGACAATCATAGTATCTGAATTCAGTGGGGTGGGTTTTATTGTTGGTTCAGCATTTTCCTAGGTGGGTCTAGAATATGAATCTTGGCTTTGCCAGTCTTTTACATTTCTCTCTTCCTCTTATTGCATTGGTCCGAAGCTTTATAAATTATTATTTAATTAATTAATTAATTTATAGATGGGGTCTCACTCTGTCACCCAGGCTGGAGTGCAGTGGCACAATCATAGCTCACTGCAGCCTCAACCTCCTGGGCTCAAGCAATCCCCCACCTCAGCCACCTGAGTAACTAGGAATACAGGTGTGCAACACCACACCCTGCTAATTTTTTTTTTTTTTTTTTTTTTTTGTAGAGATGGGGTTTCACCATGTTGCCAGCCTGAGCTTTACAAATTATTATTGCTGTTTTTACTACTGATGTAAAAATTCGTTATGGGTTTCTTTGAAAGGGTTTTTAAGAATATACTGTTAAGTTTGTTTTAACATTTAAAAACTATTTTTTAAAATTCAAACCCACTTCTTATTTGTTTATTATTATTATTTTGGGAGACAGGGTCTTGCTCTGTTGCCCAGGCTGGAGTGCAGTGGTGCAATCATGGCTCACTGCAACCTTGATGTCCTTGGCTCCAGCAATCCTCCAGCCTCAACCCCCTCAGTGGCTGGGACTGCTAGTGTGCACCACCAGGTCCAACTAATTAAAAACACTTTTTGAAATAGAGATGGGGTCTTGTTGTATTGCTCAGGCTGATCTTGAGCTCCTGACTTTAAGTGATCCCCCTGCTTCAGCCTCCCAAAGTGGTGGTATTACAGGTGTGAACCGCTGTACCTGGCTGCATTTTCAATTTTATAATAGAAATATTCTTTTCAAGCAGTGGAGAAATTCCTCTATACTGTTAAGGTCGTGGTCCCTATAAGATGAGGAATCCTTGTGGATTTGTGCAAATATTTGAAGGCTTAAAAATTCCTTTGGAGATGTAGACTTAAAGATATTGGTAAATTGCATTATCATGTTTTTGTTTCAAAAACATTGACCTAAAAGTTCATTTGTTCTGTTTTGCTACTTTGGACCAAAAACCATGAGTTTAGAAACTAAAACTAAAATGGCATAATTCTAATTTTGGTTATCATATGAAAGTTAACTATATTTTTACTACTGTATTATTAGTTCTTTTTGTTTGTTTTTAACCACAGAGAAGTAAAAAGAAGAAAGCAACAGAATAGGCCATAATCTCCAATCATAACTTTTGTAGTCATTTTATACCTGTAATGTTTGTTAGGTTAGGAAGTATAAACAGAACAGAAAGGTACAAAACCTAAATTCTCCCATCTTGAAAAGTAGCCATCATATGTAAACAATTCCTTAATATGTAAGAAATATTAGGATATGTAAACACAAGTTGTACCTTGTTTTTGAAATTTAATATACCTTAGAGATCGTCCTCTGTCAGTACATATCTCATTTTTCAAAAGTAGCCACATAGTATCCCATTGTGTCAATTTAATTAGTTCTTTGTTAGTGGGTACTTTGGTGGTTGAGTTTTTTTGCCATTGAACAGTGCTCTTATTACATTGTACATAGATGAGCTTTTGTGACTATATCTGTAACAGAGACTCTTAGCAGTGGGATTGATGATGGAAGGTATATCTGCATTTCAAAATTTTGTTACATGTTGCTTTCTCCATCTATCCAAGCTACTATTGATGAACCTGTTTTCTCACACTCTTGCCCAAATTCTTAATAGTAGGTAGTGGAATTTTTTGTGTCTCAATTTGACAGGGGAAATGGCATCTCCTGGTTTAATTTGCATTTCTTAGGACTGAGGCTGTGAGTCGTTTTGTAATCTTGTGTGTCATTTGTTTTTTATTTTCTCAGTGAACTGTGTGTTTATATCCTCTGCCTCTTTTTCTTATTGATTTATATGAGCTATTTAAATAGGAAAAAAGGAAGTTAGCAGTATATATGCCTTATGTGTTGCATATGTTTTTCCAGTCTGTTATTGCATTTTCTGCTTTGTTTATGGAAACTTAATTGATTTTAATATAAAAATTTCTGGGAAAATTGACCTATTTAATGAGACTGCAGTAGAATTTTTATCTAGATCTATTTAGATTTACCTGTAACTTATAATGAAAACCTATGTACCTTATAGTTCAAGATAATTATTTACTAATAGCAGAAAATGTTAATGCCATATATGTAGTATTATTATTCAAGACATTTTCTTTTCTTTATATATAGATCAAGCTTCTGAAATTCAGGTGACAATGATGCTCACTGAAAGTTGTAAGCTGCGAGGTCTTCATCACAGGTGAGAGGAGAAACCACCAGCATTTCAGTGTTGAGCATGGCAACACTTGATGCCACATTTTTATGTGCAGAACATTGTGATGACTTCTGAATTGAAAGCTTTGTGGAATAGCTTAATTTTTTTTTCTGAATATAAAAGTGAAATGCATTCTCATTGCACAAAACTTACAAACACAGTAAAGTATAAAAGAAAACAAAGAATAGTATGTAAGCCCACATCTGGATAATCATAGCTAATCTAGCTGATCTTTCCAGAAATAATTTATACATATTTATGTGCACATTTCCCTTTAAAAAATAGGATGATGGTTTACATATGTTAAAAAATATTTGTTATGAGATTTTTGAACGTATAGGACCTCAAAGTCAAGTATAATAAACATGAATAAATCTTCCTTCTAGATGCAGTAATAGTTAACATTTTGCCATATTTTCTGTGTTGTGTATGTTTGTGTATTTATCCATCTGTATCTAGAGACATATCTCTAGATACAGGTATCTATATATTTGTGTATATAACTATTTTATAATAAATTAGACATCTCAGTACTTTTAGTGCATGTCCAGCATGTATTTTCAATAAAAAGAAGATAGTTTTCTTTATAATCATAATATCACTGTTGTCTTTGACAAAGTTAACATGCTTCTTAATTTAATGAAACAATGTATCTGACTTTTGATATTGGCAACTGTAAATCCATGTAGCCATTTAAAAAGGCTACATAGTAGTCCACTGAATGGATGTACCACATTTTATTTAACTAATTTCTGGTATACAATCATTATGCCATAGCATGATTTTTAAAAACTACTTATAGTTCTATATGAAGACCTTTTTTTTTTTTTTGGAGACAGAGTCTCGCTCTGTCACCCAGGCTAGAGTGCAGTGGTGTGATCTTGGCTCACTGCAAGCTCTGCCTCCCTGGTTCACGCCATTCTCCTACCTCAGCCTCCTGAGTAGCTGGGACTATAGGCACGCCTGGCTAATTTTTTCTATTTTTAGTAGAGACAGGGTTTCACCGTGTTAGCCACGATGGTCTCGATCTCCTGACCTCATGATCTGCCCACCTCGGCCTCCCAAAGTGCTGGGATTACAGGCATGAGCCACTGTGCCCGGCCATGAAGACCTTTTTTAAAAGCTTGGTATTGGTCCTGTTCACAGAACTGTAACAAAAACTTCTACCTTTTGAGCCAGAAGCAGCTTAAATGTAACATCATAATGTGTGACAGTATCAACATTAGAGCAAATTTTTTTAAAGCACTATATAGAGTCAACATAATTTGTATGTCTACTGAAAATTTGATCACATATGTTTAAAAAAAGAACTGTGGTTATCTCTGTTGGAAGATGTTTATAGGCTTCTGAAAAAATATAGTTTCTGTATACTTTAGACAGTTCCTTGAGTTCTGCTGAAAAATAAGGTGACTACCCAGAGCCTTACTTTTAAATTTAGTTATATTTTGGTTCATATTCAGAAGGATTTGAGGACCTAAAAAGAAGGCAGCCACAGTAAGATAAATAAAATGGTAATGAAAAAGAAACTGAGTTTTTTGGCATTGTGGTGGTAAAAAAGAAAACAAATGAGCCAGCAGTAAGGAGAACAAATATTTTTACTGTGACTGAACATAAAACACCTCCTAGCTTCTCGGCAACCAAGGGTGAAGGAAACACTAAAAGTTGATAATCTCAGTAGCAGAAGGGAAAGAAACAGTTGGAATATTGTCCTTTTTGGCAGTGTTGAAAGTGCTTAATGGTCTATTACACTGACTCTAGGGAGAAGGGCCAAAGGTGTTTAATCCTAGTATATAATGTTAACCTATTACTTAGATACCTAGCCAATGTTCTTACCCCAGTGAAAGGTTTGCATCACTTCAGCACAGAAGTGAGTAGCAGGGATAAATGTAGACAAAGCCAGGATTTTCCCAAGAAACGGTTTTATATTCACTGTAGCCTTAAAGATGTCTTGGCTGAAAAATGCTCAGAGCAAGCATTTGCAGTGTTGTGTCTCATGCAGTTTTAGATTGTAAGGTTTTGCAGCATCCCATCAGGATGAATTAGCAGTCTCAGGAGGTCCTTAGGGAATTGAATGACATTACATACTAAATTGGGGTTATTTGATACTGAGCATTCAGTCCTTGAGGAAAGTCTTGTAAAGGTAGGTTATAGCTTGATTATGCTTAATTGTTCTTCCTTCTATGAGGTGATAGCAGGAGTCCTAGTTACAATGAATAAAACACATTGTCAGCATGTAGAAAGTATATTATTCTTTCCATTCATTGTAGCAGTTCATTTCATTTTTAAGGTGACCAGGGCCTATCACACATTTTGTTTTGATCCTTAATATGTATAGACTGTTCATAGCTATACTTATGTATTTGTTTGTTCATTCTTTTATTCTAATTCATTCAGTACCCATTTTGCACTTGGAACTGTGTTAGGCAGAATGAAAATGAAATGATCTTCAGAGATCGTATTATAGAATTTATCAAGCAACAGAATATAGAATTTATTCAGCAAGAAAAGACACCTGTTTTTAGATTTTACCTTGTGGTATGTAATACAGCATGTTTGCTTCATGTTTTAACATCCATGGTTACGGATTGTACGCGTATTGAAGTGTTTTAAAGCATTTTGAAATCCTTTCTTTTCACACATTTTTCCACTGGAATTTATGAAAATAATTTTATTAAAAGTTAAAATAGCTGTATACATAAAAGATATTAACCTATTTTAATTTCATTAGAAGTGCTTCACATCAAAGTACTCTTGCGCTATTTCTGCTTGTAGTTTGGCCCCTTCATTGGCCCAAAGATGCCTGATGGTGAACACTTCTTATGCCAAATGGCTCACAGCTCTCCCTCTGCAAACGCCCTCAACAAGACTGAGAATTAGAGGCAGTTCTTGTGCCAAGCCCCACAGAACCTACCCTTCCTGTACCTTCTTTCTTCACTATAGCATCTCCTGCTTTCATTCACTCTTCTTAGAGATCCAGACCTTCCCCTTCATCCTCCTTTTCATTACAAGATGGGCAGAATGAAAAACAGCCATTTGTACTTTGAAACATTTTCATGAAGTTTGTTAGCTCTACCAGTGGATTTTTAATCCTGTGGTAGTGGAATAAAAGATTTGACTTCACCCAGCAAACCTAATGGATAAAATGTCTTTAACTCTGCTAAATGAATTTCAGTCACAAAGAAAGAAACAGAAGTAATCTTTGGTGAGTTAAATAGATTGGGCAACAGTGTTTAATGGTATGCCCAAGTTAATCCTTAGTGTAAACCTGTAGTCATTTTAGTATTCATGGGAGTTGGTGGAAAGGAAGCTCTGTAATCTCCCATGTGATCTCCCTTGCTCCTCTGGAGAGAAAGTCTAGTGGTCCAGGGGAATGCAAAGGGTATTGAATCAGATGAAGATCTGATATTTTTCTCCGTGTACTTGCTCTTTGTCCTTGGCAGGTTACCTAAACTTTCTCTCCCAGCGTGGATTTCCTTGCATATAAAGTGGAACTCCTAATCGCTGCCACTTGAGCGGTTATAGAGAGGTTGCCTCTTAGAGGTTTACTGATCTTTAAGTCCTCATTTTCCCACCTCCTCAGGGTCAGTGCTTTCCATGTTAGTAACTCCTGCAAATATGAGGGGAGCGCACAGCTTTGCCACTTGTGCATTGGTGATTGTGCCACGGTTTTATAACTGGGGTTTAAAAAGTGATACATGCTCAATTAAGACAATTTTTAGGAAATACAGAAAACAAAGCTGAAATTATCTATAGTCTTACAACTTAAAGACAACTCTTAACTCTTTGCATATTTCCATGCAGACCTTTATTATTTTTCTCCATTTTTATAATTATCTTGCAAATGGGAATTTTTTATCTTACTTTCTTGTAAGATAAGCTTTTACTTATATTCTCATATTGTGACCAATTGTGACTTATTATCCTGTTATTCTTTCCTTATTAAACATCCTTAGAAGCAGGATTTGCCAAGTTAAGGAGTAGGAATGTTTTAAGGCTATTTGTTACTGTTATTTGTTATTAAATGTTTGTTTTATATAGCATAGATTACGAAGTGTTGGGTATAAAAATTGAGTTTACCTTAGTTTTTGTCTTCTAGCAATTTTTAGCTTAGTGGGGAAGATGATATAATTATGTAAAAAGTTACATAACCTTGGGAAAAATTAGCAGTTATTTCCAGATGTCAGTGGAGGAGGTGTTATTAGACAGTAGGATGAAATGTATGTATGTATGCCATAGAAATTAAAATAGGAACGGGATTGTCCACTACATGCTTGGTTTTATTTTGCACATCACAGCAACCTTTTATGGTTGGTGGGGTCCCTATGTTATAAGAATGGAAACCAAAGCCAAGAGAAGATGGTCACTCTGATAGTAATTGGTAAATCTAGGATTCAAAAATCTGATTCTAAATCCAGTGTGACCAGCTAAGAACTTTTTGGCTTTTGTGGCAGTTTCAGCCTTTTAGAGACCTTTTTTGATGATCATATTCTTGACCACCGTCTGGATTGGGCCTTTTTTTTTTTTCATGTGTGATAATGGAGTAAGTGGGATATTGTTATCATAATACACTCATGGGCAAGTCAGTTTTTAGATGTCTCTGATTAATTGCCCTTTGGAGTAAAGATATAGTGTGGTTAGAGTGTGCCTTCAGAGAATCCAGCCCACAGGAAGCAACTTTGAGTTTATGATTTTTCCCTACCAAGAATGTGCATATATGGGGATATATGCACATATATAGGGGACACTTAAGTCTGGTTTAAAATACAGAACACTTATAATTTTACATTTTTAATGGTAATCATGTTTTTAAGTATTTTGGGGATTTTGTTTTGTTTTAGATTATTTTTATTAGAAGTAAGCCCCTAACATTTTGGATTCCTTTGTCTTTCTCCCAATTTTTTATTATTTTATAGAAATCTTCTTCCTATTACTCATGTGTGTATAGAAGAAGGAGAAAAGCCCATGGTGATATTGCCTTACATGAATTGGGGGAATCTTAAATTGTTTTTACGACAGTGCAAGTTAGTAGAGGCCAATAATCCACAGGTGAGAAAAATTTGCCCAAATACCAATTATTTACCAGTAGTTTCTGATAATGTCTTTGAAAGTAGATATTAACATTCTTAAATATAAACTGTTTAGAGGCCTGCAAAAAAGAACCTCAAAATGAACCACAAGATATTTATAACCTGTTGGCTTAAAGGAAAATGTTGGCTTATGTTCCTGCCTTGAGGCTTACACTGTGCTGATGCTGAAGTTTTCCTTATATTCTCGTTGTGTACTTATTCATAATCAACTCAAACCCTTTGTAATGCCATCTTAGGTGTTTTCCTGATAACTGAGGGTACTTGTCCTAGATCTTCCTCTTAGGAATGGAAACAGACTTTCTAGAGCCATTTGGTTCATACTATACCAAAGTCTGGTGATGACTGGAGGTCTAGATTGTGGGAGATAATTGGATGTATTGTTAATATGCGTGGCTGTAAGATGGCAGTCATCTAAGAGTGTTTCTCTTCCCTGCTTGTGTTTATAACTGTAAAGCAAAGGTCAGATACCAAGCATATTATGATGGTAGTGGTAGTAAAGCCTAGTGGGTTTTTTTTGCTGTCAGCTGTATCTTGTTGTCCCATTAAGTTGCTTTAGGATTTATAATAGTATGCTTATTATAGTTGCCAGGAGAAAGTGGGTTCAAAGGCTGCATTCAGTATTTGGCCTAATATGTATCATATGCTTTGTAAATTGACAAGACTAAAGCTGGGATTCTCAATAAGTGGTTAGAGGCTGTGGCTCATCTGCATTACCTGGGGAAGGATTTTATTCCTCAGCCCCAAGTACTGTCATACACCTAGAAGAACACATCAGCAGAAAAAGCTAGGAGCTCGTACTTTGGGTTTGTGTGTGGTTTTTTTTTGTTTGTTTTTTGTTTTTTGTGTTTTTTTTTGAGATGGAGTCTCGCTCTGTCGCCCAGGCTAGAGTGCAGTGGCGTGATCTCAGCACTGCCAGCTCTGCCTCCCAGGTTCACGCCGTTCTCCTGCCTCAGCCTCCCGAGTAGCTGGGACTACAGGCGCCTGCCACCACGCCCGGCTAATTTTTTGTATTTTTAGTAGACGGGGTTTCACCGTGGTAGCCAGGATGGTCTCAATCTCCTGACCTCGTGATCTGCCTGCCTCAGCCTCCCAAAGTGCTGGGATTACAAATGTGAGCCACCGCACCCAGCTGCAGGGTTTTTTTGTTTTTTGTTTCATTAGACAGGATCTCAGTCACCAAGGGTAGAGGGCAGTGGTGTGATCACAGCTCACTGCAGCCTCAACCTCCCATGCTTAAGCAATCCTCCCACCTCAGCCTCCTGAGTAGCTGGGACCACAGGAACATGCCACCATACCTGGCTAATTTAAAAAAAAATCATTTTGTGTAGAGACAGGGCCTCAGTATGTTGTCCAGGTTGGTCTCGAACTCCTGGGCTCAAGTGATCCTCCCACCTCAGCCTTCCCAAGTGCTGGGATTATAGGCATGAGCCACTGCACCAGGCTTAGATTTGTGTTAATTTGAAAATAATCCCAAAGAGAGAATCTCCTAATAAAAACTACTGTTTGGGGGAAAAAAAGATTACTGAATTATAAACATTTGAAATATTACCTTGAGAACTCAGCATTCACTGAACAGATGTATTGAGCAGCTGCTGTGTGTGCTGGATATTGGGGAGATACATCTAACAGATGAAAGGAGACAGAGTAAATGGTAGATTACAGAATAATAAGGACTACAGTTGATATAAGTATAGGGATATATGGGAACATAGTCTTGGTCAAGAAATAGCTTTTAAAAATTCTGTGTGTAGGTTTAAAGCAGTATTTTTGGATGGAGTAGGATTGTGGAATAAAAAAAGTAAGAAAGTGCCATCATATTTGTGTGCTATTTGCAAACCATGTTATTTTTTGTTACCACAGGCAATTTCTCAGCAAGACCTGGTACACATGGCTATTCAGATTGCCTGTGGAATGAGCTACCTGGCCAGAAGGGAAGTCATCCACAAAGACCTGGCTGCCAGGAACTGTGTGTAGGTGCCATGAGCTTGACGCTGTCACTTGATGTAGAGTGCTTCCTGGATTTGGGGTTCTCTGCGAGTCACAGTGGGACTTGTGTTGTATTTAAGGGTGGTGATGATCCCTACTTTTTAATACTCTGATTGCATTTGATGTTCATATCTTTACTTTTCAGCATTGATGACACACTTCAAGTTAAGATCACAGACAATGCCCTCTCCAGAGACTTGTTCCCCATGGACTATCACTGTCTGGGGGACAATGAAAACAGGCCAGTTCGTTGGATGGCTCTTGAAAGTCTGGTTAATAACGAGTTCTCTAGCGCTAGTGATGTGGTAAGTGCCGGGACCCCCAGATAGCAAAAGAATAGAGAAACAGCTTTCTGTTTTTAAATGTTCTACTATTTTTATCTTTTGGGTTTTTAAAAAATCTGCTAGCTGTTCCCGGAAATTTTTATCCAGAAAGCAAGTGTAATTAGCTGCCAGTCAACCAGTTTATGGAGAGGAGCTGTGACCCAGACCATAGGCCAGCACTGTTTGTAATCTCATTTCATCCTCACAGTACTGCTCTGACAGAAGCACTTTTTTTTTTTTTTTTTTTAAGACAGAGTTCCACTCTTGTAGCCCAGGCTGGAGTGCAATGGCGCAATCCTGGCTCACTGCAACCTCTGCCTACCAGGTTCAAGCGATTCTCAGGCCTCAGCCTCCCAGGTAGCTGGGATTACAGGCGTGTGCCACCATGGGCACATGCCCAGCTAATTTTGTATTTTTAGTAGAGACGGGGTTTCACCATGTTGGCCAGGCTGGTCTTGAACTCCTGACCTCAGTTGATCCACCTGCCTCCGCCTCCCAAAGTCCTGGGATTACAGGTGTGAGCCACCACGCCCATTGACAGAAGCACTATTAACACTAGGAGATAGGCTGTGGTATCCCAGTTTTAAAGGTGAGGATTTTGAGACTCAGAGCAGTTACAGTAATTTCATTATTATTTCTTTCTTATATAAGAGGCAGACCAAATAGTTGCTAGATCATAAAGATGTTTTCTTTTTTTCAGGTGACCTCTTCTAAGTGTTATGGCTCATAAAATTTGTAAATCCCCCCGTCATCCTCTTCCTTTTGTCAAGTTTCTGGGTGGTTTTGCCACTTAGCCAGATCATAGTTGGGCCCTTTGTGATGTACAGTTTCAGAAGCCACGTTCACTTGTTCATATTTTACAGCCATGTAAAATTTCTGTCACTTGATTTCTTAGTCTTATTTGGAAGACTAAGTGTAATTTATTTTCCTGTCTCTTGCCTGTTAGACTTTATTATTGTTGCAGAATATTTAGGGATTAGGTAAAACTTCTGCTTATAGGGTCCCACATATGTTCACTCAGTGATAATCTGTTTGTGTTATATGTAAAATCCTATAGAATAATTTGCTTCTAAGCTTCAACTGTAAGAATTGGGCTTACTGTATCATTGTATTTTGTGTGTCTATATTTTAAAATTTAGGGCTACTCTTTTGTTTCAAAGTGTGTATGTTTTAAGGATTAATCTTTTAATCATGTATTACTGTACGCTAATTAATTATATTAATTGGTATATACTCATTTCCTCGGTGTATGAGTTTTCTGTGGCTGCTGTAGCAAATTACTACAACCTTGGTGGCTTAAAACAATAGAAATATAGTCTCTCGTGGTTCACTTCTGAGGCCAAATGTCTGAAATCAAGGTGTAGTCAGGGCTGGGCTCCTTCCAGAGGCTCTAGTGGAGAAGCAGTCCTTGCCTCTTTCAGCTCTGGTGGCTGTTGGCATTCTTTGGCTTGCGGTTCCATCCCTCTGTTCCAAGTTCATACCACCTTCTTCTTCACATACGTCTTTCAAACTCTCTTTGCCTCCCTCTTAAAAGGATACATATGATTTAGAACCCACTTACATAATCCAGAATAAACTTTTCCTCTCAAGATCCTTAATCACGTTTTGTCATGTAAGGTAATTACAAGTTTCAGGGAGTAGGACATGGGCATATCTTTGGGGCTACCATTCAGTTCACTGCAGTCAATAATTGAAATGATCTAAGATTTCTTTACTGAAAAACTGATATTCTAATTTAAAATCCTTAAAATGAGAATAATTTGAGAAAGGGGAAAATTCCTTTAATTAACTCTAACTACTAAATAAATTTTTTTTCCTTTTTAGAAACTATGTGCTATTTGATATTGATATGGTTTGGCTATGTCCCCACCCAAAATCTCATCTTGAATTGGAATTCCCATAATCCCCACGTCAAGGGCGAGACCAAGGGTGGAGATAATTGGATCATGGGGGGCAGGTTCCCCCATGCTGTTCTAGTGAGTCTCACGAGATCTGATGCTTTTATCAGCGTCTGGCATTTCCCCTGCTCACACTCACTCCATCCTGCCACCCTGTGAGGAAGGTGCCTGCTTCTTCTTTTCCTTCGTCATGATTGTAAGTTTCCTGGGGCCTCTCCATCATTGCAGAAATAAGTCAATTCAACCTCTCTCCTTTATAAATTACTCAGTCTTGGGTATTTATTCATAGCAGTGTGAGAAGGGACTAATACAGATATATTGCTCCTTTTACATACCAAGTATTTTGATAAAATGTGTTCACTTAATGTGAATGAGCAATTTACTTATATAATTTTTAAATTTTTTTTTTTTTTGAGACAGAGTCTCGCTCTATCACCAGACTGGAGTGCAGTGGCGCGATTGCAGCTCAGTGCAACCTCCGCCTCCTGGGTTCATGCGATTCTCCTGCCTCAGCCTCCTGAGTAGCTGGGACTATAGGCGCGCACCACCATGCCTAGCTAATTTTGTTAAAATCAAGGTCTTTCATTTTATATATCTTCAAAATACTTTGTTTTAACTCAAGATAAACTATTCTCAAAGAAACAATTTATCTGACATTTGTGAGATGAACAAAGTAAATATGAATGATTATGAGAAGGGATGTGATCTGCTTCACAGAGCAGTCTCAGAAGCTAACACTGAATGACAACCTGTTTCATGTTGTCCACAGCCTCTCCTAGCCAGAGAGGCATCGGGCATGGTGGGTGATGGGTGGCAGGATGAGGGAAATAAAGCCAGACTCTTGGATACTGAATCCCAGGGTTCAGCTTATAGAGCAGTGGGGTACTAGTCCTGGTCTGTTTTTCCAGAGCTCTGATGATAAAGAAAAAATCTCTCTCTAGCATTAATGTCTAGAAGTTAAACATACCAAGTAAAGCAGTACAAATATGCAAAGCAGGTTATATTCTTTTTAAATCTCTACGTAATGAGAACCTGGGCTTTTTTTTAGGGAGAGAAAGGTTACATTTTTGGTTTTGATTTTTATATTTTTCAAATGACATACGAAGGGAAAGCAGAGTTTGATTTTAGACCAATGCACAGCTGCTGTACTGAATGACAGTAAGGACTAGTTCTACTCTTTGATAATGTTTTTGGTTTTAGAGTTGCCAAATCTTTATTCAGAAATTCTGAATTGTAGCTGGAACTGTTTACCAGCTCTACATTAAGCAAAGCTATTTTCATGGAGTGGGAAAGGGGACAGGAGGAATTGGTTTGGCTTTGGTTGTAGAACATAATTTTAAAACATAATATCAGTTGAATTAGAGCAGTGTGATCTCAAATTTACTCCTTTAGTAAAAGCTCACATCTAAACATTTTTAAATGTAGAAAAGTGAAGTAAACTTTTCTTAGTGTTTACTTTGAAAATTTTATTCCGTAGTTGATTTAAAAGATGGATTCACTCGTCTCTTTGGGATGTTAATTTTTTTATTTCCAGTGGTTGATTTAAAATTTTTATTTTGTTATTTATTGAAATATAGTTGCCTTTGCTGAAATGATATGGCTGTTGTGGTGAACCAAAACTAGTTCGATGGGCAGAAAATGGAAGATAATTCTTAGATGATAATCTATAAGTATTTCGTGTAATTTGAAGAGGTTGGAAATCTTTTTATTATTCTCTTAGAAAAAGGAGCATTGATAGCTTGTATTTCAAAGGGGTATGCAAGATGGCAAGTAGTGCTATTTGCTTGCACAGTGGAGGCCCCCAAAATATGTATTACTTTTTTTTTTTTTCCTTAGCTACTTCTGTTGCCCAGGTGGGAGTGCAGTGGTACAGTCATAGCTCAGTGTAGCCTTGTACTCCTGGGCTCAAGTGGTCCTCCTGCCTCAGCCTCCTGAGTAGCTAGGACTACCAGTGTGTGCCACCACACGTGGCTAATTCTTTTATTTTTTGTAGAGATGGAGGCTTGCTGTGTTGCCCAGGCTGATCTTGTACCCCTAAGCTCAAGCGATCCTCCTGCCTTGACCTCTCAAAGCACTGGGATTACAGGCGGGAGCCACTGCACCCAGCCTGTATTACTTAATTTAACGTATTTATTTCTGTGTAGGTATACCATTGTATAATTAAGCGATGATAGGAATTATTTTTTTGTAACATTTATGATTAAATATTTTGTAGGACCTACAGAGTGAAAATTAAGTTAGATAATATACTTTCAACAAATGAGGCTATAGCTAATAATAAATCTCCAAGCAAGATGCTCCAAGAGCGTTGAGTCTCTTCAGCTGGGTATTAGCTGGCAAAGTTCATGTTGAGGATACATGGTTTGGTTAGGCAGAACATTTCAAATTATATCAGAAATAGTTATTTTTATGGTTATGACATTTTGCAGGAGTTCACACATTTTATGTAAGAATCTGCCATCATCAGAATGCAGTTACACCAAATACTTAGTTGCTTGTTCATGTGGCAGCTTTATTTTAAAATATCACCATTAACTTAATGGTGAGCAGATTCACAAGAGAATTACTTTAGTTAGTTATTTAGTTTGTTATTACAGATAGAGTTTTTTATTCATTCTCCTCCTCCGCCTCTTCCTCCTCGTCATCTTTGCCTTTCTCTTCCACCTTTGTCCAGACAACTTTAGTGGGACCTTTTGCGCCATCAGATTTTCCTTTAGACTTGCAGTTAGCAACATCCTTCTCATACTTCTCCTTCAGCTTTGTTGCCTTTGTGATGCAAAGCTGCTTTTTAGTGTCACTTAAATTACTCCACCTCTCACCTAGCTTTTTTGCCACATCTCCAATAGAGATGCCAGGGTCTGAATTCTTGGGGCAGAATTCTGAACAGAACAGGAAGAATCTGGACAGTGACCTTTTGGGGACATTGAGGTCCTTTTTGTTTTTTATTTTTTTGTTTTGCCTCCCTTAGATAGTCCATAATCCTTCATTTCTGAATCATAGCATATTTTATCTACTTTTGCCATTTCATCAGATTTAGACTTCTCTTTCCCAGACATTGTCTTCCACTTCTCAGTGTACTTTTGGACAATTTTGCAAAAATTGACAGGGATCTTTGGGTTTTTCTGCTTAGGTTCTCTGTATGCCTGCACAAAGAAGGCATAAGCAAACATCTTGCCTTTTGGTTTTGTGGAGTAGCTTTTAGCCACCCTGACTGAATTGTTCATGAGTCTGGGCAGCACAGGGCATGACATGTAGCTTAGTGATTCCCCAGCCTCACGCTAGCTGCCTCCACAAAAGGCACCTCAACAGGAGAATTACTTTAACATCATAATTACTTTCAGTGTGTTTTGGCATAAACTTACTTGAAATAGCTGTGTGACCCAAATTTTCTGAGCTATACTTAGCATGTGATGTTAACAATATCCTCCGATTTGCATTTAACGTGGTTAACTCCTAGAAAGTGCTCACATTTTTCTTTTGTAGCTTATTATAAATTTGTTTCCATATATATGTATGTGTGTATATACAATCCCACACACACATATGTATGTATGTATCGCCTTTGCTTTAGATAATTGGAATTGAAAGGACTAGGAACACCCTTCTGTTTTCCATGACTATGATGTGACTGTTCGTGTAAAAGTCCTGCCTTTTAGTTTTTTGGGATTGAATTTTTTTTAATTCTTAAAATATTTTAAAGCACACTTGTTGAAGATTGCTTTTTAACATTTGGGTTGGAAATGTGTACACACAGTCATTATATTCTGTTACCATTTTTTCTTTATGGGTGAAGTTGGGGGCTTAAAAGTTACATTTAATATTCTATTTTTGGACACTTCCACCAGAGTCTATACACATGTGAAATACATATTTTTAGATGTAAATGTAGCACCCAACAAATGATACTGCTGCCTTGGAGGGAACATTTTCTCGGTCCTTTAAGACATCCTTAACATTTTTGCATTTCTTCATAATTAAAAATTCTACACGATTTATTTAGAAATACATTGATGTTTTCCATCATGAAAATAATACATTGCATCTCTGGGCTGTGTTTTCAGAATTTTTACTGAAAGGATTCAATATTTCAGTATGTCCAGATTCTTCTGTTAACGTCAACTTTTAACTGTTGAGCTTAAGAACTATGCACATCAAGATTTGACTAGTTATAAATGTCTAATATTATTCCAAGATATGACATCATTGTAGGCATTCTTAAGAATTTCTGGATATTGTTTTTATTGTGTTTTCATCAGATGTGGATACCACCATAAATTTTTTTATGTGACTTTCTTTTCCTTTATTTGAAAATAGAGTTCTTGATTTACATCTTCTTTGAATTACTTAGCTAATTATAGTAGCTAACGTAATTCTGCTCTTAAGAACTACTTTCTATTAGGAGATTACTAAATGTAATCAGGAGTATGCAGTTAGGAATTTCTTTCTTATTGGTTTTCTTGTCTTTATAGTATTACATTGTGTTTAAGAAGCATTTTCTTAAGAAAAACAAGTCAAGGAAATAACTTCCATGCCAAATATTATCAGCATGGTTTATGGCAGTGAAGAGATCCTTTTAAAAGTATTTGAACAGTTTTTAGGGGATAGGACAAATCAAAATGTGTTGCTTGTGCCTTTACATTATTTATTTTGTGACTATCAATGATCACCTAGAAAATAAAAGGAAGTCTGGAGTTATCCAGAGACTGCATCTGCAGCACATTGCTACGTATGACTCTTTTAACTCCCTGTTTGCCCAGTGCTGTGGAGGGAGCCCAGTGCTTGTTGTATCCTGAGCGACCTGAGCGGGAGAGTCTGACATTTATTATATACCCATGGAAAGTAGTCTGCTGAACTACTGTGGTATCAAAGAGAAAGCTAGAGTTACGGAGGATGCTTCTTCTTATTATTATTATTTTATTTTTTATTATACTTTAAGTTCTAAGGTACATGTGCATAACATGCAGGTTTGTTACATATGTATACATGTGCCATGTTGGTGTGCTGCACCCATTAACTCATCATTCACATTAGGTATATCTCCTAATGCTATCCCTCCCCCATCCCCCTACCCTACGAAGGCCCCGGTGTGTGATGTTCCCCTTCCTGTGTCCAAGTGTTCTCATTGTTCAATTCCCACCTATGAGTGTGAACATGCGGTGTTTGGTTTTTTGTCCTTGCGATAGTTTGCTGAGAATGATGGTTTCTAGTTTCGTCCATGTCCCTACAAAGGACATGAACTCATCCTTTTTTATGGCTGCATAGCATTCCATGGTGTATATGTGCCACATTTTCTTAATCCAGTCTATCATTGATGGACATTTGGGTTGGTTCCAAGTCTTTGCTGTCGTGAATAGTGCCTCAATAAACATACGTGTGCATGTGTCTTTATAGCAGCATGATTTATACTCCTTTGGGTAGATACCCAGTAATGGGATGGCTGGGTCAAATGGTATTTCTAGTTCTAGATCCTTGAGGAATCACCACACTGTCTTCAACAATGGTTGAACTAGTTTACAGTCCCACCAACAGTGTAAAAGTGTTTCTATTTCTCCACATCCTCTCCATCACCTGTTGTTTCCTGACTTTTTAATGATTGCCATTCTAACTGGTGTGAGATGGTATCTCATTGTGGTTTTGATTTGCATTTCTCTGATGGCCAGTGATGATGAGCATTTTTTCATGTGTCTTTTGGCTGCATAAATGTCTTCTTTTGAGAAGTATCTGTTCATATCCTTTGCCCACTCTTTGATGGGGTTGTTTTTTTCTTGTAAATTTGTTTGAGTTCTTTGTAGATTCTGGATATTAGCCCTTTGTCAGATGAGTAGATTACAAAAATTTTCTCCCATTTTGTAGGTTGCCTGTTCACTCTGACGGTAGCTTCTTTCGCTGTGCAGAAGCTCTTTAGTTTAATTAGATCCCATTTGTCAATTTTGGCTTTTGTTGCCATTGCTTTTGGTGTTTTAGACGTGAAGTCCTTGCTCATGCCTATGTCCTGAATGGTATTGCCTAGGTTTTCTTCTATTGTTTTTATGGTTTTAGGTCTGACATTTAAGTCTTTAATCCATCTTGAATTAATGTTTGTATAAGGTGTAAGGAAGGGATCCAGTTTCACCTTTCTACATATGGCTATCCAGTTTCACCTTTCTACATATGGCTAGCCAGTTTTCCCAGCACCATTTATTAAATAGGGAATCCTTTCCCCATTTCTTGTTTTTGTCAGGTTTGTCAAAGATCAGATAGTTGTAGATGTGTAGTATTATTTTTGAGGGCTCTATTCTGTTCCATTGGTCTATATCTCTGTTTTGGTACCAGTACCATGCTGTTTTGGTTACTGTAGCCTTGTAGTATAGTTTGAAGTCAGGTAGCATGATACCTCCAGCTTTGTTCTTCTGGCTTAGGATTGTCTTGGCAATGCGGGCTCTTTTTTTGGTTCCATATGAACTTTAAAGTAGTTTTTGAATCTGTAAATTACCTTGGGCAGTATGGCCATTTTCACGATATTGATTGTTCCTGTCCATGAGCATGGAGCGCTTATTATTTTTTAAAGTATAGAAAACTTTATTCATTATTAATTTTAGAGTAATGCATAGATTCCTAATATTTGTTTCCTTTATAGTTGTAGATTTTATATACAATAATCTTGGAACAATTATTTAAGTATTAAGTTCACATTAAGAGAAATAAATATTAAAGACAGGAAAAATCTAGAGGTGCAAGGATTATTTCAGACTTTAAGAAATAAAAATTTAAAATTTAACATTAAGATATTGTTTAGTTTTATTTAATGGTATTGTTTTATTCATCCTAATATTTTCTTGGAATGAGGAATAAATGGATTTACTTTAGGAAGAGTTACTGTATTTTCAGAGGTGAGCACTTGCTGTCCTGTGATCAAGTAGTTGGCCTGGGTGTTTTCTGTCGTTGGCTCTCCCTCAGGATAATTTACTGATAAAATCTTGTAAACAACTCTTTACATTCCTTTAAAGAGACTTGTCCTTATTCTGTTTAATATTCCCCTCAGATAGCCCCAGTGTTCTGATGGAGTAATGTCTATGCATCTGATACAGTGGCAAAAAGTGCCATAAATAACAGATATGTGTAATGGCCTGGTTAGCATCCAATGTTGGCTCCTCTGTCTTTCCTAATCACAGATCGTGGGGCAGATTCATAGCAGAAGTAGTCACTTTTCAATCACGTATAACACTCTGCTTAAAGATTGCTGATGTTTGAAGTTGAGTTGGTGTCTTAGTGTATTGGAGCCACTGTAACAAACTGCCATAGACTGGATAACTTAAATAACAAACAATGAATTCTCATAATTCTGGAGTCTAGGAAGTCCAAAATTAGGTACCAGCAGGTTCGGTGTCTGTTGAGAGCCCCTTTCCTGGTTCATAAATATCCATCCTCTCTTCTGGGTCCTCATGTGGCATAAGGGGTGAGGGAGCTCTCTGGTGGTCTCTTTTATAAGAGTACCAATCCCATTTATGAGGGCTGCACTCTCATGACCTGACCACCTTCCAAAGGCCCCAACTCCTAATACCATCACTTGGGGGTTAAGGTTTCAGCATATAAATGGTGGCAGGGACACACACATTCAGTCCACCACATTCTGCCACTGGCCTTCCAAAATTTATGTCATTCTCACATGCAAAATACATTCATTCCATCCCAACAGCCCTAAAAGTCTTAAGTTGTTTTAGCATCAGCTCCAAAGTCTTAAGTCCAAAGTGTCATTTAAATGTCGTCTAAATCTGATATGGATGAACCTCAAGGTACAGTTTATGCTGAGGCAAATTCCTCTCTAGCTCTGAACCTATAAAAGCAAATAAGTTATGTGCTTCAAAAATACAGTGGTGGGACAAGTAATGGATAGACATACTCATTCCAAAGGGAAGAAATAGGAAAGAAGAAAGGAGTAATGCATCTAAAATAAGTTGAAAACCTAACCGAACAAACAATATTAAACCTTAGGACTCAAGAATAATTCCCTTTGGCTTCGTACTCTGCTTTTCAGGTCCACTGGGGTGGGAACATCATCTCTCAGCTAGGTGGAACGTACCTCAGTGGCTGTTTGCCAGAGCCCCACCCCAGAGGCACTGAGGTCCTTTTTTGGCACTTGGGGCACACCAGACCTAAAGAGGCATCTAAGAGGAGGCATGTCCCTCTGGACATCTGCTCTAGGCCTGGTAAAGGGCGTCTACAGAAAAACCTATAGCTAACATATTTAGTGGTGAAAGGCTGAATTGTTTTTATTTAATACCAGGAACAAGACAAGGTTGCCCACTCTTACCACTTCTGTTACTCAGCACTGTCCTTAAGATTATAGCCAGTGCACTAAGGGAAGAAAAGAGTAGATAGAAAAAAGTAACTATTTGCAGAATAGTATGATCATTTATGTAGAAAATTCAGTATGATATACAAAAAAGCTACTAAAACTAATAAGTGAGTTTAGAAAGATTGCAAGATCAGTGTACAAAAATAAATTGTATTTTTGAACACTAACAATGAAAAATAAAGTTTTAAAAAAGTTTATAAGAACATCAAAAATACGAAGTTCTCAGGAATAAATCTGACAAAAAATGTGAAAGAGCTATACAATACATTGCTGAGAGAAATTAAATAATACATACACAATAGGAGAGGTACACCCTTTTTGCCTTGGTCAGAAAACTCAAGATATTCTCTCCAAGTTTGAAAAATATTATCAACATTATTAGTCATTCATTAGGGAAATGCAAAATTAAACCACAATGAGATACTGTTGGTTTGGCTAAAATTGAAAAGTCTGACCATACCAAATATTGACAAGGATATGAAAGAACAAGAGCTCTTTTACACTGCTGGCAGGAATGTAAAATGGGATATTTCCAAACTTTGGGAAACAGCTTGGCAATTTCTTAAAATGTTAAATATGTATGTACCATATTCAGTCATTTTGCTCTTAGATAAATGAAAACATGTTCTTACCAACACTACGCAGATGTTCATAGCAGCTTTATTTTTAATAGCTAAGGCTGAACATAATTCAAATGCTTATCAACAGGTAAATGGGTAAACTGCAGTATTCATATAACGAGCTATACTACTAAATAAAAAGGAATGAACTGTTGGTACATGCTACATCACAGATGAATCTCAGAATCATTCTGAGTAAAAGAAGCTAGGAAAACAGTATACAGCTTGAATAATTCTATTTATATAATTCTAGAAAACGCCAACTATCTAGTGACAGAAAGCAAATTAGTGGGTACTTGGGGATGGTAGTGCTGGTGGTAGGGAGGGGTGGAAGGAAAGGATCAAAACAGAATCATTTGGAAGTGATAGATATGCTCCTTATCTTGGTTGTGGCAGTGGTTTCAGGAGTGTTTATGTATATCAGAACTTATCCAGTGGAATACTTTATGTGCAATTTCTTATGTGTCAGCTGTACTACAATAAAAATAAATGAAAACTGTCTTTACTGTCTGATCACTGCAGCTAACAAATCTAGGACTACTTGCTAAATTTACCCAATCTTAAGACCCACCAAGGACTTTTGTTTAAAGGGATGTGATCCAGGCCTGTCATGGTGGCTCATGCCTATAATTCCAGCACTTTGGGAGGCCACGGCTGGTGGATCACTTGAAACCAGGAGTTCGAGACCAGCCTGGCCAACATGGTAAAACCCCATTTCTGCTAAAAATGCAAATAAATAATTAATTAAATAAAATAATGTGATCCAGGCTTCAGAATTATTAAGATAGGACAGAGGAACTGGACTTTTTAGCAAGCACCCCAGATAATTCTTCTCCTTCTTATAAAACACTTAACCCAGGTTCATTTAATTGCACTTTGGTAATCTGCAGCCATGTCTTTATGTGAGAAAGGGATATTAGGTTTCTAATATGAACAGAAAGGCCTAGCCATGGACCACCTGATGATGCTTCCACTGTGGTCAGATAAGATAATTTACAATTGAATGGAATTATTTTCCTTTCAGTTTATAGTTTACTGAAGTGAGCCTTGCATTGTAAGTTCCTGAAGTAATCACTGGAAATGTCTTAATTCAGTAGCTCCATCTTTAGTTAATGCTGCACTAAAAGAAAAAAGGAATTTTACTTACATACTTTTTGACAAGTCACATTCATATATGTTTTAGTGGAAAAACTGTTTTACATCTTATATATAGAAGCTGTAAAATAACATGTTCTGGGGAGAGGAATAAGATGAATAGAATAACATTATAATTATCTAAATGTTCTTTAAATGGAGATAGCCACAATCTTTCGTAAAACTCTGGAAAGAACAGCATGACCTTCTTATTGCCCCCTTTCCACCGACGTCAAACAGAAGGAAATTATAGAATAAGTCTGTCTAAATTTTAAATGGTTCAGTTATCGGAAGACCTTAGAGAGCAAGTTTTCCACAAATCATCTCTGCGCCATTTTGTCTTGATTATTTTTTTAAGGGTTGGTTTGCCAACATGTAATTAATCACTTTTGTTAGTTTTTAAGGAAATGAAACTGCATTGTTCCCTTTGGCTTGACTGTTCTTTTTTATGGCGTCTTTTAGTGTTGTAGTTGTAATATGAAAACCTTAGGTAAATGTTGGGCAGTAATGTGAACAAAACAGTGGGAAGGGAGTAATTTTTAAAAGCTTATCTACATTGCTGCTGTAATACTTACATTCAACTCCAGATCTCAAATACCACCAACTTTAATATCAAAGTCCCTTAAAGTCAGAAGGTGTTATAATGTCAGTGGATGGGGTTATTCCCTGTGTACAAAGAGTCAGGATGCACTTGTCACCAATTCCCATGGTTTCTTCTTCCAAAATCTAGTTTGAATGGATCATTTCATCTCTGGAGGAAGGGATGGGAGCACCCTTCCGACCAGTTTCATTTCTTTGGGCTCTGTTCCATCTGTGCAGGGAACTACCTTCTCTATGGAAATTGGACACGATTTTAAAAATAAAGCATTGCATTTACTAATGACTGTCAGTATTAAGATTTCATGTAGATCTTGTTGCTTCTCAGAAAAAAGTTTCATATACAGTAAGGTTTTAAAGATAGGCAAATAACTAGTTGTGAGCAGGCACCATCCTTTAACTTTTATTAATTTGAAATCATTTTTCCATTTTTAAGCAGAATAGAATGTCCCAGTAGGTGTAAGGGAAATTTCAGTAGCCTCCAAGACTCTGTGGAGATTTTGAAACTATACACGCTTCTCCATCTGTCGCCTGCCCCCTCCTCCCAGAGCATAGACTTCAAGGCTGGACTTTGCTCCATGTTAATGATCACTGTTAATGAAAAAGATAATAGGTTCCAAAAGGCTGACCACCTGTTTTTGGTATTTAGGGTAATGCTGCTGTCAAAGTGAATGAGATATATTCCTTCCTCTGTGTTCTGAAAGTTTACGTAGGGTTGGGTGTGTAATGGGTTGAATTGTGTCCTGCGTCTCCACCAAAAAAAAAAAAAAAATGGTTGAAGCCCTAACCCCCAGTACCTCAGAATGTGACCTTATTTGGAAATAGGGTCATTGCAGATGTAACGTTAAGATGAGGTCATACTCAATGAGTATGAGCTCTAATCCACCCTAAGAAAAGAGACACACACATGAGGAGAAAATGTCACGTGAAGATAGAGGCAGGGACTGCAGGGCTGCAGCTGCAAACCAAGACACACCAGGGGCTTCCGGCAACCACAGGAAGCTGGGAATAGGCAAGGAAAGATTCCCCCTACAGGTTTCCGGGGAAGCACAGCCACGCTGACACATTGATTTGGACTTCTAGCTATCAGAGCAGTGGGACAATAAATTTCTGTTGTTTAAACTACTCGTTTGTGGTATGTTATTATGGTAGCCCTAGAAAACTAATACAGATTTATATTTTCTTTCAAGTTTGATAGAATTCACCAAACAGTGTTGAGTTTTCTTTGTGGAAAGGTTTTGAATTGTGAATTCAGTATCTTTAATAGATGTAGGGCTATATAGATGTTCTGTTTACTCCTGTGTCTGTTTTGGTAATTTGTATTTTAAGAAATTTGTTTATTTCATTTAAGTTGCTGAATTTATTGGCATAAAATTGGATTGTTCATAATATTTTTTGATGTCTTAAAGGATGGTGTTCCCTCCTTTATTTCTGATATTTTAAATTTTTTGTTGTTGTTCAGTCTAACACAGTGGTTCTTAACTGGGACAGTTTTGCTCTGGCTAAGGACATTTGTCTGTGCCAAGGGACATTTGGCTATGTCCGGAGGCATTTTGGGTTGTCACAGCTTGGAGGATGTGCTACTATCATCTAGTGGGTAGAGCCCAGGGAGAATGCTAAACATCCTACAATGCACAGGACAGCTTCTCACAGCAAAGAATCCTCCAGCCCACAATATCAGTAGTGCTGAGGTTAAAAAACCTACTCTAGGCTTTATAGTGTAAACCTTCTATTTTCCAAAAATATTATATCATTTCATGTTTAATATAGTGTTTCCATTCATCCCCTTCCAGTCTTCAAACTGGTTGTGGGCATACCTTTTACTTCTCTGTATATTATAAACCCCACGATATATTGTTAGCTGTTTTTGCTTTAAATAGTCTGTCAAGGAAATTTTAACATAAGAGAATATGTTCAGTTGTTACTAATATATTTTCAGCACTCTGTATTCTTTGTGTTGACTCAGATTTCCATGTGGTATATTTTCTTTCCACATGAAGAACTGCTTTCATACATCTTACAGGTCTGCTGGAAACATAGTCTCTCTGCTTTTATTTGTCTGAAAAACTCTGTATTTATCTTCATTGTTGAAGTATATTTTGGCTCTATATAGAACTTTCCATGACAGTTTTTAATTTTTTTTTCTTTCTTTGAGACAGAGTCTCGCTTTGTTGCCCAGGCTGGAGTGCAGTGGCGCGATCTCGGCTCACCGCAACCTCCGCCTCCCGGGTTTAAGCGATTCTCCTGCTTCAGCCTCCCGAGTAGCTGGGATTACAGGCATGCGCCACCATGCCCAGATAATTTTGTATTTTTAGTAGAGATGGGGTTTCTCTATGTTGGTCATGGCTGATCTTGAACTCCTGACCTCAGATAATCCTCCCAAAGTGCTGGGATTACAGGTGTGAGCCACCGTGCCTGGCCCTAAAATATTTTAAAATATGTCATTTCATTGTTTTCTTGTTTGCATAGATTCTGGGGGGAAATGTAGCTATTGTTCACTATTATAAGGCTTTTAAAAAAATCTGTGTATTTTACAAAGTATTTTGGGATTTTGTTGTTATTGAAAAATAATAACCTAAAATTTAATGCAACATGTTTAGATTTTACAAACAGACTTGTATTTGACTTGCGTTTGGTATTTCTCTTTTTTCCTTTTCTTTTTTTCACTTTTTTCTCTTTTACTCATTAAAATATGTATTTTGGGGCAAGCTATTTCTCTGAGCCTCAGTTTTCTCACCTGTAAAATTGAGCTACCAATGATTCTCACAGGTTTATTGAGGAAATTAAATGTATTGAAGGATGCAAAATGATTTGAATTTGTAGGTACTCATAAACCTGATACTACAGTACACAGGTATCCCCCTCCTCATCCAAGTTCAGTTGTTCTGACCTCAGGGTTCACACTTGGCGGCAGATCAGTGGATGTACCGGATCTGAGTCCTTCCCAGCCATGTGGCAGCAGCTCTGTGTAGAGACGTTGCCTGCCCCCCGCCCCCTGCACGCTCTCCAGGAGCCAAGTACAGCCAGGAATTGGCCAAAATGGAGAGCCCCGAACGGACCATGAATGGACACTGTTGCCACTGTTTACTATTCCTGTTCCTTTCTGTAGTTTACCTGCTGATTTTAAATAAACCTGATTGCTTACTCAAGCAAGGTTGGAAGTTTTTTTAATCCTTTAATTTAAAACTTTAAATACAGTAAAAATCCATGACTTCTTATATTTCCCCTCATTTGCGTATTTCACTTAGGATGCTCTTCCCTTTAATTAAACTAAAATTCTGTTCATTTTCCACTTCTCAATTATGCAGACTAGCTATAATATTTAAAGTTACAAATTCTCATATTAGAAGAATCTTGGACATAATTCATAATACGTAGCTTGTAATCAACAGTAAACTATTACTTCCAATGGATCTAATTACTTAGAATTTATAATACTAATATTGGATGCACTCTTTTTTATCTTAGCAAGGGAAACTAACTGTGTATGATAGACATTTTTTTGTAAATAACATTTCGCTTTTCCAAAGCATGAGTTGAGCTGTTATTTTTTGTCCTGTAGCTGGCTGTGGGCGCTAGCCCCCTGACTGTTGTTTTAAATGTCCCCTCATTGTGCTTCTGCTCCTTTACTAGTGGGCCTTTGGAGTGACGCTGTGGGAACTCATGACTCTGGGCCAGACTCCCTACGTGGACATTGACCCCTTCGAGATGGCCGCATACCTGAAAGATGGTTACCGAATAGCCCAGCCAATCAACTGTCCTGATGAATTGTGAGTTTTTTTGAGCTTGAAGGCATGAGTTTTATTCCATTTACTATATTGGAATAAAGGAAAAAGAGCAGGTTTCCATATTCACACAGAGCCTTCCCTTTTGAGAATAATGACTCTTTGGATTTAAATTAGACTCTTATAAAAAACCACAAAGTCAGGGAGATTCGTTCACTCTTTCATGCATTTGATATTAGAACGTCTTGCATTTTATTTTATAGTGCATAATCTAAGCACTATAAATTAGTCTGAGAGGACGTACTAAGAAAATTGAATGCTACGTCAGTTATTCTATATAAAGTGAGTATCTGACTTTTATAGTTATAAAGTAGTTATAAAGGACATAGTAGTTATAAAAAACCTCTCTCGTTGTCATTTTGCCTTGCCAGTTAGTATCAGCTAATACAGGGAAGATGATCTGGACTAGTAAGCCAAATAGTTGCTTTCTGTTTCCTGCTTCTATCACATAGCTTATCTTGCCATGTAATGAGAATGGGATAAACAGGAGGCTATGCAGGGTGATTGATCGTACAGATGAGTATATTCTCAGTTCCAGAACCTCCTGAAGGTTTCTGCACCATGACAAGGTGGCAGCTTTTGTACTGATTTTACTCTAGATCCAGGGTTCATAGAACTTAGATAAAACTTTCTCTTCCTCCAAGTTCTTTTCTTAATTTAACTACAGGAAAACACACATTCTTTTTTTACTGTGTTTTAGGTTTTTACATGAAATCTCTGTATTTGCTGAAATATTTTGATATGTTGTCATGAAGAATTGAAATTCACACATAATCCAAATAATTTCTTTTAGCTTCTTTCTAGAGCTGCCAACAGATAGTAAAATGGATCCGTTTTTAATATATCATCCTCTCCATACCCACCTTTAGACAGGCAACATAACTGGCATCAAACTGAGCAAAAGTTATGAATACTGTATCCTTACTAGCCCAAATTTTCATTTTTGTCACTCTGCAGATTTGCTGTGATGGCCTGTTGCTGGGCCTTAGATCCAGAGGAGAGGCCCAAGTTTCAGCAGCTGGTACAGTGCCTAACAGAGTTTCATGCAGCCCTGGGGGCCTACGTCTGACTCCTCTCCAATCCCACACCATCAGGAAGAAGGTGCCTGTCGGGGCTCACTTGAAGCCTGTCAGGGATGCTTTGTATCTAACACAACGCCAACAGAAGCACATTTGTCTTCCAGAACACCGTGCCTTAGAAATGCTTTAGAATCTGAACTTTTTAAGACAGACTTAATAATGTGGCATATTTTCTAGATATCACTTTTATTAGGTTGAACTGAAAGGGTTTTTGTAAATTTTTTGGCCAAAATTTTTTAAAACATACTTACTTTGGACTAGGGGTACATTCTTACAAAATAAATAAACAGTTTTTAAAATTGTTTAGACACAGATATTTGGAATTAGCTATCTTAGTGCCAACTGCTTTTTATTTTTTTACTTCATCAAGGTGATGTAAGTGACTCACCTTTAAAGTTTTTTTAGTGTTATTTTTTATCACTACTCTGGGAAATGGTTTGTCTTCAAGATGCAATACTTTTCTTAGTAAAGGAAAAACAGCATAAAAAGATACCTGGTCTGCCTTGTACAAGAAAAGGCAATATTAGAGGAAGAAAATTTAAAGAAAAGCTAGAGGAAAAAAAAATTTTTTTAAAAATACTTATTAGAAGCAAACTGCCCTTGCATGGAAAACTGTTTATTTTTTTCAGTGAAAAGGAATTCTGCTTTCGTGTTTTTGGGAAAGCAGGAACTGAGTTCATTACATCTTTAATTTGGCAGAAATTAGCCTTTCTGTGAACCAGATGTGGTTTGGGGCAGATCTGTAGTAAACAATGGTGATTTTATTTATTTTTACTCTCTGGAAAAGGAGATAATACAATTCCAGAAAGTGAACTCATATTTCTAAGGTTAAGATTCCCTTTTATTGCACCTAGAATAGTGCTATGCACAGAGCGGGTGCTTGAGTTGTTGTCGTTTTTTGTTTGTTTTTTAAATGTAAACTGGTAAATTTTGTGCTTATCTTCAAGGCTGGCTTAAGTATAAAATTGTTTTTTAAACACTTGAAAAATTAAAGGATTTGTTTTATATTATGACAGTATTGAAATTATTTTTCATAATGAATGATTGGTTATTGTGTCTGGTAAGTCTTTGAACATTCAACAGCCAGACATTTGTGTTTTATTTCATGATGTTCCAGTCAAGTTCCAAAGCCCTAACACAGTTAAGCTGGCTCAGACTCCAGGTTCTAGTAAAAAGTTGGAATTAATGTTATAAGGAAGTATTAAAACACTGAAACATTTCTCCAGAACCAGCAAGTAAGGGATATGTATGTATTTATGCTCAGTTTTAGTTGGCCTAAAGCAGAGTTGAATGGGCTTTCTAAATAGCTAGGCCTGCAGGTACCTGCCACTACTCCCATCTTCAGAGGTATATAAGGGAGAATGTGTAGCAGTTGGAGGCTTTTGCTGTTTTTAAAAAAGCCTTATGAATCAGCAGCACATCGGGAAAAATAGCTCACATAGTACCTGGTTTTCCACAAGTAAGCCAAGGGCATGATTTTCTGTGTACATTTATTAACAGTTCTTTGGTTTTATGAAATACTCATATGAAGCCAGTCCCTGGAGTACTGTTTTTTAAAAGGTCCCTTTGAACCATTTGTAAATTATATTTTCATTCATAACCTGCATTCTTAGAAGGCATTCAGTCAACATTTACAGCACTTACTGTGTATTTTCCACATGGAGTGGTTCAACTCAAGCGTCCCTTCCAGTATTCAGGGCATTCTTATTTCATGTTCAAGTGAGTGCATTGTTTAGAAATCACAGTTTATTAACATGTACATGATCTATTTTAAAAAAAAAATAAGTACTGACACCTGACTTCTACTCCCAATTAGCAGATTGTAAGAAATGTCCTCAGTTTGGTGGATGGTGTGGTGCCTGTAACCTTATCTTTTTGTGTTTGTGAGCACTTTTATTTTATGTATGTATTTTTATTGTAGTAGATTTTTCTTGGTGAGCTACTTGGAGTCTTTGACATGGGAAGGAAAGAGCAGTTATAAGATCTCCCTGACTCATGTTCTTCCAGTAGTTTTATTGTAGATTGTGAATGTTACTGAAGTTTTACATTTTACTGATTTTGCAGAAAATATAATTTTTATGGAAAAGAAGCAAATTGACAAAGCAGTGTTGTGGTATTATAAGCTGGCTCTGGTGACCTAGAGATGCATTCTATTCTGTTTTTTCTTGTAATCCTCCTGTTCTAGAAATTTTTTTTTTTTTTATTGATAGAGGGAGGATTGGGTTGCTCATTCAGTATATATTTATTGAGTGCCCACTGTATCCTGGCTCTCGGGATAATGCAGGGAACAAGATAGATGAGGTTCTTCCCTTTCTAGATTTTGCATTCTAGTTAAGAAAAACAGGTAATGAACATAAATAAGATTTTGGTAAGTGCTATGATAGAAATAATAGAGTGATATTAGAGAGTGTAACTTTAGATGTCATAATTAGCCAAGCTTCTCTAAGCAGGTGGCATTTGAATTGTGATCTGAATGGCAAGAAGCAGCCAGCCATGAGAACACAGAGGCAGAAGGCACATAATTGCAGAAGCCTTAAAGCAGAAGCAAGCTGGCCTCCAATCTCAGCCGTTCCCCTTCATTCTCTAGCTGCTGCTGCTGTTGGAAAAAGAGAAAGGTAGCTAGCGTGGCTAGAATGTAGTTAGGGAAGGGAGTGGTACAAAGAAGCAGGTCTTTGTAAGCTGTGGCATACATTTATATTTTTTGCTGAATACAATGGGAATTCATTTGAGGATTTTTCAAGTAAGTAGCGATATGATCTGATTTGTCATTTTGAAAAGGTTGTGCCATCTCCTCTGTGAAGACTGGATTGTGAGAATTCAAAGGAAGAAGTAATGAGACCCTTTAAGAAGCCGTTGCATAGTTCAGAAAAGAAAAGATAGTGGTTTGGACCACTTTGAGTAGTGAGGAGATACAGAGAGAAGGGGCAGATTGGAGATATGTTTTGAAGATACACCAGGACCTGGATCCATTGGATGTTGACGGTGGGGTGAAGAAGGAAGCGGGGAGGTGAGGAATGACTAATTGATTTGGGGCTTGAGCATCTGGTTTTATGGCCAAGCTATATACTGAGATGGGGAAAAATCTAGGAGAAACTGAATTTTGCATTGGCCAGAGAAATCCATAATTTGGTGTAGACTGTGTTTGAGATGCCAGTTGATCATCTGTATGGAGATTTTTGATAGATGAGAGTCTGCAGCTCAGGGAAGGTCTCATTGAACATACAAATGTAGGAGTATAGCATATAGACTATTTTTAAAGCCATGGTACTGGATGGAGTTGATAGGGAGAGAGTGTATAGATGGAGAGGAGGTCCTAGGACTGAGTCTTGAGCATTCTAACCTTCAGTTCCAGCTAGTGAAGAAAGAAGAGATAACAAAGACAGGAAAAGCCACTGTAATTGATAAAAGCAACAACAAAAAAGTGAAAATGAGGTGTTGCAGGAGCCCAAGAAAGGTCGTGTTTCAAAATGGAGACGCCTCCATCAGATTTGGCAATATGGAGTTAACTGGCAGGAGCATGGGGACTGGAGCAAGTCGAAGTGTGGACACAGGTGGGGA
The DNA here is from genome assembly GCF_000001405.40 of Homo sapiens. Classification (NCBI taxonomy): domain Eukaryota; kingdom Metazoa; phylum Chordata; class Mammalia; order Primates; family Hominidae; genus Homo; species Homo sapiens. The sequence goes on along the minus strand of NC_000003.12, from coordinate 134,154,584 downwards.
CGTAAAGGCCTACCACTGTCAGCCCTGCTGTGAAGGGAAATGAAGCAATAACTAGAGGAGATCAAAGGGGGTTTTTCGGGAGAAGAGGGACAGGGATGAGAGTGTTTTCCAGATGAAGGTACAGTGCCAGAAAATGTTTCATGGGCTCATGGGAATGATCCGGTAGAGGGAGAAAAATCCCTCTGGGGTATGGGCCACTGCTCTTCCTTGCCATTTGGTCCACAACCATGAAAGCCTTTCACTCTGGCCCCGAGCCCTTTTGTTGTATAAGGGTTGTGTGTTTACTGGGGGAGAAATGTGAGGGAGGTAAGGTAAGGGAGGCGGTACACAAAACTGCCACCGTCCCATTACCCAACAGCCTGCCTCTGTTGAGGGGCTTTCCTGGGACTTCAGACTGGCACCCTCATTGTGCTTGCAGCTGTCATGTTTCCTTGCCCAGATTGCCCATAGCTGCTTCCCTGGCCTCGGCCTTGAACCCCTCTAGCCAGCAACTGCCCAGGTAACACTTTATAAAACTGAGCCGCTGTCCCTGCTTGGAGCCTTCAGAGTAGACTTCAGACCTAGGCAGAGTATCCACTCAGCTCTGCCGTTTCTCCTGCTCCCCACTTCGGGCCTGCACGCTTCCCGCCGCTCGGCATGCTCCTTCCCCTTCTCCGAGAATGACGTGCTCCCCGCACTCCCCACACTGCCGCCTTGGGACCAAGAAGGTGCCTCTCACACCTTACTGCTCTCCTCCAGGCTTCGTGGTTGCTTTTCAGCCTTTTTCCCTGGATTTGAACTTTAACAAAGGTAAGATGGAGGTTTATTTTTCACCACTTGGCTGTGAGTTCCTTGAGGATAGGAACTTGTGTTTTACTCAGATCTGAATCTCCATTGCTTTAGTGGTGTGCTCAATACATGGTAGGGGTGAATATTTAATGAATGAATGAGTGAAAATATCTAAATTTTGCACAGGAGAGCAATTAGAGAGGCTTAAACAGGAAGGAAGTCTTCTAATTCCTTAAAAGCATTATCTCATATTTGAAGAGTTCAAGTTTGATGCAACATAAACTGATAAAGTTTGAAATAAAAAGAGACAGGTTGGTAGGAAAGACCATTCATATCCTATCCCCAAACTGGCTTAAGTCCACTCCCACTGCCCCCAGCTACCACCTTTTTACTTTATTCTACCTGCTATTTCTTTGGCCACCGGAATAATAAGCCTGATGTAAATTCTGTTTCATACTCCCACAGGTCAACTTTTTTTGGAGTTTGACAATAATTATTCCAAGTCAAGTAATTCATTGATTTTAGTGGAAGATTGTTTTCCAGGTGTTATTCTTCCATGCGCCTCACCCCCATCTCATAAAGTAGAAAAGAGATGATTTAATTTATGGGTCTAGAAAATAAAAATGTAAATACTTGCTTGTTAAATTAATTTTTTTCTACCTTCATTTTTACCTTTAATATTTCAAGATAATATTGGACTTAATTCTCTGAGACACACAAACATCCTGCATAAGTATATTGACAACATACATTTTATATGTAAGTGAACCATATGGGTGAGCCTCTGCTTTCTCCCTGACAGCGCTGTTCTTTAAGAAATTAAGGCTAACCAGGTCTATAGGTTTTAATGGGAGATGTCTCCTAACTTTTCAAAGACCAGATGTTCTTGTTATACTGATAAAAACTTATTAAAAAAAAAAAGAAATAGGGATTGATGATGTTCAACATTATTCTCTTTGAACAAATACATCATTTGTTCATACTTGGTTTCTCAGTATTTCAACAATAAAGCATGTTTTAATGATTTGTCTTTAGAGGAGTGAGCACTCCTCTGGGGGTATATTACAACTGGGAAAAAAAATATAGTTTGAAAATAAAATAACTGTTTACCCTTAAAGAAATTAACTCTATGGTGCCTTAAGGTTACATTTGCAATAAACTTTTTTACATCTTTCTGAGTCTTTTTTTGCTTTTTGCCTTCTTGGCTCTGAGAATAAGCATAGGCTGATATTAGATAGGTTTGTATCATTAGGGATAGCATTTAGCTGCAAGTAATGGAAAAATTCAACCATAATCACTTAACCAAAGGCAGGTCATTTTTCTCCCATAACAGCTCCAGAGAGAGATAAACCAATGCTAATGCAGTGATCCCAGGGTGTCATCCATTGCCAGTCTCCTCCTGTTTTGCTGCTCTGCCGTCTTTAGCATGCTGTGGTTCTTAGGGACCCCAAGGGCCTAGAGCTTGTTCCAGATAGGAAGATGAGCAAGGGCAAAAAGCAAGAGGCATGAGTTACTGAGTCCTTTTTGTGAGGAAACTACTAACTTCCTGTAGTATGCTTCCACCAACAACTTAATATCCTGAACGCACATGAGCACTCCATGCGCTACAGGTGGGTAATGCCAGGAAATTAGATTTTGTTATTTTTTGAAAACAGCTTTATTGAGATATAATTCTAGTATCACCCATTTAAAGCGTGTAATTCTCAGTGATTTTTAGTGTAGTCACAGAGTTGTATAATCATCGCCACAATCTAATTCATTTTTATTACCCTAAAAAGAAACCCCATACCCATTAGCAGTCACTCCCAATTCCACCCTCACCCTCAGCTCTAGGCAACCACGAATCTACTTTTTGTCTGTATAGATTTGCCTGTTCTGGACCATTCATATAAACGGAATCACACAACATGTGGTCTTTTGTGTTTGGCTTCTTACATTTAACATAGGATTTTCAAAATTCCTTCATGTATCATGTATCAGTACTTCATTCTTTTTTATTACTGACAGATATTCCATTGTATGGATATAAACCATTCATCAGTTAATGCATATTGGAGGAAATTGAGTTTTGAGTTGATCACGTTCTTGTTGTATACAAAATTGGGCTTCTATTGGTAAGGAAGGCGATGGCTCTTGAGGAACGGCTAGCAGTGTCTGCCGCTTTGCAGAAATGTGCTGGTATTTGGCTTCCTTTAGCAATATATTTAATGCTTCAAAAGTTCTGTCAAAGTACAGTGATTGTGAAGAGTCTTAGTGACTGTAGGGAGTGTCCAGTCAGCTTGGTGTTTAAGTTGGTGAGTCCTGCCATTATTTGAGATGAAAGCCTGGTAGGAATTACTACCTCACCTTTAGCTTCTAAGTCTTTGACCAGAAAACTCTACTGCTGTATTCCATTGTGAATGCTGTTACTTTGGCCTCTGGCCCACTGTTTTCCACCTGTTCATAATTCTGCCACCACCTTATAGATTTGAGCTTGCAAAGTTATATTTTCTTCAATATTTGGCGTACAGTATCTACCACCAGGTACCTTTTTGCTAGCTTCATGATCTGACTATTTAGGGCCTTTAGACGTAAGCCAGAGACTGGCTGTGTGTGTCCATTGAAAGTCTTATTAAAAGAGCTTAAAAAATATTTAATGATCTATTACATAGATTTATTGTACTATATTTCATATGCCTTTATTTAGACAATACTTGCATTCCTACTAGGTTTTTTGACTTTTTAATTGATACTATTTGGTCATAGCATTACTTAATAGGCATCTGAAGAACACTTTAGACATTGCCTAATTTAGAGAACAGGATACCGTCCTGGAGACTCTATGACGAATTGGTTGTGGGCCCTCATTCTAGAAAAACACTGGAATTAATATCCTGAAAAAAGTTCCTCTAGCCCAATGTGGTTCAAGCCAGAATAGGTTTGACTTACCCATAATCTCTTTATCAGGAAGTGCAGTGCTTGATAAATCTGTGTTCAAGTTTTGTGTTGGGATCTCTAAGCAGTGTCCCTCTGGCCTTTGCTCTTCCCCCTGTCCCAGTCCTCAGAACGGCCCACAGATAACTAAGCTTAAAGGATAGGGGCAGCTTTATGTGACCTGACAAGCATTCTTGGCCAGCTGAGCAGACTTGTCTTGTGGTAAGTACTCCCTTAGGGTCCTTCTCACCTCTTCTGGGAAGGCAGGAAGAGGAAGAGACAGGAGCTTGGCACTGCCGGGCTTCATGGAAACCTGGACTGGCTCCCACTGAGGGGCTTCCCCTTCTCCATTTTCCTCTGTGTCCACTCTGGACCTTTTATTCTTTAGTGTCCCTCTGTTGCCAGCCTCACCTTCTGGCTCTTGTCCTTATGTCCCTCTTAAAGGAACTTCATTCCCTTTCCACAGGGTGTAGTACTTCAAGTGCATTTAAACAATGTATTAAGACTTAAAGTAGATATGAAGATTAGTTTTTTCCACAGCCACCTTAGCAGGGCATCACATTTTTGAGATGAAAGGAGGATTACCTGTTTTATTTTACAAATAAGGAAACTGAATTCTGTATCACTTCCTAGATACGAGATTGAAAATAGGCCTTTTTTCATGTTGGCATGTTTTTAGGAGGTAGTTGGAATTCCCCAGGAAGGGAAATTAATTTGTTGAGTACTTACCAGCACTCCAATAGTGGGCATTTTAATATATGTCTGTCAAATAAGTGGAAGTTGATAATAGATTTGTGGAGAGTTTGGTAGTATTGGAGCATAGTGTTTAAAGCAGAGGGTGGCAGAAGATTCGAAGAGTAAATGGCAGATGCTGTGAGAGCCTAACACGTTAAGACTTTGTTCTGGAGGCTTTGTAGATTCAGTAAAAGGCTTTCATCAGGTAGTGATGCAGTCACATTTGTGTTAGCAATGATAGTAGCAGGTGGTCATTGCCTACTATACAGCCTTGTACTGATTGCTGTACATGCATGATCTCATTTAATCTTGACAACAATTGTTACTAATTTCCATTTTACAGTTGAGGAAATGGAGGTTGAGATAGATTGCACAGGTCATAGTGGAGCTGTGATTCTCATCTAGGGAGTCTGACCAGAGCACGCACAGGACACCTGTACAGTTGGGATGAGAGGAAAGAATTGAAGGATGTGTTAGGAGAGCCTACTTGGTGGTCTCAACATTTAATGACATAAGAGACGGTATTGTTGGTTCAGAGTGAGAGGTGTTGGATAGGAGTCTGTAAGCATCATAAGAGTGTGAAGGTTTCTCTAAGGGAAATCTGAAAGGGAGCTGACCAAGAGCAGTGCAAGTGAGGTCAGCTGAGGTTAGAGACAGGAATTTATAGCAGTACTGCCCTGACTGGTTATGGCATTTTTCTCCGTGAATTTGGCTGCAATAGAATCTGCTGTAATACAGAGTGGATTAAATAAGATGAATGTTCTGTCTCTTATATGAGAGTCCAAAGGGAGGAGAGTGGCCCAGGCTGGTGGTGTGGTTCATGTTCAGAAACATTCAAGATCCCAGTTCCCTTCCATCTTGTCCTGCCATCCCATAGGCCATGTTAATGTGGCTGCATGGCCAATGCTGAGTCTCTACCACATCTCAGCTTCTGGGAGGGGGCAGGAGCAGAAGTGAAAAGCAAGTTAATTCCTTTTAGACAAATAACAGAGATGTTGTACACATCACCTTTGCTCACATTTTATTGTCAAGAATTTAGGCACCTAGATGCAAGGACCTCTGAGAAAGGAGTCTAGCTGGCATCCAGGTTCCCAACTAAAACTATTACTATGGAAGACGAAGATAATGGATTTGAGGGGCCAGCTAATTGTCTGCTACAAAAGAGAAGGCTGGCTGTGGGGTTAATGCAGGATTGGAGTTTTTCTGGACAGGTGTGAGGATAGTGGGGCAAGAGAGTTTTAGGGTGTTGGTGAGATGTAGTTCAGGTGGATAGCCATGAGCTCCGGCTGGGCGTGGTAGTTAGGTCAGGAGATTGAGGACCTGGAACCCTGCAGAGTAGATGTGGGACTAAGGGAGAAAGTGGTTGGAATGGGATTAGTCATTTGTGGCTAGAGTAGGATCTGGGTTGAAGTCCAGAGGTGGCAGAGTTCTGAGAGATGAAACACCTGGAGTGAAGCCATGGTTTGGGAAACCAACCATGGTGAGCTGGAGGTTTCCAGAGTTGAAGCAGGCACAGAGCATGTTTGGTGTTCCTGCACAGCAGTCACACTGCCTACACACATACTCTATTCTCATCATATACTTGTACCACACTCCACTTCGTGTCCATCTGGGTATCTCCTCCTCACCTACAAAACCCACCTCCCACAAAGCTGTTCTTGATCCCTAGGCTCTTAAAGTCTCCACTCTGTTTCTCTGGCTATCAGCTGGCATCTTTCTCTGCTTCTTTGTAGTTTGTAACTTAAGCTTACATATGGCCAGTTGTATTAGGGTTCTCTAGAGGGACAGAACTAATAGGAGATATATATATATCCTTTTATATACATATATATATACATATATATATGTATATAAAAAGGGGAGTTTGTTAAGTATTAACTCACATGATCACAAGGTCCCAGTAGGCCGTCTGCAAGCTGAGAAGCAAGGAAAGCCAGTCCGAGTCCCAAAACTGAAGAACTTGGAGTCCAGTGTTCGAGGGCAGGAAGCATCCAGCAGGGGAGGAAGATGTAGGATGGGAGGCTAGGCCCATCTAGTCTAGTCTTTTCACGTTTTTTTTTTCTACCTGCTTTATATTCTAGCCACGCTGGCAGCTGATTAGATGGTGCCCACCCACATTAAGGGTGAGTCTGCCTTTCCCAGCCCACTGATTCAAATGTTAATCTCCTTTGGCAACACCCTCACAGACACACCCAGGATCAATACTTTGCATCCTTCTATCCAATCAAGTTGACACTCAATATTAACGATCACACCAGTTCCGGCCTTTCTAAGCCACTACATATACACCACATATCTGCTGCAACCTGGCAGTTGCTGTGCTTATTTTCACACCAAATTCCCAAGACAGGCAATCTGATTGGCCCCACTCATCACATCTTTTCACACTGGACCATAGCTAGCAGGTCACTTGCAGGACAGAATGGGCAGATGGCTGCTAACCCAGCTGCTCCCCATGTTGGGTTCAATGCCAAGCCTATGACCCTGTGGGTGCAGAGGCGCAAAGGAGTACAGCACTATCGTTGCTTTATCTTTCTGCCAGCCCTTGGGTGTGGGAGGGGTTTTTAGAGAGATGCAAGTTGGCTGTGTCTCCTTGCCACTCAGGAACAGTGAGTTTATACTACACCAAAAGGGATTTGATCAGCTGGTTGAGAATTCAGTCATCGGTCTGTTCATTAAACTAGAACAGTTGAGCTCTGCCAGGCCCTGGGAATGAAGAAGCCAAGGAGGCCATCCTGTCCTCACTGTCTGGTGAGGGTGGCGGGGAGGAGTAAGGTGGTGGTTTGGGGTATATAACCAGCCAGTTACGGCACAGTGTATGTGGGAAGAGAGGCTCTGAAGCTGTGGCCACCCCCAGGGTTTGAGCCCCAGAGAGCCTTCCCCAAAGGGCTGGTAAAACCTAGGAAGCCTAAGCACATGGGGATCCCGTCCAGAAACACAGGTGATCCCTGGACGGGAGGCAGCCCCCTGCCCTAAGAGGGAACTGCCTGAGCTGCTGCCTCTAGGACAGGAGTGCTGCTAGAGTTTGTGTGTTAGTAACAGGACATGCATGGCCGTCTGTTCATGCAAGTGGCCATCACGTCTGTCCTTGGGTATGGCTTTCTCATTGGACACAATAGTATGGTGAGAGATTGCATCTCTGAACCTCATACTACCCTGGTCTCAGGGTGTGACTGCAGCTTTGCACACACCCTGGAGTGAGCCTCAGCCTGAGAGTAAGGAAATCACTTCTGGCATCAACTGGATAAGTTTTATTTTATTAAAACTTTTTTTGCAAAGCCCAGTCTTTTAATCCAAGAATCAGTTTTTTGGAAAACAAATGCTTTATTTCCCAGAGGTGAAAACAAAAAAAAAGCTCCTGTGGAAAACTGCATCATACTAGGTCAGGGAAAGAGATTTCTTTTTTCAGGTTAGTGAGAGAGGTCTGGCCAGTCCTTCAGATCCAGATGGCTATCATTGCTTCCAGGGCAGGAGCTGGGAGATAGGGGGCTGGGACAAACATGGTCCCACCAGCATGGGCCTCCTAGAGCCACCCCAGAACTGGGCTCAGACCTCGGCCCCGAATCTCTCAGGGAAGTCCCTGCAGAGACTGAACCTGAGAAGTGGCCCCTCTCATGCCTCCATCCTGTCGTTCAGAGGCCCTGTTCACATTCCATCCCCTCTCAGGAAAGCAGACATCTGCTCTCTTCCCTGAGATTTCCCAGGCTTGGAGAAAACACACTCGGATATCACACGCTCACCTAGTGCACTTCTTATTCAGAAGCCTCTCGTCCAGATGACAACATCCAATGCCACTGGTATGACACCAGCCTTGTTTTCTTTCTCTCACCCCGTACTAAATCCACTACTTATAAATTTGCCTCCGCATCTCCGTCTTCTCTTCACTCCATCTCCATCCCTCTGGACCACACAACCCTTCCTCATAGGGCTGCCTCCAGCCTCCCCAACTCTAGCCTATTCTCACAGCTGTCAGAGCCATCCCATCATGGGGGGATCCAAGGGCCTGTCTGGGTCATCACAGTGGGCAAGAATGGCACAGCTTGACTCTCCAGGATAGCTAGAAACTCCCACAAGGCTGGGCAGGAATTCCAGGAGGAATTGCACAGGAAACATCACCTCACTGCCCTGGAAGTTGTGGGTGAGGGGAGGAAGCCTCAGAAACAAACCAAGAAGCCAGAAGGACTCACTGGGCTGGGGGCTGTCGGGAGTGTTCCCAGAAAAGCCGCCACTAGCTGAGTGGTTGCCTCTGTAGACCTCAAGGTCTCCACGGCTCTAGAAAAAGGAGGGCTGGCCCCAGCGTGACCTCAGGTTCATTTTCTAAGCAGCAGGTAAGGCCAGGGGCCCTCTTGAGTTTGTGATGTGGTCTGTCCAGTTGGTATCCAATCCCACAGACGCTCATCACTGTCGTCCTTGTCCTCTCCCTCACCCTCTCACCCTGCCTGGCCCCCTCATCCTCTCCTCTCACCCTCACCCTCCTTTTCTGACTCTCCCCCTGTGCCTCTTTAACCCTGCCTTGTCTCAGCTCTAGTCAGCAGCTCCAAATCTATCCAGGGCTCCTAGTCAGCCTGCCCCTATTTCAGAAGAATGTTCTCATCCCTGTGTCCCTCCTGTGAATACTACTGTCCCCTTCCACCCTGGATTCCCCAGACCTTGTTCTATTTATGGTCTTTTCCATCTGTGATTTTCCCATTTTTGGTCACTCTCTTCTTGTCTACATGTGAGTGGGGCCGTGAGGGCCCCCTGCCCTCCACTCCCCTGACCTGGGGCCAGTGCCCTCACTTTCTGGAGCTGCTCCCTCTGCAGGCTCCAGACTACAGCTACCAGATTCAGTGACCTTTTCTCAGTCATCCTCCTGACTGCCGACCACATCACCCTGCTTAAAACCCTCTCTTCCTTCAACGCTTCTCTCTTGGGGCTTTTCTTCTTCTCACTTTATGCACAGGCTTCCACCTCTCTCCCACTCCCCAAAATATCAGGGGTTTCTAAGGTTCCTGTCCCAGTCTTCTCCCTCACATCTGTCCCTCAGTGACTCCATCTGTGCTCAGATACCTGCTCTGTCCCCAGCACCCCATACCTGGTCACTGGTCCAGGACCTCTGGACATCTCTTTCTGACATTGTCCCCCTGGATGTCACAGAGCCACCTCAGCTAAACTCATCCTCTCCCTTCCCGGCCCTCTACCAGGACCACCCAGGAAGCCACCTCCACTCCTTGCGTTGTTTTTCCTGAGTCATCCAGGGGTAGAGCTTAGGGTCTCTCTGACAAGCTCTGTCCAGCCCCTAATCCTCTTGAGAGTGCCTGCAGGGTTGATGGGGCCAGCCTTTCCTACCCTCTCCACTCCCTTTCCCAGACATTGTCAGTAACATCCTGTTTGGGCCTCCTGTCCCCATTTTCCTCGATGCTACACTGCCTGCCAGAGTTACCTTCATTTTCCTGTTTTGAATATCACTCAAGCATTTATTTCAGACATTCATAATACTGTCATGAGAAAGGTTTTCCTTCAACAAGTGTGGATGCATAAAATCATGTGAAAAAGACTGGGTTTTTTGTTTGTTTGTTTTTTGCCTATTTTATGTTGTAAGCTCCCCAAGGGAAGACGGACCACTCCACCCGCTTCTTTGTGACTTCCTGTAGCACTTAGGCTTTACTAAATATGATGATTTCTGGGAGTGAGAGAGTACTTCTACTGACCAAAGAAAGCTAATCCTACCATAGCTTACCCAGAAATATATATATGGAATTCATTATTCAAAGAGTTCCTACTGACAGAAAAAACCTAAATGCATTCAAAAGACTTGGAGAAAGATCTGCCAGAGACAGGGTTGGTTTCTAAGACACATATTCCCAAAAGAAATACAGACATGGACACATATCCTTAATGTTTACATACAGGGCGAGATGGCCATGTGTTGGGAGTTTTCACACCAGCCCCATGGATGGAGTGCCTTTCCACCAGCTGGAGTGCCTTTCCCCCAGCTGTGTCCCCATGGCAGTGCACAGGCTTGTAGTGTTTATTTACTCAACCTACACTTACGCATGTACATGATCCAGCCAGAGTCCCAGAGTTGCTTTTCTAGTGGTGGTAACAACTTCAGCCCAATGGCCTTGACCTCTGGACCCAGAGGTCACAGGGCACTGGCTGGGGTTGGGCTGCAGCCTGTGACCATGAGCCACTAAGGAAGTAACCCGCGAACTAATTGCCACCTCCTTACTCTATTTCGCCAGCACGAACATCACCTAGAGTGTCATTATGAAGGTCTGACACTGTTGGCTGTCCTACCATGAAAGGGAGGTACCAACAACTGTGAAGGTGATTTCATGACAAATGACACTTCTCTTATTCTTTCCCACCTTGGGAATTAGGTTCCTTGATTTATTTTTAAGTTTAAAAAATTTTTTTGCGGTAAAATTATAAAGTACACAGTGCCGTTGTTAAAAATACACTGTCTTATCTAGGCACAGGATACCAGGAAGTTGCGCTGAAAGTGTTTTTGAAGATCTAAGGAAAATATTATTTTATAACTAGCACATTGCTACAATTAGCATTTGATTCACTTCCTGTTGTCTAAGAGAAAATGTCAAGCTGTGGGTTTAGAATCAGAGTTTATTGTTGGGTTAATTAAAGTCTAACAATAAGAGAGAGAAAACAAATATTTTTGAAAGCTAATATTGTTCCTTCCTATTTTATCTTCCATATCTCATAACCTCTTTTTTAAAAATATTTTTCTTCTTTTTAACTTTCTGTACTGCATTCTAGGTGTACTTTTTCCAACCTACCTTCTGATTTTTCAGTTTTTTTTTTCAGTTTTGTCTTTCTACTGTTTAATGCATTTGGGTTTAAAGTTCAATGTCTATATTTTTCATTACTAAAAGTTTTCTTTTAAAACTTATCTTTTTAATCCCAGTAATTGCTTTTGTTTTTATAGCATTTATTGTTTCTTTAATCATTGTAAACAGGCTTTTTAAGTCATCTAAGTCTGTTAATTACATTTCTTAAAGTTCTTAAAATTCTTTTTTTTTTTTTTTTTTTTTTTGAGACGGAGTCTCACTCTGTTGCCCAGGCTGGGGTGCAGTGGTGCGATCTCGGCTCACTGCAACCTCTGCCTCCCAGGTTCAAGCAATTCTCCTGCCTCAGCTTCCTGAGTAGCTGGGAATTACAGTCACATGCCACCATCCCAGTTAATTTTTATATTTTTAGTAGAAAATTAAGTTAATTTTCACTATGTTGGTCAGGCTGGTCTCGAACTCCTGACCTCAGGTGATCCACCCACCTTGGCCTCCCAAAGTGCTGGGATTACAGGTGTGAGCCACCACGTCTGGCCAAGTTCTTGGACTTCTAAAGCTGCTTGTGCTTTTGCTGACTCTCATCGTGGTGGCCTCTTTTCTCACATGGTCCATAAGCTTGACTGTGACCTCACATTCTCCCCGGCCATGTAGTTGTGCAGTTTTGAGTGAATTTCTTAATCCTGAGTTCTAGTTTGATTGCACTGTGGTCTGAGAGACAGTTTGTTATAATTTCTGTTCTTTTACATTTGCTGAGGAGTGCTTTACTTCCAATTATGTGGTCAATTTTAGAATAAGTGCGATGTGGTGCTGAGAAGAATGTATATTCTGTTGATTTGGGGTGGAGAGTTCTGTAGATGTCTATTAGGTCTGCTTAGTGCAACACCGAGTTCAAGTCCTGGATATCCGTGTTAACCTTCTGTCTCGTTGATTTGTCTAATATTGACAGTGGGGTGTTAAAGTCTCCCATTATTATTGTGTGGGAGTCTAAGTCTCTTTGTAGGTCTCTAAGGACTTGCTTTATGAATCTGGGTGCTCCTGTATTGGGTGCATATATGTTTAGGATAGTTAGCTCTTCTTGTTGAATTGATCCCTCTACCGTTATGTAATGGCCTTCTTTGTCTCTTTTGAACTTTGTTGGTTTAAACTCTGTTTTTTCAGAGACTAGGATTGCAACCCCTGCTTTTTTTTTTTTTTCCCATTTGCTTGGTAGATCTTCCTCCATCCCTTTATTTTGAGCCTATGTATGTCTCTGCACATGAGATGTGTCTCCTGAATACAGCGCACTGATGGGTTTTGACTCTTTATCCAACTTGCCAGTCTGTGTTCTTTTAATTGGGGCATTTACCCATTTACATTTAAGGTTAATATTGTTATGTGTGAATTTGATCCTGTCATTATGATGTTAGCTGGTTATTTTGCCTGTTAATGGATGCAGTTTCTTCACAGCATCGATGGTCTTTACAATTTGGCATGTTTTTGCAGTGGCTGGTACCAGTTGTTGCTTTCCATGTTTACTGCTTCCTTCAGGAGCTCTTGTAAGGAAGGCCTAGTGGTGACAAAATCTCTCAACATTTGCTTGTCTGTAAAGGGTTTTATTTCTCCTTCATTTATGAAGCTTAGTTTGGCTGGATATAAAATTCTGGGTTGAAAAATCTGTTCTTTAAGAATGTTGAATATTGGCCCCCACTGTCTTCTGGCTTATAGCGTTTCTGCCAAGAGATCTGCTGTTAGTCTGATGGGCTTCCCTTTGTGGGTAACCCGACCTTTCTCTCTGGCTGCCCTTAACATTTTTTCTTCATTTCAACCTTGGTGCATCTGACAATTATGTGTCTCGGGGTTGGTCTTCTTGAGGAATATCTTTGTGGTGTTCTCTGTATTTCCTGAATTTGAATGTTGGCCTGCCTTGCTAGGTTGGGGAAGTTCTCCTGGATAATATCCTGAAGAGTGTTTTCCAACTTGGTTCCAATCTCCCCATCACTTTCAGGTACACCATCAGACGTAGATTTGGTCTTTTCACATAGTCCCATACTTCTTGGAGGCTTTGTTAATTTGTTTTTACTCTTTTTTCTCTAAACTTGTCTTCTCACTTTATTTCATTAATTTGATCTTCAATCACTGATATCCTTTCTTCCACTTGATTGAATCAGCTATTGAAGCTTGTGCATGCATCATGAAGTTCTCATGCCATGGTTTTCAGCTCCCTCATGTCATTTAAGGTCTTCTCTACACTATTTATTCTAGTTATCCATTCGTCTAACCTTTTTTCAAGGTTTTTAGCTTCCTTGCGATGGGTTAGAACATGCTTCTTTAGCTTGGAGAAGTTTGTTATTACCTACCTTCTGAAGCCTACTTCTGTCAACTTGTCAAAGTCATTCTCCATCTAGCTTTGTTCCGTTGCTGGTGAGGAGCTGCAATCCTTTGGAGAAGAGGCACTCTGGTTTTTAGAATTTTCAGCTTTTCTGCTCTGGTTTCTCCCCATCTTTGTGGTTTTATCTACCTTTGGTCTTTGATGTTGGTGACCTACAAATGAGGTTTTGGTGTGGATGTCCTTTTTGTTGATGTTGATGCTATTCCTTTCTGTTTGTTTGTTTTCTTCTAACAGTCAGGTCCCTCAGCTGCAGGTCTGTTGGAGTTTGCTGGAGGTCCACTCCAGATGCTGTTTGCCTGGGTGTCACCAGCGGAGGCTGCAGAACAGCAAATATTGTTGCCTGATCCTTCCTCTGGAAGCTTCATCCCAGAGGGGCACCCACCTGTATGAGGTGTCTGTTGGCCCCTACTGGGAGGTGTCTCCCAGTTAGGCTACACAAGGGTCAGGGACCCACTTGAGGAGGCAGTCTGTCTGTTCTCAGAGCTCAAATGCTGTGCTGGGAGAACCACTGCTCTCTTCAGAGCTGTCAGACTGGAATGTTTAAGTCTGCAGAAGTTGTCTGCTGCCTCTGCTGCCTTTTGTTCAGCTATGCCCTGCCCACAGAGGTGGAGTCTATAGAGGCAGTAGGCCTTGCTGTGCTGTGATGGGCTTCGCCAAGTTCGAGCTTCCCAGCCACTTTGTTTACCTACTCAAGCCTCAGCAATGGCAGATGCCCCTCCCCACACCAGGCTGCAGCCTCACAGGTTGATCTCAGACTGCTGCACTATCAGTGAGCAAGACTTCATGGGCATGGGACCTGCCGAGTCAGGCACGGGAGAGAATCTCCTGGTCTGCCAGTTGTTAAGACCATGGGAAAAGTGCAGTGTTTGGGCAGAGTGTACCGATTTTCCAGGTACAGTCTGTCACAGCTTCCCTTGGCTAGGAAAGGGAAATCCCCCTACCCCTTGTGCTTCCTGGGTGAGGCGATGCCGTGCCCTGCTTCAGCTCGTCCTCCGTGGGCTACATCCACTGTCTAACCAGTCCCAGTGAGATGAACCAGATACCTCAGTTGGAAATGTGGAAATCACCTGTCGTCTGTGTTGATCACGCTGGGAGCTGCAGACTGGAGTTGTTCCTATTCAGCCATCTTGGAACAGACTCCTCTATATATACCACATTTTCTTTATCCATTCATCTGTTGATGAAAAGACCTAGGTTGACGACGTATTTTGACTATTGTGAATGATGCTGCAGTAAACGTGAGACTGCAGAGATCTCTTCGACATACTGATTTCCTTTCCTTTGGACAAATATTCAATAGTGGGATTGCTGGATCATATGGTAGTTCTATTTTTCATTTTTTGAGGAACCTCCATACTGTTTTCCATAATGGCTTTACTAATTTACATTGCCACCAAGAGAATATAAGCATTCCCCTTTCTCCACATTCTCACCAGCATTTGTTGTTTTTAATCTTTTTGATAATAGCCATGCAAATTAGGATGAGATCTCATTGTGGTTTTGATTTGCATTTCCCTGACAATTAGCGATATTGAATATTTTTTCATATACTTGGCCATTTGTATGCCTCCTTTGTGAGGTATCTATTCAGATCATTCACCCATTTTTTTAAAGCTGAATTATTATTATTATTATTTTTGCTGTTGAGTTGTTTGTGTTCTGTGTATATTCTGGATATTAGTCCCTTGTCAGATGAATAGTTTGCAAATATTTTCTGCTATTCTTTGGACTGTCTCTTCACTCTGTTGATTGCTTCCTTTGCTGTGCAGAAGCTTTTTAGTTTGATGTCATCCCATTTGCCTGTTTTTGCTTTTGTTGTCTGTGTTTTTGAGATCTCCATAAAATCTTTGCCCAGACCAATGTCCTGAAGCATATCCCCTGTTTTCTAATAGTTTTACAGTTTCAGGTCTTACATTTTAGTGTTTAATTCAGTTTTACTTTACTTTTATATTATATATGGTGAAAGAAAGGAGTCTGGTTTCATTCTTCTGCATATGAATCTCCAGTTTCTCCAGCACCATTTATTGAAAAGACTGTCCTTTCCCCCAGTGAATGTTTTTGGCACTTTTGTCAGAAATGAGTTGGGCGTAAATACATAGATTTGTTTCTGGGTTCTCTATTCTGCTCCATTGGTCTATGTGTACGTTTTTATGCCAGTACCATGCTGCTTTGGTTACTATAGCTTTGTAGTATATTTTGAAGTCAGGTAGTGTGATGCCTCCAGTTGTATTCTTTTTGCCAAGGATTGATTGATTAGCCTATTTGGTGTTGGTTTCACTTTTAATTCAAGACCTCAAACTTCAAATTGGCCCTCATTTTGTTAAGCAATTTCAATACACTCTATATCTCTCTCTTCAAACATTTTCTTACAGTTCTCCTCCCCTGCCTCACTTTTAGCCTCAGCTTATTATTGTGGATAGTGTAGAAGACGTAGGAAGGAAACTTATTTTTCCTTTCTACTATTAAATCTATAAGCCCATCTGTACCCATTTTTATCATTTTTGCCTTTTCTCCTGCTAGAATGGAAAGGTGTCCCTGGTCTTAGAAAGGCCAGCCTCTCTATTTGTTCTCTAGTCCTCACTCCCTCTTGCCTCCTCAAGAACTCCTTTTTCCCTTCCAAGTAGATCAGTGGTCCTCA
Source organism: Homo sapiens (assembly GCF_000001405.40). Classification (NCBI taxonomy): domain Eukaryota; kingdom Metazoa; phylum Chordata; class Mammalia; order Primates; family Hominidae; genus Homo; species Homo sapiens. Next base: position 134,138,377 of record NC_000003.12, on the reverse strand, counting down.
AACTTGAGTGAGCATCAGAATCACCTGGAGGCCTTATGAAAATACAGACCACTGGGCCCCAACCCTAGAGTGTCTGATGCAATAATCTGGGCTGGAACCCCAGACATTTTCATTTTAATAAGTTCCCAGGTGATGCTGATGCTACTGGTTGGGGATCACATTTTGAGAACCACTGTTCTCATGTATGTCTTTCCATTCTTTGATTGCTTTTTAAATGTTGACAATTACATTTTTAATTTCTAAGAACACTTTATTATTTTCTCTTATTTCTTTTTTTCTTGTCTGTGGAAGAAAAACCTAGAATCTCACTAAAGATACACAGGAGGTTTTTTTAAAAGTTATTTCCTAAACTATCTCTATTTCTCCTGAGTTCACTTTTCTATTTATCTTCATTCTTTTTTTGTTGGGCTGTTGGTTTTACTGAAAGATCTAAGGATCTTTGGCTGTCCATTTATATCTGTGACTGTAGGATTTGTGGTTTAATATAGATGGCTGGTTTTCTCTACCACCATGTGGATTGTCATGTAGAGAGGGATTCAACAGCCCTCTCCCCTAAGTGGGAGGCTTGGGCATATTGACCTGCAGGATTCCATTAAGAGGCCATGGCCAGGACCCCCTGATGCACCCATGATAAAATACAGAAGCCTTTTTTGGGGATGCCAACACAGGCATCAGAAGCTCTAGTCTTCCTTGAGGATCCTGTCTAATATCTATAAGAGGGCACCTTCTGATTTGGTCTGGGCTGGGTGCCATCTTAGTCTGTTGTTCTTCCTCCTTAAGAGAGGGGCACGCGTAGTGTGGATGTGCTCTTTGATACAACTCTTTGCATATAGCACTTCCAGGACTCACCCTGACTTTTCCTCCCTGCTGGCTCCTGCCCTCTGTGCCTGTACCTTATGACCACGAAGTCTCCCTAGGACCTCGGTGAGCAGCAGCTCTCACCACCTGCAGGCACCTCCAGCACCTTTACTTGTTGCTTTCTCTGCCCCACTTAGTCCGTTAGGATGGTTCTATCTGATATCCATCAAACCCTGCTGAGGGTTCCCTCTCCCACGCTTAGTGCTGTAATATTTATTTCCTTTTGCTATTCTTTACTAGTGTAATAGATGTTAAAATGGGACTCTTCTTGTCCTGTTCAGTTTGACTGAAGCAGCAATGTGACAGATTCCAGGCAAGTCTGAGACAGATCACCACATGTAGAATTTGCAAGAAAATGTTCACATAATGTTCCATTTCAAGAATATGAGGGAAGGGTGAGAAAGAAGGCATTTGGAGGATTTCTTTAGAGGTAATCTTGTTCTGAATTCCCACCCACTTGCCTACATGCCAGCCCCAAAAGGACTGAGGCCAGTGAGCAAGAGGGAGGGTGAGAAGCAGAGAAAGTAAGAATCTGACCAGCCCTCTAACCCCAGTCTTTCCCCGCTCTCCGTCCCCTTTCCTACTGCTGGTCATTAGAAGATCCAGGGAGCAGCTGGTCCCCACCCACTCTGCTCTGTGTATTCTCACTTTAAGCTTGTGGATCCTGGTAGATTGCCCTTCACCGTCTCTTCTGCACAAAATGGTTGTCTCTGGTTCTCCACTTCCCCTTTCTCTCCTACCCTGCCCCTTCCCTTTTTCTGCTTTTATTTCTTGCCTCTGCCCTTTCTTATTTATTGCACATAATACCAACCTCACATTGGTAAATTCTCATCACCATTGATACAAGACAGTTATACTCCTTTCTCCTCCCCTCCTTCCCTTCCTTTCTTCCTTTCTTTTTTCCTTCCTTTCTCCCTTCCACCCTTCCTTCCTCCCTTCCTTCCTCCCTTCCTTCTTCCCTTCCTTTTATTCAACAAACACCACTTCTGAATGTGATGGTGGATCTCAGAGAATAAGAAAACACAAGCACAAACAGTGGTCAAGCAGCATGGTGGGTAGTGGGACTCCAGACTCAGCATGGGGTTGTCAGGAAGGCTTTCCAAGAGCTGAATTTTTAGAGAGAGTGGAGTTGGCCAGGAGAAAGGGGTTTGGGAGTAGTCTTCCAGCTGGAGAGCATACTACAGAGTTCTGGAGAGATGTCGCAGGGTACATATTCAGGAAATGACTTGCTCAGTCACTTTATCCTCCTTATTTTACATCTCAACCCTGTGAGATAAGCAGTGCAAGTGGTAATACCTCCATTTTGCAGGTTAGAGAATGGAGAATCCATCCCACAAAACACTTCCAGAACACCAGTTTTTGCCAGGCAGCGTAGGAGAAGCTGACAGTAAAGAGACCTGGACCCACTGCAGGCTCCTCAGGCTGCAGCAGGCCTGAGCTGAGGAGGAGAGAAGCCTTATCCTTTAACAGAGTTTGGAGTTTTGATGATTGCACTCGACTGGTCATCTTTATTGTAGGATTTTGAGATTAGAAGGGACTGGAAGGCTTTTTATTCAAGAGTGGTTTGGAAAGCCATGGGACTACTGGAGATTTAGGGGCAGGAATAAAAATGTTTTCTGCTTGTACCCTCTGTTGTCCCACTTGTTCAAAGTAAGGGGTAATTAATTATAACAAGTAATAAACACCACTGAAAAGTATGCAGTGCTCTGAGGACAAAAAATGGAATGATCTCACTCACCCATATCAGCACAGAAGGTCTGGGTGGCATCTGAATGGACTGGGGGACTGGTCATGAAACTGGGTTCACGTAGCAGCATTCTCTTTCTTTGATTCACAAAGAAGCACAGATCCACAAACATAGCCAGGATTTCTAAAGGTATCTCATGCTGCCCATAACACTGAGAAAACATCCGTTGTCACATATGATTATTTTTATTTGAGATTAATTGGGAGGCATTATGGAGATAGGGAGCTTGAGGCCATCTAGCTGCCCTTTGCCACTGACCCTTAGCCCAACCTTGGCCTGAAGATAGTAGATGTGACAGCTCCTGAGTTGGCTGTGGGACTTAGCCATGGGTGGAGCTGGTGAGGGCCTGCTCTGCTGGAGGCCAGCCGGAAGCCTGGAAGGAGGCTGGATGAGGAGGCTTGCAGACCAGTCATGACTCTCTGCTGGCTCTGGGAGCTTGGGCAAATCCCATGACCACCCCAAGCATCCTCACTGTGAGAATGGATATAGTGATGCAAATCATCTGGATTTTTAATAGGATTTGGTGTGATGGTGTCAAACAGCACTGTCATACTTTTCCTTGGAAGCAGCCCAAGAACAGTGGGGTAAGCCCTTGGGGGTGAGGAGGTGTACAGCTAAGAGTCCCTGGCAAGCTTGAGAATTCTCAAAGCCTCTGCTTTAAGGAAGTTTGCTTTTACTTCATATTACATCTGTATTTAACATTAAAATGTCACATAACTTTGTCCTCCTCCCAAATCTTTGAGCAAAAACTGATGTCAAAATTAAAAGTGCTCTGGGCATGGAGCTGGGGGAGGGCCCTGGGATGTGGGCAGCCCAGTCCAGGAGCTCAGTGATGGGAGGGCCTTAGTACGCAATAAAATGCCATCATGTTACTGACTTTTATTGCTACAACCCAGAAGAGAGTGGTGTGAGAGAGAGAGAGACTGGCCAAGTTTTACTTGAGAGGTGGAACAGGACCCAGGTGAGCAGATCAGTGATACTTCCTGGGCGGTGTGGCCAGGCCTTGAAGGATGGTGCAGAGCTCCTCATTCTGCTCACTCAGGACCCCCAGCCCTCCCTGGAGCTGACACAGCCTTGCCGTGCCAGGTATGCAGGGCAGCCTGGCAGTTCCAGCTCCTGAATGTCGCATCTGCTAGCACCAAGCCCTGAGACTGAACCCCTCCTCCTCCTTTCAGCTGCAGCAGCGTGCTTCTGTGGGATTAGCAGGCCAATTCCATGTAGCCCAGGAGGGCTGAGCTAGGTTCATGCTGTGCTAGGCCATGCAGTTTTGTAAAAAGGTGTTCCTACACAGTGAGGTAATGGCCTTGTGGGGCAAGGCCCAGTCAGGGCCTGGAGTCTCAGACTACTTCCTCCAAGGCCCTTTGTACTTTGAAGTCTGTGACTCATGGTGGGACACTTAAGAAGCACCAGGCATTCTTGTTTCTTCCCAGGCAAGTGTCAGAGGACCCTAGTGCCAGGGGTTCCCTTCACTCTCCAGATGATTCTGAATGCCTCCTGGCTAAGATAGTTGGATGCCTAGCTGTGTGGGACTGCAGTTTGGAGGGTTATGAACCATGCAAGCAGAGGGATACCATAGGGGATGGGTGCCAGTGTGAATGACAGTGAGGCCTGAACTAAGAGCCTATACTTAGCTCCCTGGCAGGGTGGCATGGATCTCTCTGGGTTTCTTTGTCCTAGCCATTGTGGCCTTGATGGACCCAGTCACAATTTTCCTACCAGAGGTAAAGACTTTTCCATCACCATCACCATCAACCACCTGCCCTCACTTGCCTCCACTCCTACAACATGCCATCATTGTCATGATCAACTTTGTTGATCACTATCACCATTAACCATTGCCGCTATCATCTCTACCAGTTCTCTTCTCTTCCCACACCCCCACCATTGATTAGCATCATCACAGCACTACCATCATCATCACTGCCATTCATTGAGTGCCCATTACACCCTGTGCTATGGGAAGGCTTTTTTCTGCTCTCTTGCCTATTCTAGAATTTCCTGCCTCCTACTGGTCCAGGTCCCTACCAGGAAGCCCACATTCGTCCCTAGCTTCCAAAAGTAGGAAACTTCTACCAGAGTGTTTAAATACCCCCGACCCTTCTACACACACACTTATAGGAAGAGATAACAGTGCTTCATATTGCATGACAAGTTGTCCATTTGCTTGGATTAAAATGCAAAACAACTTGTTCCACTGGTTTCTTTGTAGATTGCCTTAGCACACAAAAAATAACCATTGCAAGCCCTTCTCCCATTATATTTCAATTAGTAACAATCATCAACTCATCATACATTTTGAGCAGGAGTTTTGCTCAGAGAACGAATTGGTTTTAAGCAGTTAATAAAAGGCTACCTGGTCCTCCCTGCCTCCCACCGTGAAGGGCTCATCTCAGTGCCTGGGGCAAAGAAGGAGAGAACCCTTCCCAGTGCCCATGTCAGGAGAATTTCCACACCCTTCTTGGAGGCTGAATCAAGGGCTCTGGGGAGAACCCATGGGAAGGGATTTCAGGGCTCTCCACTTCAGTCTTCAGATGTTGTTTCCAGAAACCACTTCCTGAAGTGCTGTTTACACTTGCATCTGTATTCACGTGGGATAACATGGCTCTCTACAGTTAGGCAGACTGGCTGTAAGCCCATGAGTTATTACAGCATGGCCTGATCTCTGCCATCCTACGTTATCACCATTGTTTGTTTAGTATGTCTTCTGTCCTGCAGCTTGATCTTTTCACATTCTACCATGCACTGGTGATTCTCTCTTTCTCCGTGGTCTTGTGAAACTTTTATATTTCAACCAGTCATGTGGGGTTATAGTAATATCTCACTGTGTTTACTAATGAGGTCAGAAACCTTTTTGTCTCTTTTTCTGTCATTTCAATATCCTCTTTTAAATGCCCATTTGCCCCTTTTGCTCCTTTTTCTGTTGTCTGCCTTTTCCTTTATGAATTATAGGAATTCTATATCAGATATGCAATCCCTTTGCCAGTTATATGTACTACAGATATTTTCTGCTATACTGTGCTTGCCATTTCATTTCCTTGATGGCATCTTTGGCTGAACAAATTTCTTTCCTTAAGGTAGTCAAATATATCAATCTTTGCTGTTATGGTAGTGCTTTTTGTGCTATAAAAATCTTTATCCACAGTTATATTCTTCTATATTACCTTCTAAAATCTCTATTGTTTTACATTTTACATTTAGGTCCATATTCCACCTGGAATTGATTTTTGTGCATGGTTTGATATAGGAGTTAAATTTCATTTGTAATTCATATGGTATCTTATAGTTCCAGAATAATTTACCAAAAAAGGCCATTCATTCTCCATTGTTTTGTGGTGCCACATTTGTCTGGAATCTAATCTACCTATATATGTTTTTTGGCTCGGTATTCCATTCCACTGGCTTGTGCTTATGCCACATTGTCTGTACTGTTATTGCTTTGTAGTGTCTTACTATCTGATAGAGCAAGTGTTTTATACACTTTGTCTTCTTTAAGAGATCTTGGCTCTACATAGCCCTTTGTATTTTCTGTGTGCATTTTAGAATCAGCTTGTCAAGTTCTACAAAACAACATTTTTAAAAACTCTATGGTACATTTTGGTTGAGAACATATGAATCTAGAGATCAAATTGGGGAGAATGTGTTGTGGAAGTCAGGGACCCCGAATGGAGGGACCGGCTGAAGCCATGGCAGAAGAACATGGATTGTGAAGATTTCATGGACATTTATTAGTTCCCCAAATTAATACTTTTATAATTTCTTATGCCTGTCTTTACTGCAATCTCTAAACATAAATTGTGAAGATTTCATGGACACTTATCACTTCCCCAATCAATACCCTTGTGATTTCCTATGCCTGTCTTTACTTTAATCTCTTAATCCTGTCATCTCGTAAGCTGAGGAGGATGTATGTCGCCTCAGGACCCTGTGATGATTGCATTAACTGCACAAATTGTAGAGCATGTGTGCTTGAACAATATGAAATCTGGGCACCTTGAAAAAAGAACAAGATAACAGCAAGGTTCAGGGAACAAGAGAGATAACCTTAAACTCTGACCACTGGTGAGCCGGGTGGAACAGAGCCATATTTCTCTTCTTTCAAAAGCAAATGGGAGAAATATCACTGAATTCTTTTTCTCAGCAAGGAACATCCCTGAGAAAGAGAATGCACCCCTGATGGTGGGCCTCTAAAATGGCCCCCTTGGGTGTGGCCGTCTTCTGTGGTCGAAGCTGTAGGGATGAAATAAGCCCCAGTCTCCCATAGTGCTCCCAGGCTTATTAGGACGAGGAAATTCCTGCCTAATAAATTTTGGTCAGACCAGTTGCTCTCAAATCCTGTCTCCTGATAAGATGTTATCAATGACAATGGTGCCTGAAACTTCATTAGCAATTTTAATTTTGCCCCGGTCCTGTGGTCCTGTGATCTCGCCCTGCCTCCATTTGCCTTGTGATATTCTATTACCTTGTGAAGCATGTGATCTCTGTGACCCACACCCTATTCGTACACTCCCTCCCCTTTGAAAATCACTAATAAAAACTTGCTGGTTTTGCGACTTTTGGGGCATCACGGAACCTACCGACATGTGATGTCTCCCCTGGACACCCAGCTTTAAAATTTCTCTCTTTCGTACTCTGTCCCTTTATTTCTCAACCCAGCCGATGCTTAGGGAAAATAGAAAAGAACCTACGTGACTATCAGGGGCAGGTTCCTTGATAAGAATGGACATTCCATACATATCTCAAATATTTCATTTCTTTCTTTCTTCTTCTGGTATTCCTGTTACACATATGTTGCAAAGCTCACTGATTTTTTCCTCAGCCATGTCCAGTCTAATGATGAGCCAATCAAAGGCATTCTTCATGTCTGTTGTAGTGTTTTTAATCTGTAGCATTTCCTTTTATTACTATCTTACAGTTTCCATCTCTCTGCTTACATTACCCATCTGTTCTTGCATCTTGTCCATTTTTCCCATTAGAGCCCTCAACATATTAATCATAGTTACTTTAAATTTCTGCTCTGATAATGCCAACATCTCTGCCATATCTGAGTTGAGGAGCATCTGGATTCCTATCAGTGTTGCCTCCAGCTGCAGGCTTCTCCTTCTGAGCTTCTCCTGGTGAGCTGTGGTTCTCTGTATCCACCTGTCTATCTCTCTAGTTTTCAGGGTAGCAGTTTGCCCTGTGACCTCAATTCTCTGAGGAATCTAAGAAGAGTTGTTGATTTTGAGTTTGTTCAACTTTTTTTCTTGTGTGAGGATGGGGTGACAACTTCCAAGCTCTTTGTATGACAAACCAGAAACTGGAGGTTCATCCTTTTAATATGTGTTTTCCAGCCAGTGAACATGGCATTTCTGTTCAGGTCTTCTGAATTTCTCTTTAAAAAGTTTTATTATTTTCTCTAAAGAGTCTTGCAAATCTTCTATTAGATTTATTCCTAGGTACTTGATATTTGTGTGTTATTATAAATATATCTTCTTTCAAAGTTTAACTATTGCTGGAATATAAAAATATTGATTTTTAACAGCTTTATTGATATTTACATACTATAAAATTAATCTATTTGAAGTGTGCAATTCAGTAATTTTGTTCTATTTACAGAGTTGTATAGCCATCACTATAATCTTAGAATATTTTCACTGTACCAGAAAGAAACTTTGTATCTATGTCAAAGACAAACAAAGCTAGACAGTAGTTAAAGTGGTAAGGACAAGTTTTAATCAGTAATAACTATTGTAATAGGGAAGAGTCCAGTGTGAACTAAAAACTTGTAACAGAGGTGACTGGGCATTTTAAAGAACAATGACAGAACAGGGAAGGGGGAACTCAGTAGAGTCAGGGAAGTGAAAAATTACAAAAAGCTGGAAGGGGCACTTGGTCCATGTGAAACTCATCTGGGTTTGCTAACTGGCACTTATTGAACAAGTTAGATTCCTACCCTTCCACAGAGTCTGGGAGACAGGGGCTGTATCTTCAGGTGTTGCTGCAACAACAGTAAATTTGTTTGGCAGCCTTGACTTTTCTCAAGCAGACACTTTATAAGGGGGTGCAGGGTCATCCTAGAGATGTGGCCTTGAGCTGTTGGAAACCATGTTAGTGTTTAATTCAAGTCTGTATAGGCCAAGGTGGATGCCTAGTTGAGAAGAGGGCTCAGAGGAGCCTGACTAGAGAGTTTGGTTGAGGAGATAATCTTTATTACCCATTAGCAATCATTCCCCATTCTTCTCCCTCACAGACAACCACTAATCTACTTTTTGTCTCTACAGATCTGCCTATTCTGGACATTTCATATCAATGGGATCATACTCTACAGGCATCCCCAACCCCTGAACCATGAACTGATACTAGTCCAATGGCATGTTAGGAACTGGGCCACACAGCAGGAAGGAACAAAGCTTCATCTGTATTTATAGCTGCTCCCTATCAGTTGCAGCACCACCTGAGCTCCACCTCCCATCAGATCAGCGGTGGCATTAGATTCTCATAAAAACATGATCCCTATTGTGAACCGCACATGCGAGGGATCTAGGCTGCATGCTCCTTATGAGAATCTAAAGCCTGATGATCTGTCACTGTCTCCCATCACCCCAGACTGGGAGTGTCTAGTTGCTGGAAAATAAGCTCAGGGCTCCCACTGATTCTACATTATGGTGAGTATTACATTGTACATATGTTACAATGTAATAATAATAGAAATAAAGTGCACAATAAATGTAATTTGCTTGAATCCTGAAACCACCCCGCTACACACCACACCATCTGTGGAAAAACTGACTTCCATGAAACCTGTCCCTGGTGGCAGAGATTGGGAATCACTAATACAATATATAACTGCCTTCTTTCTCTTAGCATAATGCTTTTAAGGTTCATCCATTTGTAACATGTATCAGTAACTCATTCCTTTTTATAGCTGAGTAATATTCCTCTGTATGGATCTACTACATTTTGTTTATCCATTCATCATTCGATGGACATTTTGGTTGGTTGTGCTTTTGGCTGTTATGAATAATGCTACTATAAGCATTTATGTATAAGTTCTTTTGTGGACATACGTTTTTATTTCTTTAGGGTAGGTATATAGGAATGGAATTTCTGGCTCATGTGGTAACTCTTGGCATTTTGAGGGATTGCCAAAATGTTTTCCAAAGTGGCTGCACCATTTTACATTCCCACTATGTATAAGGTTTCCAGTTTCTTCACATCCTTGCCAATGCTTGTTATTGGCTTTCTTTTTTTTTTTCCATCATACCCATATGATAGGGGGTATGAAGTGGTATCTTATTGTGGGATTGATTAACATTTCCCCCTAAAATCCCAGCACTTTGGGAGGCTGAGGCTGGAGAATCCCTTGAGTCCAGGAGTTGGAGACCAGCCTGGGCAACATAGTGAAACCCCATCTCTACAAAAAAAATCAAAAAAATTAGCCAGACATGGTGTTGCATGCCTGTGGTTCCAGCTTCTCAGGAGGCTGAGGTGAGAGGATTGCTTGATCCTAGGAGGTGGAGGTTGCAGTGAGCCATGATTGTACCACTGCACTCCAGCCTAGTTGATGAAGAGAGATCCTGTCTCAAAAAATAAAAAATTTAAAAAATGATCTACATTCCCCTAATAGCTAATAATGATGAGCATCTTTTTCATGTGCTTATGAGCCATTTGTATATCTTTCTTCAAGAAGTTTCTCTTCAAATCTTTGCCCATTTTTAAATTGGGTTGTCTTTTTATTATTGAGTTTTAAGAGTTCTTTATATATTCTGTATAGTAGATTTTTATCAGATATATAATTTGCAAATATTTTTTCAATCTATGTTTGCTTTTCTACTTATGTTCTTTGAAAACAAAAGTTTTAAAATTTGAGGAAGTCCAACTTATCAATCTTATCTTTTAATAACTGTGCTTTTCACTGTATATAAGAAATCACTGCCTCACCCATGATTGCAAAGATTTACTTCTGTGCTTCCTTCCAAGAATTTTATAGTTTTAGTTCTTAATATTTACATCTGTCATCCAAACTGAGTTAATTTTTTTTTTTTTTTTTTTTTTGAGACAGGGTCTCACTTTATGGCCCAGGCTGGAGTGCTGTGATGCAATCATGGCTCACTGCAGCCTCAACTTCCCAGGCTCAAGCACTCCTCCTACCTTAGCCTCCTGGAATTATTTTCTTAATTTCATTTTCAGATTATTTATTGCTAGTGTATAGAGATGAAATTGATTTTTGTACATTGATCTTGTATCCAGCAACTTTGCTAGAGAAGTGTAATTGATTTTTTATACTGAGTTTGGACCCAGCAAATTTGCTGAACTCTCTTATTAATTGTATTACTTTTTCTATAGATTCTTTTAGATTTTCCATATAAATAATATTATCTGCAAATAATGACAATCTTGTTTCATCTTTTCCATCAACACATTATATAAAAAAATTACTATGGCAAAATACACATAACATAAAATTTACTATCTTAACCAGTTTTAAGTGTACAGTTAAGTGGTATTAAGTATATTCATATTATTGTGCAACCAGCATCACCATCCATCTCCAGAACTCTTTTCATCTTGCAAAGCTGAAAATCTACATCCATTAAATAACCCTCCACCATTCATTCTCTCCTCCCTCCATTCCCTGAAAACTACTGTTCTACTTTCTGTCTCTGTAATTTTGACTACTCTAGGTACCTCATATAATTGGAATCATGCAGCATTTGTTGCCCAGGCTGGTCTTGAACTCTTGGCTTCAAGTGATACTCCAACCTTGGCTTCCCAAAGTGCTAGGATTAGAGGGGTGAACTACCTCACCCAGCCTCTGTACTTTTTTTCTATATACTTTTTTCCATTTTTTTTCTCTATGTTTTTCAGATTGGATAATTTCTACTGACCTATCTTCAAGGTCTCTGCTTTTTCTCTCTGTCCTCTCCATTCTGTTACTAAACCCAGAACAAGGTTTAGTTCTGTTATTGTATTGTTGGTTCTTGTATTGTTTAGCTCGACTATCCATGTGGTTCTTTATATCTGCTACTTTTTTGTCGTTGTTGAGACTATCTTCCATTCATTTTAAGAGTGTTTATCCTTTTATAGCATATTATAATAGCTATTTTAAGGTTTTTGTCAGATAATCTTAATATTTATGTCATATTGATGTTGGCATCTGTTGACTGCCTTTTTTCATGAGAGTTGAGATGTTCCAGTTTTTTCGTATGCCAAGTGATTTTGATTGTGTCCTGGCCATTTTCAATATTATGTTATGGAATTCTGAGTCTTATTTAAATTCTCTGGAAAATATTGATACTTTGTTTTTAGGGGCAGTCAACTCAATTGAGTTCAGGCTGCAGGTTTTAACCAGGCTTCTGTAGTTGGTGGTTTCAAATGAGTGCTATTTACAAAACCTTTGCAGGGCTATTCAGATTTGTCCTGCATGTATGCCACCCAGTGGGCAGTCTGGGTCCTGGGAAGCAGTCTATCTCCTAATTTAGTTCTCAAATTTTTTGGTAAGCTGTTTATTGTGGCAAAATACACATAAAATAAAAACCGTGCATGCACAGTTAGAGGTGAACCCAAGATTTCATAAACAACTCTATGGGGTTAATTTCCCAAGTTCCTACCTCTCTGCAATCTCTTTTATACTTCCTGTTTCCCCGGGATTCCTCATTCTGCTTGTCTGGCTAGGAAACTAACACTAGGGCTTTAGTTATCCTGCTTCCCATAACTGCATCAAAATCTTAGGCCAAGTGGCAGGAGGACAGAAAGAAAACAACAACAATGATAGGAGTTTGCCTCACCCTCTTGGGACACTTTTGGGACCATAGATATTCTAATAAAAGAGTAAGGCTCCTCACTTCAAAGTTGTAGGCTTATCTAAATATCCTTTCCTGGAGTTTTCTATGCATAACCTTTGCCTTTTTTTCTATTGGGTGGCTTATTTCTTTTGTCTCTTATTTTCACTGCAGTTCATTATATGTTCTGAATGTTATTTATTGTCTAGCATGTATTTGTACTTATGCAAATATTTTCAGTCTATGATTAGTTTTTTTTTTTTACTTAGTTTTGTTATGGTCAAATTTTTCAGTTTTTTTCTTTTTGTGGTTTTTGCACTATGTCCTAAGAACTCCTCCTTCTCTGCTGATTATAAACACAGCCTAACTTTTCTCCCTGTACTTTCATACATGTTTTATTTGTTTTATATTTAGCTTTTTAATCTACCCACAATTTATATTTGTGAGGAGAAAAGGTAAGTTGATTCTGTTTTGTTCTTCTACAATAGATAGCTATTTCTCCCCAAATCATTGACTGAATATTCCATCCTTTTAAAAACTCATTTGCAATGCTGCTTTTACTATACTCAATTTCCATACATGTATGAGTTTTATTATCTATTTTGTATTTAGTTTATCTACTTATTTATACCCAAATCAGTACCATGTAGTTATAATTATAGTTTGATAGTATATTTTTTAATATTATAGAATATATTCCTCTCTTACTGCTTTTTTCTTTTCTTTTCAAATAATTTTGGCTATTCTTGCACATTTTGTTTTTCAGATGAGTTTTGGAATCTCTTATAAAATTTATTTAAACATTTCTATTGTAATTGTAGATAATAATTACATTTTAGAGAATTGACATGTTAACAATTAGAATCATCCTATTCAGTATCACAGCATATTTTCCCATGATAATGAACTTTTGAATGTTCTCCAAAATTTTATTGTTTGCTTTATATAGGTCCTTAATAATTCCAAATTTTATTATTAGCTATTGTTATATTATACTAATACATTATGAACCTAGAAATAGAAATTTTATAGATTTTTGAAAAAATGAATGCGGATTTAAAAAGTCGTTGCCCCAAAATTGGTTTTGCCGATATAAAAGTAAATAACTGACTCTTACATTTGATACTAAGCTCCCTCGCTATACTCTCTTACTTGTCCTAACAATTTAACAGTTGGTTTTATAGAATTTTCAATGTATATGGTTATGTTGCCAACAGATAACAGTTTTGTCTGTTTATATTTTGTCTGGATTTATATGTTATTTCTTTTTTCTCTCTTGGCAAATACATTCAGGACAATCTTTAATATTGGCAGTGATAACTTTCATCCTGGCATTGTTCTTTACATTAGTGGGAACACTTCCACAGTTTCACCACTTACTATGATGTCTTCTGTAGTTTTCTGGGAAATCCCTTTTTTTTTTTTCCAATTTCATCATTCTTACTATCATAAAGTTTCCATCAGAAACAGATTTTGAATTTTAAAAATGTTCTTACAGGAGAGGGATCAAGATGGCTGCTAGACGCAGGTAGTACGTACCTCCTCTAAGGAGAGGAAGCAGAATAGTACAATACTCACATTTCAAGCAGAGCATCTAGAAGAGAATGCTAGGATTCACCAGAGAAGAGATAGGAATCACCAGAAGTAAGGAGAGGGTTGGAGGCAAGCAGCTTGCCTGGCAGAGGACTGACAGAATCATGAGAGGCTCCTGGATGCAGGGAAGCAATAAGACGGAAACCCCCAGGGCTTGGCTTTTACAATCTTGGCCACAGGAGAAACCCACTATGAAATTGGGCATAACATAAGGAGCTGCCTAAAGATTGCAGAGAGATGTTGCTCCAGAGAGGGAACTCTCACAGGCATCTGAGCCCTGAGCAGCCTCAGCTGGGCGCCATTTTGAGAGCTTAGATACGGGGGATCTACATATGATGGCTGTTGCCACTGCATTGCTCCAAGGAGGGTGCGAGGGAAACTAGGCACTCCCATGCACCATTGGGAGGGTCTCCATCACCCTACTGAGGCTGCTGTTGAGAATGGAATGTGAGCAGACTGCACTCCTTACAGCTGCTTGCTTGGGAGGGACCCCGCCTTCTCTAGTCTCAGGCCCAAGGTGCCACCTTGAGGGTTTGACACTGGGCTGTGCCTCACCCTAAGGCTGAATTCAGGCTTACCTGGCAGTAACTGTTGCCTGGCCAAGGAGGGTCGGGGAAACCAGGCCCTCCTATGCACATCTAGGACAAAACCCACTGCCCTACAATAGGCGGCTGTGAAACTGAGACACGAATGGTACTGCGCTTTCACAGCTTCTTGCTTCTGCTGTTTGCCTGAGAGAAGCCCCGCCGTCTCTGGTCACAAGCCCACAGCTGACACCATTTTGAGAGTTTAACGTTGGGCTATGCCCTGCCCTCAGGCGGAGTTCAAGTTGATGAAGCTGCAGCTGCCACCCATCTGAGGAGGGACAAGAAAACCAAGCTCTCCTACATGTTCCTAGGACAATATCCACCACCCTGCTATAGGCTGCTGTGAGACTGAGACTTGAGTGTGACGCACTGTCCACAGCTTCTAGCCCATGCTGCCCACCCTATCTGTTCAGAAACTCATAGGTGGCACCATTTTGAGTTTAATGAGTTTAATGAGTTTAAGGATGGGCCCATCCTTGAGCCGAGTTATAAGTGATGTACTGCAGCTGCCTCCCATCTGGGAAAGGGACAGGAGAGATTAAGCTCTTCTAAGAACATTCAGGACAATATCCACTGCCCTGCTGCAGGAGGCTGAGGACCTGGGGACTAGCCCACCCAACCCGTAACAGCTTCCAGCAACAACACAGACTGCTTGGATCCCATTTGGATGTTCCACCACCACTACTGTCACCACCCACACAACACCAGCTGCCCATTGGACTGAGAACCCACCCACACACCTGGCCCACCACTGTCACTACTAACTTCTAAACAAGCCGCCTGGAGGCCCAAGAATCAGCTCTCTAGAACCCACTAATACTGGAGCCAGTGCAAGTTGCTCTGGAGCCTACAAACAGTCACATTCACCCCACTGCTGCTGCTGTTGGGTGAAGACTAGTGCAGTTGTCACTGAAGTCCCCAGAAAATTTCACCACAACCTCAGCTAATCACTGTTCCTGAAGCCACTAAGGAAGTCACAGATACCATGGACCCTGTGTGCTGCCAGAGAAGTCATACTAAGATCACACTATCACAGGCACCCAAAATCAAAGCCAAAGTATCATCATATTCAACCAACTACATACATACGTGTTCAGGAAAAATTTCTACCCTATGAAAGCAATTTCAAAAGCTGGAACAAGAGACTGCTACACCAGATGTGCAGATATCAATGGAAGGACACAGGAAACATGAAAAAGCAGGGAAATATGACAGCACCAAAGGACTACAACAATTGTCCAGCAATAGATCTTAATAAAAAAGAATTTCTCAAAATGCCAGGTAAATAATTCAAACCACTGATTTTAAAGAAGCTTAATGGGATGCAAGAGAAATCTGAAAATCAATACAAAGCAATCAGAATATAAATTCAAGATATGAATGAGAAATTTACCAAGAAATTATCTCTTTTAAAAAAAGTGGAAATTTTGGAATTAAAGAATTCATTGAAGGAAATATGAAATACACTTAAAACCTTAGTAATAAACTAGACCAGAAGAAAGAATGTCACAACTTGAAGACAAATATTTTGAAATAATCTAGTCGGAGAAAAATAAGGAAGAAAATAATAAAAAAGAATGAACAAAGCCTTTGAGATGTCTAGGACTGCATGCAGTGACCAAACTAATGAATTATTGGTATTCCAAATGGGGAAGAGAGATAAAAAAGTTTAGGAAATCTATTTAAGGAAGTAATTGATGAAAACTTCCAAAGTCTAACAAGACAGACATCCAGATACACAAGGCCTAGGAATCCCCAGGCAAATACATTGCAAAAAGGACTTCACCATGCAATATTATATTCAGAATATATAACATTCTCCCTAACTCAGTCTAGAGTTAAAGTGAAAGAAAGAGTTTTAAATTACAAAAAGAAGAGCACCTAGTCACCTATAAAGACAACCTCATCAGACTCACAGTGGACTTTTCAGCAGTAACCTCACAGGCCAGAAGAGAATGGGATGGCATTTTCAAAGTGCTGAAAGAAAAAAAAAATCAGCAAAGAACTTTATACCCTGCCAGAATAAGCTTCGTAAATGAAGGAGAAAAAAAGTCTTTCCCAGACAAGCAAATGCTGAGGGAATTTGTCACCACTAGAGAGGCCCTACAGGAAATGCTTAAAGGGGTCTAAAACATGGAAATTAAAGGTCAATGTTCACCATTATGAAAACACATAATATAAAACTCACAATTCTTATAAAACAACTACAATAAGGAGGAAGAGAAAGGAATTTAATGGCAACATGACCAAATTTCATTAAACCACAAAGGCAAAAAGAGAAAAAAAATGAAACAAGCATTTATAAAACAACTTGAAAACAATTCATGATATGACAAGAATAAAGCCTCACATATCAAGATTAACCTTGATTGTAAATAGATTAAATGCTTACTTAAAAGATAGAAATGGGCAGAATGTATTTTTAAAAAATAATAATGCAACTATATACTGCCTACCAGAAACTCACCCTACCCATAAAGACATATATAGACAAAGTAAAGGGGTAGAAAAAGATATTCCACACAAATGGAAACCAAAAGCAAGCAGGAGTAGCTATACTTACAGATAAAACAGACTTTAAATTAAATATGGCAATAAAAGACAAAATCATTATATAATGATAAAGGTATCAATTCAGCAAGAGGATATAACAATCATATATATGTGTATGTGTTGGATATATATATCTCCAACATCAGAGCACCCAAATTCACAAAACAAGTGTTACTAGACCTAAAGAAAGAGATAAACAGCAATCAAATAATGGTAGGGGACTTCAACATCCCACTCACAACAATAAACAGATCATCAAGACAGAGAGTTAACGAAGAAACATTGGACTTAAATTAGACTTGAGACCAAATAGACTTAACAGTCATTTACAGAACATTCTACCCAACAAGTACAGAATATACATTCTTTTCATCAGCCCATGTAACATTCTGCAAGATAGACCACATGTTAGGCCACAAAACAAGTCTTAAGAAATTTTTTAAATCATAATTATATCAAGTATCTCCTCAGACCACAGGGGGATAAAGGTAGAAATCAATACCAAGAGGAACTTCAGAAACTATACAAATACATGAAACTTAGACAGCATGCTCCTGAACTGTCTCTGAGTCAATGAAGAAATTATGATGGAAATTTAAAAAATTGAAACGAATGAAAATGGAAACACAATATACCAAAACCTCTGGGACAAAGCAAAAGCAGTGCTAAGAGGGAATTTTATGACATTAAATGCCTATATCAAATAAGTAGAAAGAGCATGAATTAACAACCAAACATTGCACCTCAAGGAACTAGAGGAACAAGTACAAACCCAAAGATAGCAGAGGAAAAGAAATAACAAAGATCAGAGCAGAACTAAACGAAGTAGAGACCAAAAAACAATACAAGGGATCGACAAAATGAAAAGTTGGTTCTTCAAAAAGGTAAACAAATTGATAAACCACTACCTAGACTAACCAAGAAAAGAAGAGAGAAGATCCAAACAAACACAATCAGAATTGGAAAAGGAGACATTCCAACTGATATCACAGAAATACAAAATATCACCAGAGACGATTATGAACAATGATACACTCACAAACTAGATAATCTAGAGAAAATGGATAAATTCCTGGAAATGTACAACATCCTGAGATTGAACCAGGAAGAAATAGAACTCCTGAAGAGACCAATAATGAGTAGAAAGATTGAATCAGTAACAGAAAAATTTCCTCACACAAAAAAAGCCTGGGACCAGATGGATTCACAACTGAATTCTACCAAATATACAAAGAGCTAATACCAATCTTCCTGAATCTATACTAATAAATCAGGGAGGATAGGTTTCTCCCTAACTCATTCTATGAAGCCAGTATCACTCTGATACCAAAACCAGACAAGAACACAACACAAATAGAAAACTACAGACCAGTAACCCTGATGAACATCAATGCAAATATCCTCAACAAAATACTATCAGGTGGGATTTATCCCAGGAATGCAAGGATGGTTCAACATACACAAATAAATAAATATGATACATCACACAAACAGAATTAAGGACAAAAACTACATGATCATCTCAGTAGATGCAGAAAAAGCTTTTGATAAAATTCAGCATCTTTTCATGATAAAAATCCTTGACAAACTAGGCATAGAAGGAATATACCTCATTATAATACAGGCAATATATGACAAACACACAGCCAACATTATACTTAATGGGAAAAGTTGAAAGCATTTCCTCTAAGAACTGGAACGAGACAAAGAAGCTCACTTTTACCACTCTTATTCAACATAGTACTGGAAGTACTTGCCAGAGAAATCAGGCAAGAGGAAATAAAAGCCATCGAAATTGGAAAAGAGAAAGTAAAATTATCCCTGTTCACTGATGATCTTATATCTAGAAAAGCCTAAAGTCTTCACCAAAAAAAACCTCTTAAATTTCACAAATGAATTTAGTGAAGTTTCATGATACAAAAGTAGTATAAAGAAATCAGTAGTATTTCTATATACCAATAATAATCTATCTGAGGACCAAATCAAGAAGGCAATCCCGCCTACAGTAGCTACAAAAAAATGATAAAATACCTAGGAATATATTTAACCAAGGAGGTGAAAGATCTTTATAAGGAGAACTAAAAAACACTGATGAAAGAAATCATAGATGACATAAACAAATGGAAAAACATCCAATGCTCATGGATTGGAAGAATCAATATAATGAAAATGACCATACTGTCCAGAGCAATCTGCAAATTCAAAACAATCCTATCAAATTACCAACATCATTTTTCACAGAATTAGAAAAAACAATTCTAAAACTCATATGGAACCAAAAAAGAGCCCAAATAGCCAATGGAATCCTAAGCAAAAAGAACAAAGCTGGAGGCATCACATTACCTGACTTCAAATTATACTACAAGGCTGTAGTAACCAAGACAGCATGGTACTCATATAAAAATAGACACACAAATTAATGGAACAGAATAGAGAACCCAGAAATAAAGCCACACACCTACAACCAATTGATCTTCAACAAAGTCAACAAAAATGTACACTAGAGAAAGGACACCCTAAGTAATAAATGCTGCTGGGAAAATTGGATAACCATATGCAGAAGAGTGAAACTGGACCAATACCTCTCATCATATACAAAAATTAACTCAAGATGGATTAAAGACCTAAATGTAAGACCTGAAAGTATAAAAATCCTAGCAGAAAACCTAGAGAAAACTTACGGACATTGGCCTAGGCAAAGAATTTATGACCAAGTCCTCAAAAGCAAACACAACACAACAAAAATAGACAAATGGGACTTAATTAAACTAAAATGCTTCTGGATAGCAAGAGAAACAATCTACAGAGTAAACAGACAACCTGCAGAATGGAAACAAATTTTGTCAACTATGCATCTGACAAAGGGCTAATATCCAGAATCTAAAATGAATTCAAACAGCTCAAGAAGAAAAAAACCAAATCATCCCATTAAAAAGTAATCACAGGACATGAACATACATTGTTCAAAAGAAGACATACAAGTGGCCAACAAACATTTAAAAATGCTCAACATCAATAATCACCAGAGAAATGCAAATTAAAACCATAATGAGATACTGTCTTACACCAGTCAGAATGGTGATTATTAAAAAGTCAAAATATAACAGATGTTGGTGAGGATGCTGAGAAAAAGGAATGCTTATACGTTGCTGGTGGGAATATAAATTAGTACAAGCTTTGTGGAAAACAGTATGGAGACATTTTAAAGAACCAAAAATAGAACTACCATTCAATCCAGCAATCTCACTACTGAATATATACCCAAAGGGAAAGAAATCATAGTATCAAAAAGATATCTGCTCTCATGTTTATTGCAGCAAAGATATCAACCTAAGTGTCTATCAATGGAGGATTAAAGAAAATGTGGTATTATGTATTATGGAATACTATTCCGCCATAAAAAAGAATGAAATCATGTCTTTTGCAGCAACATGGATACAACTGGAGGCGATTATCACAACTGAAATAACTCAGAAACAGAAAGTCAAATACCTCACGTTTTCACTTTTAAATGAGAGCTAAATAGTAGGTTCACACGGATATGCAGAGTGGAATAATAGACACTGGAGACTCCAAAATGTAGGAGGTTTGGAGGGGGATGAGGGTTGAAAAACTACCTGTTGGATACAGTGTTCACTATTCAGGTGATGTGGTACACTAAAAACCCAGACATCACCGTTATGCAATATATGTATGTAAAAATCTGCACTCATATCTCCTACATATATAAAAATTGAAATAAAAATGAACTTAAAATTTTTTTAAATAAACAAGTTTTGTGGGTTTTTTTTTTTTTTTTTTTTTTTTTTTGAGACAGAATGTTGCTCTGTCACCCAGGCTGGAGTGCAGTGGTGCAATCTTGACTCACTGCAACCTCCGCCTCCTGGGTTCAAGCAATTCTCCTGCCTCAGCCTCCCAAGTAGCTGGGATTACAGGCACCCACCACCATGCCCGGCTAATTTTTGTATTTTTAATAGAGATGGGGTTTTGCCATGTTGGCCAGGCTGGTCTTGAACTCCTGACCTCGTGATCTTCCTGCCTCGGCCTCCCAAAGTGTTTATTTTTAAAATAAACAACTTTTTTAAAAAAAGAAACCCACCAATAAAAAGTAAATGTAAAAAAATAAATAAAACGAGTTTACAGCATCTATTGAGAAGAGCACTTCCTCTTTATTCTTCTATCTCTTAATAGAGTAAGTTGATTTTTAAATTATTTAATTTTGAACCACTTATATATTTCTGGAGTAACTCTGCTTGGTCATAATTTATTTTTTATTTTTATATAATCCCAGATTTTATTTCTTAACAATTAAAACATTTAATCTAAGTTCATAAGTGCACTTACTCTATGCTCACGTTCTATTGAACTACACTTGCTATTTTTGGTTTCAGGGTTATATAGGTAGAGCATCCCAAATCTAAAAACCCCAAATCCAAAATCTGAAACTTTTTGAGTACTATCAGGACCCACAAAGGAAATGCTCATTGGAGCTGAAAGATTTTGGATTTGGGGATTTGGAATGCTTAAGCAGTATAATGCAAATATTCCAAAATCCCAAATCCAAAATGCTTCTGGTTCCAAGCATTCTGGATAAGGGATATTCAAGCTGTATTGAGAAATTTGAAACATTTTAAATAACTTTGTAAGCTCATAGTTATTGTCATCTGTTGTTTTGAGTTTGGTAGATTTTTCTCTGTGTAGTGAGCCTAGTGCTTTTTGTAGAGGGAAAGAGCTGAAGGATAATAAATTTTTATTATTTATGTTTTTTAAATTAAAGTATAATTTAAAGATTTTAGGGGTTTATTTTGATGAGTTTTAATAAGTATATATACACTTGTGTAATTATTACTCAAAATGTTTTCCAAAAAGGTTTACTCATTGATTTTGATATATGATCATACTTAGAATACTTTAATAATTTTTTAATATTTTTATCTTTACAAATTATGTTTCATATCTTGTTCTTGATACTGTTTTTAAAATTGTTTTCTCATTTTTTTCCTTTGGTCGTAGTAGCTAAAGATTTGTCTTTTATTATTGGTCTTTTTAAAACAACCAGTTTTTAGTTTTATTGAGCATTTCTGTTTTTAAATTTTTTCTTTTTAATTTGTTTCTGCTTTTATTCACTTTAGTATGTTTCTTCTATTATATTGGGTTTATGTTATTATTTCTTTTTTAGCTTTTTTATTGAGTTTAGAGCCTAGTTCATTGATTTTCAAACTTTCTTTCTAATCAGTGCATTTAAGACTACAAATTTTCCTTTCAATATATTTTGGCTGCAAATCATAGGTTTTATAATCTTGTGAGTGCTCTCATTTTTATTCATTTGTAAATAGTTTTTTTCAATTGAAGCAAAAAACATGTACATAAAGTGTATCATCTTAACCATTTTCAAATGTACAGTTAGTAGTGTTAAGTATATTGACATTGTTTTGAAACAGATCTCCGGAACTTTTTTTATCTTGCAAATTTGAAACTCTATACTCATTAAACAATTCCCCTTTTTCCTCTCCCCACAGCTCCAGGTAATCACCATCCTACATTCTTTTTCTTTAAATTTGACTACTTTAGATACCTCATATAAATGGAATCATACAGAATTTGTGCTTTTGTGACTGGTTTATTCTACTTCGTACAATTTCCTCAAGTTTCATTTGTGTTTTTAGCATATGACAGAATTTTCTTCTCTTTTAAGGCTGAAAAATATTGTGTATATTACTACATTTGTTTATCTATTCATCCACTGGGCTGTTTCCACTTCTTGACTATTGCGAATAGTGCTGCTATGAACCTGAGTGTGCAAATATCCCTTTAAATTATGCTTTCTTTTTTTTTTTTTTTTTTTTTTTTTTAGACAGCATCTGGCTCTGTCGCCCAGGCTGGAGTACAGTAGTGCAATCTCAGCTCACTGCAGCCTCTGCCTCCTGGGTTCCAGTGATTCTCCTGCCTCAGCCTCCTGGGTAACTGGGATTACAGGCACATGCCACCACACTGGGTGAATTTTTGTAATTTTAGCAGAGATGGGGTTTCACCATGTTGGCCAGGCTGGTCTCGAACTCCTGACCTCAGGTGATCTGCCTGCCTCGGCCTCCCAATCAATTATTTTGACCTGTACCCAGAAGTAGGATTCTTGGATCATATGGTAATTCTATTTTTAATTTTTTGAGGAACGGTCACACTCTTTCCATAGTGTTTAGACCAGTTTACAATCCCGCCAACAGTGCACAAAGGTTTCAATTTCTCTGTATCCTAACCAAAACTTATTTCCTGTGTTTTTCATAGTTGCCATCCTAATGGGTGTGAGGTAATATTTCATTGTTTTGATTTACATTTCTTTTTAATTTAAAATATTTATTTGTCAAATAAATGTTGAATATATTCAAGGTATATAATGTATGATTTGATATATGTATATATTATATAATAATTACCACAATCAAATTAACAAATCTATCACTATACATGCTGTACATTAGACCCCCAGAACCTATAAATCTTATAGCTGAAAAGTTAAACCCTTTGACCAACATTTCCCCATTTCCCCTGACCCCTATCCCCTGGCAACGACTGTTCTACCCTCTGTTCCCATGAGTTCAACTTTTTTATAGATCACATATGCTGTGATTTTGATGTGTTTTGTCCCCCACCAAAACTCATGTTGAAATTTGATTTTCAATGTGGCAGCATTGGGAAGTTGGACCCTACAGGGTGTTGTTAGATCATGAAAACAGATCTCTCATTAATAGATTAATGCAGTCTCTTGACAGTGAGTTCTTGTCTTTGTGGGACTGGGTTAGTCACCTCAAGAATGGGTTGTTCCTTCTCACATTTGGTCTCTTTGTACATACCCACTTCCTCTTCTATTTTCTACCATGATTTGAAGCAGCATGAGACCCTCACCAGATAGGCTACCCAATCTTGGACTTTACAACTAGACCCAAATAAACCTCTTCACTTCATAATTTACCCAGTCTCAGGTATTCTTTTATAGCATCACCACTTATATGTTACAAGACAACATATTAAGATCATACAATATTTGTCTTTCTGTATCTGGCTTATTTCACCTAACATATAATGTCCTTCAATTTCATTCATGTTGCAAATTACTGGATTTCTTTTTTATGGCTGAAAAATATTTCATTGTATATTCGTACCACAATTTTAAGATCTGTTCACCTGTCAGTGGACAATTAGATTATTTCCATATGTTGGCAATTGTAAATAATGCTGCAGTGAATGGGGGTGGGGGTGGGGGTGCATATAATCTCTTTGAGATCCTGATTTCATTTCCTTTGGATATATGCCCAGAAGTGGGGTTACTGGATCATATGGTAGTTCTAATTTTAATTTTTTTGAGGCACCTCCATACTGTTTTTCATAATGGCTCTACCATTTTACATTTCCACCAACAGCGTAAAGCGTTTCAGTTTCTCTGTTCCTTTGCTTTCAGTCTGTGTGTATACCTTAAGGCTAAAGTGAGTCTCCTTAGGCAGCATATGGTTGGAATTTTTTAAAAAATCCATTTGGCCACTCTGTCTTTTGATTGGATAATTTGATCCACTTACATTTAAAATAATTTTATATGTGAGGACTTACTATTGTTGTTTTGTTGTTGAAAACTTTTACCTGTTCACTTAAATGAAGTATTTTACAGCTTCTCTTTGGCATATCCAAATTGCCAGTATCTCTAATCTTGCACTTTGGGACCATTATTAAGTAACATACAGGGTACTCAAATACACACACTGTGATATTGCAAGAGGCAATCTGATAACTGAGATGGCTACTAAGTGACTAATGAATGGGTAGCACATATAGTGTAGATACACTGGACAAAGAGATAATTTATGTCCCAGGTGGGATAGAGTGGGACAGCATAAGATTTCATCATGCTACTCAGAAAAATGTGCAATTTAAAACTTATAAATTGTCCATATCTGGAGTTTTCCATTTAATATTTTTAAACCACTGTTGATTATAGGTAACTAAAACCACAGAAAGCAAAACCTTAAATAAGGGGGGAATACTATATGGTATAAGAGCCCAACTTTATTCCTTTGCATGCAGATATCCAATTTTCCCAGAATTATTCATTGAAGAGACTTCTTTTTCCATTGAGTGTGGCCTTAGCACACTTGTTGAAGATCATTTAACTTTATGTGCACGGGTTTATTTCTGGGATCTCTATTCTGTTTATTAGTCTATTTTGTCTTTATGGCAGTACCATTAGTCTATTTGTCTTTATGACAGACTATTCTATTCATTGGTCTATTTGTCTTTATATCAGTATGGCAGTACACTTTTTGTTATTATTTTGCTTTGTCATAGTTTGAAATCAGGAAGTGTGAGTGCTCCAACTTTTTTTTTTTCCTTTTTCAAAATTCTTTTGGCTATTCAGGGTTCCTTGAGATTCTGTATGAATTTTAGGATAATGTTTTATATATCTGTAAAAACAAAACTATTGGGACTTTGATAAGATTTGTTTTGAGTCTGTAGATCGCTTTGGGTAGTGTGGACATTTTTTAAAAATTAAGTTTTCCTACCCAAAAACGTAAGATGTTTTTCATTTATTTGTGTTTTCTTTAATTTCTTTCAGCAATGTTTTGTAATTTTTAGTGTATAAGTCTTTCACCTCCTTGCTTAGGCTTATTTCTAAGTATTTTATTCTTTTTGATGCCATTGTAAATGGAATGGTTTGCTTAATTTCCTTTTGGATTGTTCATTATTAGTGTATAGAAACACAACTGATTTTTGTATGTTGATTTTGTATCCTGGAACTTTGCTGAATTAGCTTACTAGTTCTAATAGATTTTTTTAGTGGAATCTTTCAGGTTTTTTGCATATAATATCATATCATCTGCAAACAGACAGTTTAACTTCTTCCTTTCCAATTTGGATGCCATTTTTCTTTTTCTTATCTAATTGTTCTGGAGATGACTTCTCATACTATGTCAAATAGAAGTCGTGAGAGTGGGCACCTTTGTCTTTTTCCTGATGTTAGAGGAAAAACTTCTAGTCTTTTGCCATTGGGTATGATGTTTACTGTGAGTTTTTCATAAATGCCCTTTATTATGTTGAGGTATTTTCCTTTTATTCCTAGTTTGGTGAATTATTTGAATCATGAAAGGATATTAAATATTTTCAAATGCTTTTTCTGCAACTATTGAGATGATCATATGATTTTATCCTTCATTCTGCTAATATGGTGCATCACATTTATTGATTGGTATGTGTTAAACCATCCTTCCATCTCAGTGATAAATCCCACTTAATCATGGCATATGATCATTTTAATGTGCTGTTGTGTTCAGTTTGATAGTATTTGCCAAGGATTTTTGCAACAATATTCATCGGGGATAGTGATCCGTAGTTTTCTCATAGTGTCTTTGTCTGACTTTGGTATCAGGTTACTGCTGGCTTTATAGAATGAGCTTGTAAGAGTTCCTCCCTCTTCAATTCATTGAAAGAGTTTCCAGAGGATTGATGCCAATTCTTTAAATGTTTGCTAGAATTCTTCACTGAAGCCATCTGGTATTGGGAAGTTTTGGGAGTTTTTTGATTTACTCATTTAATCTCTTTATTCTTTATTGGTCTGATTAAATTTTGTTTCTTTATGATTCTGTCTTGGTGGTTTGTGTGTTTCTAGGAATTTATCCATTTCTTCTAGGTTATCCAATTTCTTAGTGTATAATTGTTCATAATATTCCCAATAATTTTTTTTTTATTTCTGTGGCAATGGTTGTAATGTCTCCCTTTAACTTCTGATTTTAGTGATTTGAGTCTTCTCTCTTTTTCTTAATCTAGTTAAGTTTTGTCAATTTTGTTGATCTTTCAAAAAACCAACTCATTTTCTTCCTTTGCTGGCTTTGGGTTTAGTGTGTTCTTCATTTTAGTTTCTTAAGGTATATAATTAGGCTTTCTGAATTGAGATCTTTCTTCTTTTTAATATACATGTTTACAGCTATGAAATTCCCTCATAGCACTTTCACTGCATTCCATAAGTGTTGGTATGTTGTGTTCTTATTTTTAATAGTTTCTAATTTCTCTTTTGACCTTGTCTTTGACACATTGGTTGTTTAAGAGTGTGTGAATTTTCACATTTGTGGACTTACTGTTTTCCTTGTTCTATTGACTTCTAGTTTCATTCCGTTGTGTTTAAAAAGATATCTTGTGTGATTTCAACCTTCTTGAATTTGTTAAGATTTGTTTTGTGGCCTATTACGTGATCTATGTTGGAGAATGTTCTATGTACACTTGAGAATAATGTATATTCTGTTTTTGTTGGGTAAATGTTCTGTATATGACAGTCATTATAAATTCTTTGTCAGGCAACTCATAGATGTGCTTTCCTTTAGGCTTTTTGGGGGAGGTTTATTTTGTTACTTTGATTGGGCCATGTTTCCCTGTTTCTTTGTGTGTCTTGTAATTTTTTGCTGAGATTTGGGCATTTAAAAAAAACAAACACCTCTTCCAGGCTTTGTATCAGCATTAGGCAGAGGAAGGTCTTCATCATTCAGCCCAGCTGGACCTCTCAAATAATTTCTGATCTCTTGCTATTCCTGGTATCTACCTGTAGAGCTATAGCTCTAATGTGATGCTTGCCTCTGTTTACAGTGGTTTCCAAAATCTTGCTCCAGTTTGTCAGCACTCTGAGTCAGGTGAGACAGAAACCAGTCCCTTGGGCAGGCCCAGAAAAGCTATAATATTGGACATATGTTCTGATCTATTTTTTTTTTTTTTTCAGATGGAGTCTCGCTCTGTCACCCAGGCTGGAGTGCAGTGGCTTGATCTCGGCTCACTGCAGCCTCCGCCTCTTCTGTTCAAGCGATTCTCCTGCCTCAGCCTCCCAAGTAGCTGAGACTACAGGAGTATGCCACCACACCTGGCTAATTTTTTTGTATTTTTAGTAGAGATGGGGTTTCACCATGTTGGTCAGGCTGGTCTCAAACTCCTGACCTCAAATGATCTGCCCGCCTCAGCCTCCCAAAGTGCTGGGATTACAGGCTTGAGCCACCATACCCAGCCCTGATCTTTTGTTTTTATTCTAAGGGAGGAGCTCTTGTATGGTGACAGTTGAGGGGGATTCCTCCTGCTTGCTCTGTGCTATGCAGGGGGAAGGGCATGAATAGCCCACCAAACACTGCAAATTTCCTACAGCTTTCACTGGAATCCCTTTTTGGTTTTACAATGGCGTGGGTGCTGTAGCTTTTCAGTTGGTCTCTGGAGTTCTCACAGAGGTATTCTGTTTCATATATTGTTGATAACTCAGTATATCTGTGTGGGAAAGAGGGTCTGTAGCTTCCTAGCCTATCATCTTGCTGATGTCACTTTCCTCATTTCTAAATAGTTTAAGGTATGACTTTGATTGAATGTTCTTATAAACCTCAAATAATTTAGGAAATTGAATTCTTGGCTGGGCGCGGTGTCTCATGCCTGTCATCCCAGCACTTTGGGAGGCGGAGGCAGGCAGATCACGAGGTCAGGAAATCGAGACTATCCTGGCTAACATGGTGAAACCCTGTCTCTACTAAAAATACAAAACATTATCCAGGTGTGGTGCCACGTGCCTGTAGTCCCAGCTACTTGGGAGGCTGAGGCAGGAGAATCCCTTGAACCTGGGAGGCAGAGGTTGCAGTGAGCCGAGATTGTGCCACTGCACTCCAGCCTGGGTGACAGAACGAGACAGTCTTAAAAAATAAAAATAAAAAAGAAAAGAAAAGAAAATTGAATTATTTTCAAGTAGGCGTGTGTGTGTGTTTGTCTGTGTGATTACTATTTTCTAATTATACTGAATTATGGTTAGCAAATATGGCATATGTGTTTCTTATTCTGAGAACTTTTGGAGATTTCCTTTGTGGCCTATTACCTGGTAAGCTTTTGTGGAAGTTCTATGTGTATTCTGTTTTTTGAGTACAAAGTTCTAACTTTATCTTTTGTACTAAGCTTCTTAATTTTGCTTTTTAAATTCTCTATATTATTATTTATAATTTTCAACCACATGATTGACCAGTTTCTAAGAGAAACTGAGGAATATTTTTGGGACTCAGATTTTTGGGACATATCTATTATCACTATGATAATAGATATGTAAATTTGGCCTTTTATACCTGCCAGTTTTTATTTCACGTATTGCAAAACATGTTTGGTGCATAAAGGTTTATGACTGCCATGTTTTCTTATTAATAAGGGGTATAATCCTTTTATTGTACTTCTTATCAAGTACCTCTTATTATACCTCTTATCAAATATCCTCCTCTGCCCCAGTTTGTGATTTTTACTGTTTTGACTGATACTAATAATGCTATACTTGCCTTCCTCTTAGCGTTTGCATGTTATATCTTTACCTATCCTTGATTGTTTTAGCAGGCTATGTTTTCAAAACTATGTAATTTTAATTTTAAAAATGTAACCCAATAGCCTTTTTAAAATAGGTGAATTTATCCCAGTTACATTTATCATGATTATTAATATCTCATTACAGTTGTTGATGCCTACCAGCCAAAGACCAACAGAAATAGGCTTGTCGTCAAACAAAGTTTGGTTTATTGGTACTTATTGCAACAAGGGCAACACCCCAAAGTTCCCCATGGTATGTGGTCTCCCTTGTTGCAACAAAGACCAATAATTTTGTTCAACGAAACCTGTGCTCCTGGTGGTCTTTGACTTGTGGATATCAACATAGTAAAGCGCTCTCTTTCTCTCTCTCTCTCCATCTGTGTGTGTGTGTGTGTGTGTGTGTGTGTGTGTGTGTGTGTGTGTGTTGTCTTTCCCAAATACATGCTATCTCTTCAAATGTTTCTTGCTACCTAGCTATCTTGGGAATCTATTTCCATTTCTTATCTCCACCCCTTAATCTCTGTTTCTGTCTTTATGTCTGTGTCTGTTACACACACACACACACACACACACACACACACACACACCCCTTAACTTGACTCTGCCACATTTAGTTAAGCCAGATTTGCTGGCCAGAACAATGTCTGCTGCCTTGTGAGCCTTGGAGTCGAGGGTAAGGAGGAGAGATGATGGATAGAGATTTGGCTCAGCAAAGCTTTCAAGAATTTTCCTAACATGGCAGCAAAGAATCATCACAACAAATGCCATCTCCCATCCTGATAGTTCTTGATAGCTGATGACCCTGTGACACTATGGGTTTAATCATACTCTTACTGCTTGGATTCGATTGTCTGTATAATTAGGATCAAAACAATACAGTTTGTACTTTCTTTTTTATCTCCACTTCCTTTTATAGCTTAAGATCTTGTGTGCCACAGAACCAACACCTTCACTTCTGATCTTTGGAACATTTGCACATTAGATAATCAGAGTCAGTCTGGAAAGGAAGAGGTAGAGACTGGGGAGAAATGAGACTGGGGCCTTGGACCAGAAACCAATGTGGGGTAGTTTTATTAAACTCTCTCACCTATATTCTAATCATTACAAAAAATGCCTTCCATCTACACTGTACCTTCATAGATACAACCTCTTTTGTTTATTGAAAGAACCCTGAGAAATAGACATGCAAAATATCAATGCGTCCATTTTATTGATTAGGGAATTAGAGTTATGATTGGATCCTTGCCTTGTCCACTCATTACTGCATGGACATGTGCCTGTTTGTGTACCAAGCCTTGGGGTTCAGGAGTCAATTAAACATGCTGACTGACTGGAAGAGCCAGCTGTGGTGAAGGAGGCTTACTGTTGATGATCCACAGTGTGATACAGCCTCGACCTGCAGGGCAGATGATACTGGAGGTGTGAATGGTTGTGGGCAGCTGACTGAGCCCCAAGTGCTCCCTGGGGGATCAGGGAAGAACATGAGGGAGGCCTTAAAGGTGAGACAGTGTTGCCAGAGAAAAGGAGGATGGGACAGGAAGGGCTTTTAGGTTGAGGGAACAGCACATATGGAGTGGAGCAGAGCTGGATCCAGGTGCCCATGGGCAGTTGGGGGAGGCAAGGCAGAGTAGCTGAGGCCATGGAGCTGGTGCCCTGGGTGTCTGTCCCCTTACCCTTGGCTAGTTCACCTTCCACACATTATGTAGCCTGGCAGTCTCCATCACTGGGCATGTTCCTAAAAATTTCCAGTATGCTCTCCTGTCCATCAGCAGCTCTCCATTCCCTGTTCTGTGTTCTGTCCCTCAGTCCTGGTGTCCTTCCCTAATTCCAGGGCCAGTCCTACCTCTAGACATTTTGATTTGTTATCCAATACAGTTCCTTGGATTATTTATACCAGGTGAGTCAGGTTTTGTTTGTTTGATTGTTTGTTTTATTTTGTCACTTACAACAAAAAAAGCCCCGAAAAACCACTGGAAAAATACCTGGTACACCCTAGTGCAAGGCCTTTTAAGAAAAGAAGGTTGGAGAAGGAAGATTCAGCCTCAAGGTCCAAGTGAATGTAAGATATCTGGGCATGCAGAACAGGCCCAGATAACTCCCCAGCCCCACTACAAGTGCAGAGGAAATGAAACAGAAAGATAGTCATGGCCAGACTCGCACTGAAAAGAGAAGTGTCCAGTTTCCTTCATGCCAGGGGCATGGAGGAAACAGCACAGCCAAAGTTGACCTTGAAGGTTAATGAGTAGTCTGAGTTATGGTCAATCAGATCGGTAAATCTGTCTCTCTTTTTGAGTTGCTAATAATCAGGGAAGAGAGGCAGAGGGTAGAAAAAATGGGGACAGAAAAGTTTCCCCACCAGAATTCGTTTTAAGGAAAGTGAATTCAGACTAGAAGAGGCTGAGGAGTGGGTATCAGTAGAGAGCTGGGTTCTATGAGCAACAGGACCCAGCCCCCTAAAGAACACCCCTCCAAATGGGACCTGTGGCCCCTTTGCCTGGGCTGTTGCCCACCTGGTGGCATCTGTCTAAGCTCAGAGAAGGGCCCTGTCCAGCCGTAACTTTGGAGGGAGGCCCTGCTATGCTCCCAGCTGCCTGCTTTGCTTTTCCTTAGGATTGTTCCTTTGTGGTATGCAATCTGGCAGTGTCAGCATCACCTGGGTGTTCCTTTTGAATCCCAATCTGCATTTTAACAAGATCTTTGTGATTTGTAGTCAGATTTGTCTGCACATTAACATTTAGGATGCATGCTTTGGAGGATCTTTGGGTTTTGCTGCATACTGCCCTGGGTTTTCTTGTTTTGTTTTGTTTTATTTTGTTTGGCTTTTTAGCTCATGAGGTCTCCATGGGAACCTTTTCTCAGCAGGCTAAGATAGAGCCAGCCAGTCTCACCTGTGTGTGCAGGACGGTATATGCTCTCAGTGGGCACCACAGCCTTGAGGCAGCCCTTTGGAAGGTGGAGCAACTGATACTTGCACCAGAATGAAACTGAGGCTGACACAGGGATGAAGTGTGGAGGCAGAGAGGCAGTTACTGCAGGGAAAGGGCCATGGTCCTGGGAACTAGAGGAATAGGGCAACCTCCCAGTGACTACCGACTCACCAAGTGGAGAGTCACCCTGGGTCTCAGTCTGAAGTCAGTCCCAGCATGCCCCAGTGGGATTTTGTCAAAGAAAGCCCTTTTACACAGGGGACTTATATCTTAGCCCTCACTCATATTTGAGACCTCAGTCAGGGCTTGGTGCCATGCAAGGGATGGATGACAGATCATTCTAGTTCCTGGAACTTCTGGAGATTTTTTTCACTGATGTCCTGACTCCCACCAAATCATAGAAGTAAAGCTGTGGGTGTCTCCTTTTTTCTCTCAGCAGTACCCAAAGTGCAAACACTTGTCTGTATTACAAAAGCTTTCTCCCAATGCAACATGTTAAAGCCAGTCATACCCCCACTATAGCCACTGCTATGATCTGAATGTGTCCCACAAAATTCACATGTTAAAACATAATTGCCAATGAAGTAGTGTTAAGAGGTGGGGCCTTTAGGAGATGATTAAGTCATGAAGGCAGAGCCCCTGTGACTCTCAGAGCCCCAATGAATGGGATTAGTGACCTTATGAAAGGGATGGCAGAAACTAGCTTGGCCCTTTCTGCCTTCTGTTCCTTCAGCCATGTGTTCCTCCAGCATTTGTCCTCTCTGGAGGACACAGAAGCAACAAGGCATCACCTTGCAAGCAGAGAACAGCCCTCCCAAGACACTGATTTTGCAGGCACATTGTTCTTGGACTTCCCAGCCTCCAGAACTGTGAGAAGTAAATGTCTGTCAATTGTAAATTACCCAGTCTTGAGTATTTTGGTATAGCAGCACAAATGGACTAAGTCAGCCATCCACATTCTTTTGGTGTTGCTGGGGGATTCTGTGTGGTCAGGGACACATGCAGTGTTGCTTCAAGTGCCAGAGGAGAGATAGGCTGCCCTGGCCCTTCCTGGGACAGTGGCTCCTCCGTTGAAGAAGTCTTCCTTCAGGTGGTTCTTGTAAGCTCTTTGTGTCTTGTGATGCCACCCAAGCAGTAAAAGGTTTCCAGATAGAACTCATCATGGCACCAAGGGACTTGCTTGGACTCTTCTCTGAGTCTGGCATCACCAGATTGAATGCTAGCAAAATTACTCTAGTGACTTCTTTGCTATGCCCTGAACACTGGAAGCCAGAGGGAAGAATTCATTTCTGTAGGATTTGGCTATGGGATGATCAAGTACACACTTGCAGTCTAGATTATGATGCCAAGCAACTTTTCCCCTTCTCCTGGAGTTGTCCATCAGGTCATGCCAAGCTCATCTTAGATGGGCATAAGATATGTCTCCCTTCTGGCATCCCCTTTTTTCTCTCCCTTCAGCTTTACATTGAGAGAAATGCAGAGGAGTGGGTGAGAAAGCAAATTTCAAGATTTGAGAACTATGACCAGGAAAGAACTTTGGTTATGATTAATACATGGAACTGAAAGCAAAGAGATTAGCAACGCAGTAAGTGTTTGAAGGAATTATATTTTATAAGCTACCACAAGCCTGGACAAAAAAATGGCCTTGATTGTTCAAAACAAAACAATCAGCAGAGTGGCAGTGTAGCAAAGTGAGAAGCAAGCCTGGACCCCACATTCCTCCAAGCACAGAACATCCTGGGATCTTCTCTTATCTGTCAGCAGCCACGACGTTTGCAGGAAGTTCCAAGGAAACAGACAACTCATAATGGACTGAACATGTTGACTCTGTACAAAGTCTTTGACTCATAAAATCTTTGGATGTTCATCTTCACTTGGATGACTAATAGTAATTTCAAACTTACAATATTAAAAGGTGAACATCTGAGACTTCTAATCCTGAACAAGATGGATTAATTGGCCAGGCTTACTTTTATCCAAAACAACTGGTAAACTGAACATGGATACAAAACAATGGTTCTTAAGACATTGAACATTAGACAATAAAGAACTGTGATCCCTAAGAGATGGAAAATAAATGAAGTGAGCCCTATCATGCCCCAGGTTAATGCCTAGAGGGGAGTCTAGGGAGAGCTTAGAAGTCTCCACTTTGAAAAGATGGAGCTGGGAGGCCAAGGCGGCTTGAGTTTGCAGGGGAGATCAGAGAGGAGGAGTTGCACAGAGAGAAAACTGTAGAAATCTATGGAAGGTCCCTGAAGTATTCAACTGAGTACTGACACAAGTGCATGTGTATGAAGAAATTTCACAAGTCAGGGAAGTGCATCATCTGAAAAAAATCAGGGAAAATTCCTATAGCTCACACTGGGAAAGAAATGATGCCTCTTCTCACCATCTGGAGTGGAAAATTTCATAATTCACAGGGCATCCAGTAGAATATGTAGAAAACTTTGCCTCAGTAATGGGGAAAAACTAGCTCCAGACTAAATACTATTCTGGTCCTATATAACAACAAAAGCCCAAAAGCAAATCCTAAAAGAATTAAATGGGCTCTAAGTAACTTAATCATACTCCATAACAATGGACAAGAATATTTATAGGATTACAAAAACATCTAGTCCTCAATAAGGTAAAATTTAAATGGGTGGCATACTCTCAAAGATTACCAGATATGAAAAGAAGTAAGGCCAGGCATGATGGTTCACACCTATAATCCCAACACTCAGAGAGGCTGAGGCAGGAGGATCTCTTGAGGCCAGGTGTTCAAGACCAGCCTGGGCAGCATAGCAAGATCTGTATCTACAAAAAATTTAAAAATTAGCCAGGTGTTGTGTGTGCATCTGTAGTCCTAGCAACTCAAGAGGTTGAGGTGGGAGGATTGAGCCCAGGAGGTCAAGGCTGCAGTGAGCCATGATGACACCACTGTCCAGTTTGGGTGACAGAGCAAGAAGACTCTGTCTCTTTGAAAAAAAAAAAAAGGCAGAAAGATATGATCTATAATGAAGAGAAAAATTAATCAGTAGAAACTAACCCAGAAATTACATAGATGATAGAATTCGTAGGCTGGGACCTTAACACAGTTATTCCAACTATGTATGTTCAGGAAGATTGATGAACAATTGAATGTATTAAGTAGAGATACAGAAAATATAAGAAGATCGAAGTTGAACTTATAGATATGAAAACTATAATGCCTAAGATAAAAAAGTGCATTGGATGTTATAAAGGGCAGATTAGATATGGCAGAAGAGAAAACTAATAAATTTGAAGACAGAAAAATAAAAATCATCCACAGTGAACTACAAAGAGGAAGATACTCCAAAAAGTAATAATAAAATAAAGAGAATGAGTGAGCTGTGGGACAACTTCAGGCACCCTAATATACACAGAACTGGAGTTCTTGAAAACGAAAAAGGGGTGAAGACACAAATTATTTTTAAGAAAAAAAATTTTCTAAATTAGACAAAAACTATAAGCCCAGATATTCAAGAAACACAACAAACCCCATGCACCAAAAACAAGAAGAAAACTGCACCAAAATACTTAATTGAATTGCACAAAACAAGAGAT
This sequence comes from Homo sapiens, assembly GCF_000001405.40. Taxonomy (NCBI): domain Eukaryota; kingdom Metazoa; phylum Chordata; class Mammalia; order Primates; family Hominidae; genus Homo; species Homo sapiens. Next base: position 134,102,445 of record NC_000003.12, on the reverse strand, counting down.
GAAGAGAAAATCTGAAAAGTAGCCAGAGGGAAAAAAAGACAGTAGATTTCTTGTTGGAATAAATGTAAACCAAAAATTGTCTAACAACATTTTTAAAGCACTGAGAGATAAGAATTGACACCCTAGACTCTTACTTAGTAAAAATATCTTCCAAAAGTGGTGAGATTAAGACTTTTTTTAGGTATAAAAGTCCAAAAAGAATGAATCACCAACAGACCTGCGCTACAAGAAATACTAAAAGTGTTCCAAGATGGCCGAATAGGAATAGCTCCAGTCTACAGCTCCCAGCATAAGCGACGCAGAAGACGGATGATTTCTGCATTTCCAACTGAGGTACCAGGTTAATCTCACTGGGGCTTGTCAGACAGTGAGGGCAGGACAGTGGGTACAGCCCACCAAGCGTAAGCCAAAGCAGGGCAAGGCATTGCCTTACCTGGGAAGTGCAAGGGGTCAGGGAATTCCCTTTCCTAGCCAAGGGAAGTGGTGATGGACAGCACTTGGAAAATTGGATCACTCTGACCCTAATACTGCGCTTTTCCAACGGTCTTAGCAAACGGCACATCAGGAGATTATATCCCATGCCTGGCTCGGAGGGTCCCACGCCCACAGAGCCTCACTCATTGCTAGCACAGCAATCTGAGATCTAACTGCAAGGTGGCAGCGAGGCTGGGGGAGGGGCACCCACCATTGCTGAGGCTTGAGTAGGTAACAAAGTGGCTGGGAAGCTCAAACTGGGTGGAGCCCCCCGCAGCTCAAGGAGGCCTGCCTGCCTCTGTAGACTCCACCTCTGGGGGCAGGGCATAGCCAAACAAAAGGCAGCAGAAACCTTTGCAGACTTAAATGTCCCTGTCTGACAGCTTTGAGGTGAGTAGTGGTTCTCCCAGTACGGAGTTTGAGATCTGAGAACGGACAGACTGCCTCCTCATATGTGTCCCTGACCCCTGAGTAGCCTAACTGGGAGGCACCCCCCAGTAGGAGCAGACTGACACCTCACACGGCCAGGTACCCCTCTGAGACAAAGCTTCCAGAGGAACCATCAGGCAGCAACATTTGCTGTTCAGCAATATTCACTATTCTGCAGCCTCCGCTACTGATACCTAGGCAAACAGGGTCTGGAGTGGACCTCTAGCAAACTCCAACAGACCTGCAGCTGAGGGTCCTGACTGTTAGAAGGAAAACTAACAAACAGAAAAGACATCCACACCAAAATCCCATCTGTACGTCACCATCCTCAAAGACCAAAGATAGATAAAACCACAAAGATGGGGAAAAAACAGAGCAGAAAAGCTGAAAATTCTGAAAATCAGAGCACCTCTCCTCCTCCAAAGGAACGCAGCTCCTCACCAGCAATGGAACAAAGCTGGAAGGAGAATGACTTTGACAAGGTGAGAGAAGAAGGCTTCAGATGATCAAACTTCTCTGAGCTAAAGGAGGAAGTTCGAACCCATCGCAAAGAAGCTAAAAACCTTGAAAAAAGATTAGACAAATGGCTAACTAGAATAACCAGTGTAGAGAAGTCCTTAAATGACCTGATGGAGCCGAAAACCATGGCACAAGAACTACGTGATGAATGCACAAGCTTCAGTAGCCGATTCGATCAAGTGGAAGAAAGGATATCAGTGATTGAAGATCAAATTCATGAAATAAAGTGAGAAGAGAAGTATAGAGAAAAAAGAGTAAACAGAAACAAACAAACCTCCAAGAAATATGGGACTATGTGAAAAGACCAAATCTACGTCTGATTGGTGTACCTGAAAGTGACGGGGAGAATGGAAGCAAGTTGGAAAACACTCTGCAGGATATTATCCAGGAGAACTTCCCCAACCTAGCAAGGCAGGCCAACATTCAAATTAAGGAAATACAGGCCAGGTGCAGTGGCTCATGCCTGTAATCCCAGCACTTTGGGAGGCTGAGACGGGCAGATCATGAGGTCAGGAGATAGAGACCATCCTGGCTAACACTGTGAAACTCTGTCTCTACTAAAAATACAAAAAATTAGCCAGGCGTGGTGGCAGGCACCTGTAGTCCCAGTTACTCGGGAGGCTGAGGCAGGAGAATGGCATGAACCCCGGAGGTGGAGCTTGCAGTGAGCCAAGATTGTGTCACTGCACTCCAGCCTGGGCGACAGAGTGAGACTCCGTCTCAAAAAAAAAAAAAAAAACATACAAAAAACAAATTCAGGAAATACACAGAATGCCACAAAGATACTCCTCAAGAAGAGCAACTCCAAGACACATGATTGTCAGATTCACCAACGTTGAAATGAAGGAAAAAATGTTAAGGGCAGCCAGAGAGAAAGGTCAGATTACCCACAAAGGGAAGCCCATCAGACTAACAGCTGATCTCTCAGCAGAAACTCTACAAGCCAGAAGAGAGTGGGGGCCAATATTCAACATTCTTAAAGAAAAGAATTTTCAACCCAGAATTTCATATCCAGCCAAACTAAGCTTCCTAAGTGAAGGAGAAATAAAATCCTTTACAGACAAGCAAATGCTGAGAGATTTTGTCATCACCAGGCCTGCCTTACAAGAGCTCCTGAAGGAAGCACTAAACATGGAAAGGAACAACCGGTACCAACCACTGTAAAAACATGCCAAATTGTAAAGACCATTGAGACTAGGAAGAAACTGCATCAACTGACAACCAAAATAACCAGCTAACGTCGTAATGACAGGATCAAATTCACACATAACAATATGAACCTTAAATGTAAATGGGCTAAATGCTCCAATTAAAAGACACAGACTGGAAAATGGGATAAAGAGTCAAGACCCATCAGTGTGCTGTATTCAGGAGACCCATTTCATGTGCAGAGACACACATAGGCTCAAAATAAAGGGATGGAGGAAGATCTACCAAGCAAATGGAAAACAAAAAAAAGCAGGGGTTGCAATCCTAGTCTCTGATAAAACAGACTTTAAACCAACAAAGATCAAAAGAGACCAAGAAGGCCATTACATAATGGTAAAGGGATCAATTCAACAAGAAGAGCTAACTATCCTAAACATATATGCACCCAATACAGGAGCACCCAGATTCATAAAGCAAGTCCTTAGAGACCTACAAAGAGACTTAGACTCCCACACAATAATAATGGGAGATTTTAACACCCCACTGTCAGCATTAGACAGATCCACAAGACAGAAAGTTAACAAGGATATCCAGGACTTGAACTCAGCTCTGCACCAAGCAGACCTAATAGACATCTACAGAACTCTCCACCCGAAATCAACAGAATATACATTCTTCTCAGCACCACATCACACTTATTCCAAAATTGACCACATAGTTGGAAGTAAAGCACACCTCAGCAAATGTAAAAGAACAGAAATTATAACAAACTGTCTTTCAGACCACAGTGCAATCAAACTAGAACTCAGGATTAAGAAACTCACTCAAAACTGCTCAACTACATGGAAACTGAACAACCTGCTCATGGAAACTGAACAACCTGCTCCTGAATGACTACTGGGTACATAAGGAAATGAAGGCAGAAATAAAGACGTTCTTTGAAACCAATGAGAACAAAGGCACAACATACCAAAATCTCTGGGACACATTTAAAGCAGTGTGTAGAGGGAAATTTATAGCACTAAATGCCCACAAGAGAAAGCAGGAAAGATCTAAAATTGACACCCTAACATCACAATTAAAAGAACTAGAGAAGCAAGAGCAAACACATTCAAAAACTAGCAGAAGGGAAGAAATAACTAAGATCAAAGCAGAACTGAAGGAGATAGACACACAAAAAACCCTTCAAAAAATCAGTGAATCCAGGAGCTGGTTTTTTGAAAAGATCAACAAAATTGATAGACCACTAGCAAGACTAATAAAGAAGAAAAGAGAGAAGAATCAAATAGACACAATAAAAAATGATAAAGGGGATATCACCACCAATCCCACAGAAATACAAACTACCATCAGAGAATACTATAAACACCTCTACACAAATAAACTAGAAAATCTAGAAGAAATGGATAAATTCCTTGACACATACACCCTCCCAAGACTAAACCAGGAAGAAATTGAATCCCTGAATAGACCAATAACAGGATCTGAAATTGTGGCAATAATCAATAGCCTACCAACCAAAAAAAGTCCAGGACCAGACGGATTCACAGCTGAATTCTACCAGAGGTACAAGGAGGAGCTGGTACCAATCCTTCTGAAACTATTCCAATCAATAGAAAAAGAGGGAATCCTCCCTAACTCAGTTTATGAGGCCAGCATCATCCTGATACCAAAGCCTGACAGAGACATGACAAAAAAAGAGAATTTTAGACCAATATCCCTGATGAACATTGATGCAAAAATTCTCAATAAAATACTGGCAAACCGAATTCAGCAGCACATCAAAAAACTAATCCACCATGATCAAGTGGGCTTCATCCTTGGGATGCAAGGCAGGTTCAACATATGCAAATCAATAAACATAAGCCAGCATATAAACAGAACCAAAGACAAAAACCACATGATTATCTCAATAGATGCAGAAAAGGCCTTTGACAAAATTCAACAGCCCTTCATACTAAAAACTCTCAATAAATTAGGTATTGATGGGACGTATCTCAAAATAATAAGAGCTATTTATGACAAACCCACAGCCAATATCATACTAAACGGGCAAAACCTGGAAGCATTCTCTTTGAAAACTGGCATAAGACGGGCATGCCCTCTCTCACCACTCCTATTCAACATAGTGTTGGAAGTTCTGGCCAGGGCAATCAGGCAGGAGAAAGAAATAAAGGGTATTCAATTAGGAAAAGAGGAAGTCAAATTGTCCCTGTTTGCAGATGATATTTAGAAAACCCCATCATCTCAGACCAAAATCTCCTTAAGCTGATAAGCAACTTCAGCAAAGTCTCAGGATATAAAATCAATGTGCAAAAATCACAAGCATTCTTATGCACCAATAACAGACAAACAGAGAGCCAAATCATGAGTGAACTCCCATTCACAATTGCTTCAAAGTGAATAAAATACCTAGGAATCCAACTTACAAGGGATGTGAAGGACCTCTTCAAGGAGAACTACAAACCACTGCTCAACGAAACAAAAGAGGATACAAACAAATGGAAGAACATTCCATGCTCATGGATAGGAAAAATCAATATCGTGAAAATGACCATACTGCCCAAGGTAATTTATAGACTCAATGCCATCCCAATCAAGCTACCAATGACTTTCTTCACAGAATTGGAAAAAACTACTTTAAAGTTCATATGGAATGAAAAAAGAGCCCGCATTGCCAAGACAATCCTAAGCCAAAAGAACAAAGCTGGAGGCATCACACTACCTCACTTCAAACTATACTACAAGGCTACAGTAACCAAAACAGCATGGTACTGGTACCAAAACAGAGATATAGACCAATGGAACAGAACAGAGCCCTCAAAAATAATACCACACATCTACAGCCATCTGATCTTTGACAAACCTGGCAAAAACAAGAAATGGGGAAAGGATTCCCTATTTAATAAATGGTGCTGGGAAAACTGGCTAGCCATATGTAGAAAGCTGAAACTGGATCCCTTCCTTACACCTTATACAAAGATTAATTCAAGATGGATTAAAGACTTAAATGTCAGACCTAAAACCATAAAAACGCTAGAAGAAAACCTAGGCAATACCATTCAGGACATAGGCATGGGCAAGGACTTCATGTCTAAAACACCAAAAGCAATGGCAACAAAAGCCAAAATTGACAAATGGGATCTAATTAAACTAAAGAGCTTCTGCACAGCAAAAGAAGCTACCATCAGAGTGAACAGGCAACCTACAAAATGGGAGAAAATTTTTGTAATCTACTCATCTGACAAAGGGCTAATATCCAGAATCTACAAAGAACTCAAACAAATTTACAAGAAAAAAACCCCATGAAAAAGTGGGCGAAGGATATGAACAGACACTTCTCAAAAGAAGACATTTACGCAGCCAACAGACACATGAAAAAATGCTCATCATCACTGGTCATCAGAGAAATGCAAATCAAAACCACAATGAGATACCATCTCACACCAGTTAGAATGGCAGGAAACAACAGGTGCTAGAGAGGATGTGGAGAAATAGGAACGCTTTTACACTGTTGGTGGGACTGTAAACTAGTTCAACCTTTGTGGAAGACAGTGTGGTGATTCCTCAAGGATCTACAGCTAGAAATACCATTTGACCCAGCCATCCCATTACTGGGTATATACCCAAAGGATAATAAATCATGCTGCTATAAAGACACATGCACACATACGTTTATTGCTGCACTATTCACAATAGCAAAGACTTGGAACCAACCCAAATGCCCATCAATGATAGAAGCCATAAAAAAGGATGAGTTCATGGCCTTTGTAGGGATATGGACGAAGCTAGAAACCATCATTCTCAGCAAACTATCACAAGGACAAAAAACAAACACCGCATGTTTTCACTCATAGGTGGGAATTGAACAATGAGAACACTTGGACACAGGATGGGGAACACCACACACCCGGGCCTGTCATGGGGTTGGGGGAGGAGGGAGGGATAGCATTAGGAGATACACCTAATGTAAATGATGAGTTAATGGGTGCAGTACATGAACATGGCGCATGTATACACATGTAACAAACCTGCACGTTGTGCACATGTACCCTAGAACTTAAAATATAATTTAAAAAAAGAAAAAGAAATACTAAAAGAAGTCCTTTGACAAGCAAAATAAAAATGATACCAGTTAGAAATTTAGATCTAAAGGAATGAAGAATATCAGAAATAATAACCATGTGGGTAAATATAAAAACTATTTTTAAAATCTTTTTAAAAGATGTTTTGAAAGCAAAAATAAAAACAATGTAGTGTGGAGTTTATAACATATAAAGAAATAAAATGTATGACAAAAATAGCTCAAAGGCCTGGAGGAGAAAAATGTAAATATATTATTTCATGGTCTTAACCTGTTCATGAAGGGGTATGACATCACTTTGAAAACAGACTATGACAAATCTTATATGTATCCTCTACACTCAAAAGGACAACTAAAATAGCATAGAGTTACTGCTCCTAAGCTGACAAAGAAGATGAAAAATTCTAAATCGATCCAAAAGAAGGCACCAAAAAAAGAGAGAAAAACAAACAGAGCACAGATGATATTACAACTCCACTTGCTTGAGCAGATAGCCTACCCCAAGTATGTACAGCTGGATGAGTGGGCAGTGCGTGGGTATGATGCAGGTGGCTGGGCGGTTAGGTAGACAGGCAAGTGGGTGATTTTCTAGGTGGCTGGGTGAGAGGTGAGTAGGCCAGTGGGTGGGTGATGAGTACATAGGTGCTCAGGTCTCATGTTCTCCCAGGCCTCCATGCCCTGGTTTTTAGTCCCTCATCTGCTGCCTGACTAATGTCCAGGTCCTTGGCTCCTTCATTCCAATTCAATTTCTTCCCTAAGGAAGGTCCATAAAAAGCTGTGCCATGAAGGATGGAAAAAATTTAGGCAAATGAAAAGAGGGGGATTGTGTTTCAGGAAGAGATAGAGCAAAACAAAGATACACACTAACCCCCTCCCCCGCCACATACACACACTCTCTCTTATCCAAAAGTCCCAATTACCTGCAGTCAACCATGGTCCAAAAATATTTTATCACTACTCTTACACTTTGGGGCATTAAGTAAGATTAATGTTATTTGATAACCCAGAGGGCTACTCAGTGACTAACGGCAATCTGGGAGAAATCTGGGAGAAGCAGAGCAGGAGGCTGTGAGATTTCATCACATTACTCAGCATGGTGCACAATGTAAAACTTACGAGTTGTTTATTTCTGGAGTTTTCCATTTACGTCAAAATGCCTCCATCATCCATCTCACTTCATCTCATCACATAGGCATTTTATCACCTCACATCATCACAAGAAAAAGGATGAGTTGCAGTAAGATATTTTGAGAGAGACCACATTCACATAACTTTTATTATAGTACATTGTTATAATTGTTCTATTTTATTATTGGTTATTGTTGTTAATCTCTTACTGTGCCTGATTTATAAATTAAACTTTAGCATAGACATGTATGTTCAGGAGAAAACATATTGGATAAGGTTCAGTGCTATTTGCAGTTTCAGGCATCCATAGGGAGGGGTCTTGGAACATATCTCTGGCAGATAAGGGGAGACTACTGTAGACCCCCCCCCCTAAAAAGTTTGTTCACAGACAGCTAGGATACCAATTAAGAGAGAGTGAAGTGTAGGGTCTAGAAGCTATGGAAGAAAAAAAAAAGAATGACTAACCCTAGTGCAATTGCTACAGTGACTGCTTTTACTGTTGATTTATTGACCACATGCCATGTTCCAGGAGCTGTGCTACAGCAGTTACATATTTTCTAACCACCCTCTGAGGTTGGCGTTATTATTCCAATATGATAGGTAGGTAGATTGACAAAGAGAGATCAGTTCACATGGTTGCAGACACACAATGGGTGAGTGTCTCAGCGGGAATTCAAACTCATGCCTGGGTGACCCCAAGATGGTCTCTTTGCTGCCTTGTGGAAACAGGGTCTTCTCCCTGGCTGGGCCAGTGGTTTGGGAGGTCTTATTGCCTTCAGAGGCCCCCTGCATGGAGATGATATATTTTTTTAAGAGTTTGGGATCCTTTAGAAGATAAGCCGAGAAAAGTGGGATTGATCGGAGATGACCTCCTAGGGTTCTGGGCCTTAGACACTGAGGCAGCAGAGAGTGAGTACCTCAAAGGCAACACTGCTTCTCTCATCAGCCTGAACAAGGCCCTTGTTGGGGACAAGGGAGAGACACTTGAGGATGAGTGACTTTTTTTTCTGTGGCTAAAGCATGCTTGTCAGAGAACAGCCAGGGTGCCAAGGCAAAGGGGCCAGGCAACCTGAGAGATGCTCTGGGGGTCTTGGAGGTAGCCCTGACATTGACAGAGCCCAGTTGGGTCTGGGCTCCTCCTCTTACACCCTTGCTCAGCTCAGCACTGCCTCTCAGGTCCTCTTTGCCTACTGCCTTTATGCATCAGGGCTCCAAGGTGCCTCTGGGTTTGCACTAACAGCAAAAAGGCAGCTGACCAGCCAGGCACGGTGGCTCATGCCTGTAATCCCAGCATTTTGGGAGGCAGAGGCAGGCGGATCACCTGAGGTCAGGAGTTTGAGACCAGCCTGGCCAACATGGTGAAACCCCGTCTCTACTAAAAATACAAAAAGTAACCGGGCGTGGTGGTGTGCACCCGTAATCCCAGCTACCCAGAAGGCTGAGGCAGGAGAATTGCTGGATTCTTAGGGGGCAGAGGCTGCATTGAGCCGAGATTGTGCCACTGCACTCCAGCCTGGGTGACAGAGCAAGACTCCGTCTCAAAAAAAAAAAAAAAAAAAAAAAAAAAAAAAAAAAAGGCAGCTGACCAAATTCCAGGAAGAGAGCCCAGGCCAGACACTGGGTCTGCTGGCACCTCGATCTTGAGCTTTCCAGTCTCTAGAACTGTGAGAAATAAATGTTGAAGCCGAAAAAGAAAAAAAAAAAAGACAGCCGTGTGATCTTGGGAAGCCCCCATGCCCTCATCTGACAGATGGGGAGTTGTTCTATCAATGTTCTCTAAATTTCAGTTGTTTGCATACTATCTGTGATTTTTGCTACATTTGCATAGAATTGGTTCCATTATTTGCTTAACACTCTTCTTTAAAAAGGCCTATTAAAAAGAAAACTTCATGTATGACTATGATAAATGGAAAACCAGACATAAACAGAGTATCTACAAAAATAAACAAACATATTTAAAATAACAGAATGAATCCTATACTATCCACAATGATCTCATGTATCACACTTGGAAAACTCAGGGCCAGATGACCTCTATGGCTCCACCCCACTTGTTGCATCTGTAACCCTCCCTGGCCTCCTCCTCCTTCCTGGGAATGCAGTCTAGACCGGGAGCATAACTGAGGGTCATTATTCCCTGCCCACTGTTATCTCTGTGTACTAAAAAAATCATACTTACCGCTTATAGGGCAAAGGACAGGAGCTCTGCTTCTGGAGAGGCCTCGGATGTTGGGACAGACAGTATATCCAAAGGGGAAGTCCTGGGTGTTATGCACTCCCATCTGAAGAATCTTAGACATTCCCTGAGAAGAATGGCAGTGGAGATTACATCAGGAGCCTGTTGGCCAAGCCTCTTTGGGCTGCACTCTAGTTAGACATCCCACATCCCTGTCCATTAGTCAGCCACAGAGAGACAAACAGCATACCCTCACCCGGGGGCTGGCGGCCGCCCTTGCCTTCCACAGCCAGAGAATGTCAGGAACAGCAGAACAGGAGGGCAGAAGCCAGGGACATGCGTGTGCTCATTAGGTCAGATCCAGAACAGAGAACAGGTCCGAGCACAGCTACATGGGGCTTCTGTTTTGCTAATATAATAACACCTACTGTATGTAGCATCTGTGCAGGCCTAGGCCAATATGTGAGTTTGTATCTTCATTTTTAACAACAATGTTTAAAAAGTAAAAACAAAACATAAATTTTTAAAATAAAAAAAAGCTTGTAGAATAAGGGTATAAAGAAGGAAAATATGTTTTACAGATGTACAAAGTGTTTGTGTTTTAAACTAAGTGTAATCACAAAAGAGTCAAAGAGTTAAAAAAATTTAAAAGTTTTAAAGTAGGCCAGGCACAGTGGCTCACGCCTATAATCCCAGCACTTTGGGAGGCCGAGGTGGGTGGATCACAAGGTCAGGAGATCAAGACCGTCCTGGCTAACACGGTGAAATCCCGTCTCTACTAAAAATACAAAACAGCCAGGCGTGGTGGCGGGCACCTGTAGTCCTAGCTACTTGGGAGGCTGAGGCAGGAGAATGGCGTGAACCCGGGAGGCGGAGCTTGCAGTGAGCCGAGATCGTGCCACTGCACTCCAGCCTGGGCAACAGTAAGACTCCGTCTCAAAAAAAAAAAAAAAAAGTTACAGTCAGCTAAGGATAATTTATTATTGAAGAAAGAAAAATATTTTTAAAATAAATTTTGTGTAGCCTAAGTGTATATCTACTGTAGTGTACCGTCACATCCAAGGCCTTCACATTCACTCACCACTCACTCATTGACTCACCCAGAGAAACTTCTAGTCCTGCAAGCTCCGTTGATGGTAAGTACCCTACAAAGGTATACCAAGTATACAAAGGTATACCAGTTTTTATCTCTTACACTGCATTTTTACTGTACCTTTTTATGTTTAGATATACATATACTTAGCATAGCATTACAATTGCCTATAGCAGGGTCCCCCGGGCCACGGACCTTACCGGTCTGTGGTGGCTTATTAGGAACAGGGCCACAGAGCAGGTGGTGAGCAGCAGGCGAGGGAGCATTACACCTGAGCTCCGCCTCCTGTCAGATTAGCAGAGGCATTAGATTCTCATAGGAGTGCAATCCCTGTTGTGAACTGTGCACGCGAGGGATCTAGGTTGCATGCTCCTTATGAGACTCTAACTAATGCCTGATGATCTGAGGTGGAACGGTTTCATCCAGAAACCATCCCTCTGCCGCTAGTACATGGAAGGGGACCGCTGGCCTACAGTATTCAGCGCAGTAACATGCTGTACAGGTTTGTAGCCTAGAAGTGATAGGCTATTCCATAGACCCTAGTGTGAGATCAGCCTAATGATGAGATCACCTAACAATGCGTTTATGATATACATATAATAAAATGCACCTATTTTAAGTGTACATTTTGATGAATTTTTAAAAACTGTATACACTTGGATAACCACAACCCAAATCAACACTGAGAAGATTTCCCTCACCCCCAGAAAGTTCCCTCAGATTCCTTTGCAGCCAGTTGCTCCCCAGCTCCAGTCACAGGCAACTGCTGATCTGCTTTCTGTGACTGTAAGTTAATTTTGTCCTTTCTAGGAGTCCATATGAATGAAATCAGACAGTCTGTATTCTTTTCCCTCTGGCTCTTTTGCTGACCATACTGTTGTAGAGAATTGTTAGTTGGTTCATTTTGGTTGCTAAGTAATATTCCGTGGTAGGCACATACTATACTTTGTTTCTTCATTTATCTACTGAGGTATATCTGTGTTGCTTTCAGTTTGGGGGCTATTATGAATAAAACTAGTTTTACTTCTCCCTTTCTAATCTTATAAATATTTGTGTACAAGTCTTTCTGTGAACATGTTTTCCTTTTTCTCAAAACCTAGGAGTGGAATTGTTGAGTCATATGGCTACTATGTGTTTAACTTTATAAGAAATGTGTAGACTGTTTTATCATTTTACACTTGCACAATGTATGAGAGTTCTGTTTGCTCCATATTCTTGCCAACCTTCGGTGTTATTAGTTTTTAAATGTTAATGATTCCATTGGATGTTTAGTGGTATCCGGTTGTGGTCTTAATTCATATTTCCCTGATTACTGATGATGTTGAGTATCTTTTCATGTGCTTACTGGTCACTGGTACATTTTATTTTGTAAAGTATCTGTTCAAATCTTTTGCCCATTAAAAATAGGTTGTTTATCATTCTTATCATTGAGTTGTAAGAGTTATTTATATATTTTGTATACAAACCCTTTGCCTATTTTAGGTATTGTAAATATTTTCTCTTGGCTTGTGGCTTGTTTTTTCCTTTTGTCAAACATGTCTTTTGAAGAGAAGTTTTTAATTTTGATAAAATCTAAGTGATAGTTTTTCTGTTATGGTCAGTACCTTTTATGTCCTGAAAAATCATGGCCTGCCCTAAGTTTACAAATATCTACTCCTATATTTTCCTCTATAAACTTTATAGTTTTTGTTTTTACCTTTGGGTATATGCTCCGTTTCAAGTTAGTTTTTGTGTATGGTATGAGGTAAGAATTGAGATTCCTTAAAATTTTTCTTTACAAATATTCAGTTCTTCCTGAATCATTTGTTGAAAAGATGTTATCCTTTTTCCCATTGAGTTATTTTTGCATCTTTGTTGAGTATCAGTTGACCATATGTTTAGTTTTGTTTCTGGACTATCTAATCTGTTTCTTTGATCTTATGCCTATACCACACTATCTTGATTACTATAGCTTTCTGGTACATCTGAAAATCAAATATAGTGTAAGTTCACCAAATATATTCTATTTCAAGATTGTATAGGTCTTTAGCATTTCTGTATACATTTTAATGTTAGTTTGCCTACTCTTATAAGAAAAACCAGCTGGAATTTTGATTGGCGTTGCATAGAAAAAACTGGGTGAGAATTAACATCTTAAAAATATAGTCTTCCAATCCATGAAAGTGATATATCTTTTTGTTTCTTTAGGTTCTGTTAATAATGTTTGCTAAGGGGGGAGGGATAGCATTGGGAGATATACCTAATGCTAGATGACGAGTTAGTGGGTGCAGCGCACCAGCATGGCACATGTATACATATGTAACTAACCTGCACATTGTGCACATGTACCCTAAAGCTTAAAGTATAATAATAATAGTAATAAAAAAAAAACCTTCCAAAAAAAATAAAATAATAAAATAAGTTGTATCAAAAAAAAAATAATGTTTTCTAGTTTTCAAGGCTTGCACATACTTTGTTACGTACTTTGTTAAATTTATCTCTAAGCATTTCATATTTCTTGATTCTATCTAATTGTTTTTTTCAAAAAATCTCATTTTCCAATTATTCATTACTGGTATATAGAAATAAAATATATATATTTTATATATACTCATTCTGTAACCTGCAACCTTTCTGAGTTCTCTTATTACTTCCAGCAACTGTTTTTATAGATCCCTTAGGGTTTTCAGTGTACATGAGCGTGTTGTCTGCAAATAAAGATAGTTTTACTTCTTCCTTTCTAATCTTTACCCTTTTATTTCTTTTTCTTGCCATATTGCCCAGGCTAGTACCACCAGTATTATATTGAACAGAAGTGGTGAGAAGTACACCTTAAGATCATTCTTGGTTTCTTTCCTGATACCTTATACCACATTATTATTTGATCATATTAATTCTTCCCTTGAAATATCTCTAGAGTCAGATGACCTCTTACACATGCTATATAGTGAACTGATTAAATACATGGACTCTAGAGCCAGAATGCCTGGGTCCAAATCTTGACTCTACCAGTTACTGGCTGTTTATATTTGGGGAGTTTCCTAACCTCTTTGATTCAGTTTTCTGATGTGTAAAAAAAGATTGATTATAATTATACCTACTTCATAGATTTTTGGGCTGAGGATTAAGCCTTGGTTCATGTGAAATGCACACTGTCAGTATCAAGTAACCCCCTAAGTGGTCTCACACTTCCAGCCTGTTACTCTTCAGTTTATTCTCAACAGAGCAGCCAGACAGATCCTGTTAAAACTGAGACAGAACATATCACTCTGCAGTTCAAAGCCTTCCAGTGGTTCTCATTTCATTCAGAGTAATAGTCAAAGACCTTACAAGAGCCTGCTTGTCCAAGCTGGGGAGACTCAAGGACACTTTCCTATGCGGGGAGTAGGCTACAGGGAGTGCAGTAGCTCAGCCAGAAAGAAGCCTTATATGAGTTGTTGGGAACAGGTAAGGGTGTCTGCTCTCTCCCATTGCAAGGTTGCCCTCCCCTCCAGGAAGTGTGTTCTTGCGCAGCCCAAACTCCTGTTCCTTCTCTGAGACGACAGGGCCTTGCCACTGCACACAGGCCAGTCTCAAAGGGGTGCTGGGCACACAGACTGTCCTCACAGGCAGGTCAGCAAGCTGGGGAGGCTGGGGCGACCCTAACAAGGCCTGTCTGCCCAGCAACCAAATTGACTGATTTCTTGATGGAGGGTCAACTCTATATGGTCCTTGGCTAGCAGAGCTGAGGGTGTCTGCCTGTGCCATCTGGAGGACAGGCTCCATCCTGGTATTTGAATGTTTCACTCTATGTTTGGGGGCCCAGAGGCTACACTGGCAGATCCCTTGTGCTGGGTTCCAGGCACACCATGATGAATGAGACACAGCCCTGTCCTCATGGCACTCACCACGTAGTGGGGAGACAGACATGCAAACGGCCATGGGGCAAACATTAGAGCGGCAGGCCCTTGGTGGGCACTCGCCCACCTCACTCTGGGGTTGTGGCAGGCAATCAGGACATCTTCTCAGGAAGGCCATAACCCAATTTCTGAAGAATAAACGTTGCGTCAGACTTCATTCATTTCTTTAGGGGTGGAAGTCAGAAACTCAAAGGGTTTGCTTTCCAGCAGTTCTGATAAGCTGAGCACTGTCACCCACTTCTTACCACACCTACACCACATGGCCATCCTATGTGAGTCAGCATCCTTGGCTAGCAGTCTGGCCAAGAACTGTGGTTCTTATTCCCAGCACAGGTGGAAGGAAAGGAGTCCTGGTGGGAGTTGAGCATCCATTGTATGCCCTGTGCCATGCTGGGTGCATCATATGTGTGATCCCTTGTCATCAGTGCCGCTCTGTGAGGTTGGTATTATTACCTCCACTTTAGAGATGGGCAAACTGAGGCTCAGAAGTGTTCAGTTTTGTTCCAGGCCACAGAGCTAGGAAGAAGCCAAGCCTGAATTTGCGCACGGATCTGGCAGCCTTCAAAGCATGAGCTTTTCCCACAAAACTTCAGGATCTACCTTCGAGCCCTCTGACACACCTGAGGATGGGAAGGTGACATTTGTAGTGGTACCCTGGCAGCCTCTAAGTCCCAGGTGTTGCAAAAGCCCAGGCTATGACTCAGTGGGTTCCATAAATGTCCCCATACTTTTCCTTACCCAGGCAGACGTCTTACTCAGCCTTAAGTGGAATCAGGTGGGGCAGTTTTATGGCAAGCAAACCTCTTCAGGTGAGCTGTACCACCTTCACCGTAAGCCTCGTGGGAATCAAAACTCTGTTGGCCACTCACAGGGAAGGCAGACTGAATCAGGCCAACACCACTTTTCCCCCAGAGAGCTCGCCATTGTGGCAAGTAACATGTTTGGGCGCACATTAACGTTAATGGCAGTACCCCTTCATCAAGCCCTTCCTGCTACCAGGCAGAACTGAGAACTCCTCCTTAAATCTCTCACCTTCAATGTCTGAGGCAGCCAGAATCATTGTCCTCAGTTTACAGATGAAAAAGAGGCTCAGGGAGGTTATTTTTTCAAGGTCATAGTGTCTGATTTGAAACCAAACTGATCCCAAAGCCTGCATTCTTACCTTTGCAGTCTACTCCCTGCCATCCACTCTCTCTCCTCTCCTCTGACACCATTAGGAGCCAAGACCCAGCAGTACTCCCAGAACAAACCCTGCATGACTCAAGGTTGTTTTCTGGGCAGTGGGCATTCTGTTGTGTGCCAGGCTCAGGAGTTTGCATTTTATCTTGGGGACAAGGACCAGTTGGCAGGTAATGCTGTAACGCATGGTCCAGGAGAGATGACAATGAAGCTTAAGTCAGGTCGCCATAGATGCCATGGCCAGAGGCTCACCTCCAAGCACCTCCTTCTCACTACTTTTTTGCATTTTATTTCATGAGAAGTTAGAGCCAATTAGAGCTAGGCCAGGGATTCTCTGTCTCGGCTGCACACTGTAATCCCTTGGCAAACTTCAAAAAATTATCAACACCTGGGCCCCACCCCACTGCTTCTGATTCAATTGGTCTGGGGTGGGACTAGAATATTAATATTTTGAAAAATGTGATTCCAGTGTGCCACTCAGGTTGTATGGTATAAAGTCCTGCTGCTCCCACCCTGCCCTCTGCCACATGCTTCCTGACCCTGCAGGAGGTTCTGAAATGGAATCCCCAGGGCAGGTAGAGGAGCCTGAGCCAATGGGGCCTCTGCTCAGTGGACTTCCGATGCCCACTCTGGCTGCATGAGTCATCTAGAGAGCCAAGGCACATCTGAGGCCCTTGCTCATCACACATCTGGATGGAAGCTGAGCACATCCTGGGAAAGCTGATTCCAGTCCCTGGGTAGCCTCTGCTTCTTGGACTGAGGAATTTCAGCCCTTGGAACTTTTCTCCTGGGAAGTCTGGCTTTGCAACCCTCTGGGCTCGGCCAAATGCCACCTTCCTTTGCAGCTATACAGCCAAGGGCCAAATAAGCAGGGCACTTCCCAGAGGGCTCCCAAGGCTACGAGCATCGTCCACTCCTCTCTCCCTCTTATTGACTCAACTTCTCTCATTTGTGCCTCTGTGGCAGGCCCTGTGCTGCCGCTGAGTCAAGGAACTCATGATGAGACACATGTGACACACTCTTATGGATGACAAACGGTTGAGTGGTCATGGCAGACTATGTGCAGGATCCAATGGGGCAGAGGAAGGCAGGTCCGCAGGGCCAGTGCGGGCCACAGCATGCACATTTGCCAGTCTGATCAAAACGTTTGCGCTTTAGCGTGGCCTGTTCTTAAATCTGACATCCTGGGCTATGTCCCCACCCTGCCCTAGAGAAACCAGAAGCGGGGTGAGGTCAAAGAGATACTAGGAGTTCATGTCGGGTTCTGTTTGCCTCTGAGTGGGATGTGTTGGGTTGGCTGGACTCACAGGGGCTCCTCCTGGGGACCTAGTGTCCTCTGGCCCTCACTCTCCTTGTTCATGCTGCCACAGCTTAGGGAGCCCAGCTGAGGAGGTCAGGGAACAGGGGCATCAGAGCCACTTAGGGCAGTGCTTTGCCAACTTTTGCACTCACAGTCCCTCACCTGGGGGGTGCTTCTCTCTGCAGGGTGAGGCTGGCTCAGCTGCTGGTTATAGGCAAGAGTCCTGGGGAGGCCTTTCCTTTCCTCTTACCTGGCCTGATCTCACTACATTGGCAGCCAACCTTTCCTGTTTGGGAACTGGAGTCCTGGGAAAAGGGTCTATGGCCCTGTTATCAGGAAGGATTGGAAACCCTCAAACACTAACAAGTAGCTACAAGTCACGAAGTTCTTAGGGCCAACCCTCAGGGGTGCTGAGCTCCAGAACCTGCTCTCTCAGGCCCCGAGCACTGATGAGGGTCCCCCAGGCCCTGAACCCCAATTAGGATTTCCCAGGCCAATGCTCTGATGACAGTCCTTTAGGTATCAAGCTGTGACATCTAAATAGGGAGCCTTCAGCTGTAGGGTCATGTCCCAAGCACTGCAGACCCCAGCTGCTCAGCCAGGGTCTGGCTCACAGCCTCTATTTTCTAGAAGATTGAATCAGTAACTGGCTGACTCCCTTCCCAGGCTGCCTCTCCCTCTCATCAGGCTGACCATATTTTGGACTCACTCACCTTTTCATTCTTCAAGTGTGTGCAGACTGTGCCTGTGCCTACTTTGGGGGTATATAAGCCCATCCTTTTGGTTCCACCACATGCTCTCTTCTGCTAGCCTTCTACTCTGCCCCTCTGATTCTGTGTGCACCTCCTCACTCACCTTCCATCCAGGGCAGCACCCTACAAAGGGTGGGGAGGACCTAGGTGGTGGGTTCCAGCCTGGCCAGCTTCCCAGGAGGCCAGGAGGGCACAGGAGGCTGCCTACCTTCCTGGCTAGGGCTGGTGAAGGAAGGCTACCTGTAGACCCAGAGAAGGGAAAGTGAGAACTTGAGCCCTTCCTCGCAGGGAGATTTACAGCAGGGTCAGGAGTCTGGCCCCTTCCCACACTGTGCCACATGCCATGGCTGCAGGCTGAGACAGGAGCTGGAGAGAGAAAGGCAAACCAGCAGAGGAGAGAAGGAAGGCTGACATGAGCATGCTGGCCCCAGAGGGCTCAATGGCAAGTTCACAGTGCAGGCTGGGAGGCAGAGTGATGGCACCCAGTGGATTCAGAGACGGGGCAGAGGAAGCTGAGATAGTGCCTGAAAGGCCATACTCCCGCTTAGCCCCTGTCTAGTGAGTTCCAATCTTTTCAAGTGAATCAACTCTTTTGACATCCAAATATCTGTTGTCTTTCATATGATTGACAGTAGTAATATTTTAACCTTCCCTTTATGCAAACAGTTTCCAAAATGTAAATTAAAAGCAGACCATCTACTTAGGTATGGGCATGGGACAAAAAGTTCCCAAATGCTATTTAGGAATGGAATGCCCAGAATCTTTAGAAAGTCAGCTTTGCTTCAATAGGATTAATGCCTTCTTCTCTGATTTGATGTACTGTTTTCGTTCTGCCAACTACATAATTACCATGTACGTGGATTTCATTAGGTGCATTACTTAAGGAGCTAAGGAATAGTACCAATTTGTTTAAAAATATCTTTTTACTATGGAAATTTTCAAACAATCACAAAAGTAGAGAAAATAATCGAGAAAATCTCCCATGTGTCCATGACCAGCTTTAAACATTTTTAACATATGATCAATCTTGTTTCATCTCCAGTTCCCTCTCCCACTTCTTCCTTTGCCTCTGGCCACTGGATTACTTAAAGCAAATTCCAGACACATATCACTTCATCTGTAAATACTTCAGTACCTCTAAGAAGTAAGAACTCTTTTTTCAAAAACATAACCACATGCTGTTATAACACCTGAAAGTTAATAATCATTCCTCAATATCATCAAATATCTCTAGTTTAAATTCCCTAGTTGCCTCACTGATGGCCATTTGTAGTTGGTTTGTTTAAATCAGGATCCAAACACAGCTCACACATTGATTGCATTTGGCTGACATTTTTCTTAAGTTTCTTTAAGACTCCCACTTTTTGTTTTTTCCTTTGTGGGAACTGGAGTCCTGGGAAAGGGGTCTATCGCCCTGTTATCAGGAAGGGTTGGAAACCCTCAAACACTAGCAAGTAGCTTCCTACAAGTCATGGGGCTCTTAGGGCCAACCCTCAGGGTGCTGAGCTCCAGAACCTGCTCAGGCCTTGAGTACTGATGAGGGTCCCCCAGACTTATTTGTTGAAGAAACCAAGTTGTCTGTCCTGTAGAAGAGTGGTCCCCAACCTTTTTGGCAGCAAGGACCGGTTTCATGGAAGACAATTTTTCCACAGACCTGGAGGCAGGAGGGGTGGGATGGTTTTGGGATGATTCAAGCACATTACATTTATTGTGCACTTTATTTCTATTATTACATTATAATATATAATTAAATAATTATACAGCTCACCATAATGTTGTAGAATCAGCAGGAGCTCTGAGCTTGTTTTCCTACGACTAGACAATCCCATCTGGGGGTGATGGGAGACAGTGACATACCATCAGGCATTAGATTCTCATAAGAGCACACAACCTAGATCCCTTGTATGCGCAGTTCACAATAGGGTTCATGCTCCTATAAGAATCTAATGCTGCTGCTGATCATTGCAGTGGTAATGTGAGTGATGGGGAGTGGCTGTAAGTACAGATGAAGCTTCACTTACTCACCAGCCACTCACCTCCTGCTGTGCAGCCTGGTTCCTAACAGGCCCAGGGGTTGGGGACCACTGCTGTAGAATTTTCCATATTCTGGAGTTTGTTGATTACCTCCCTCTTCGAGTCTTTAACATGTTCCTCTATTCCCTGTCTTTCTTGTCAGTGGTAGTTAGATCTGGAGGCCTAATCAAATTCATGATAAAGTTTCTATAAGGATATCTCAACAATGGCATGATTTCATTCTTATTTTATCATACTGGTAGTCACATAATGTCTGTTGTTTCTGTTTTTGTTAGGCATTCCTTGTAGAGTTTTTCATCAACATTCCAGCTGGTAGTTTTAAAAGATGGCCATTAATAAGCATTGCCTATTATTATAGATCTATTATTATATTAGGTTATGTAAAATGGTGATTTTCAAAATCTATCCACTCCTGAATTTATTAGCTAAAATTCTTCTGTAAAGGACTTTTCTACATCAACTATTTGGTTACCCCGAAATATAGATTGTGCAGGAATTGAAGAGAAATACTTGCCTTTTACCAGTTTTCAAAATAATGAGCTGGTGTCCTAATAATTGTCAAAGGTGACATTGAGATGGGTGTCAGTATCTGGGATCTTTTCTTTCTAAAAGCCACCAAGTTATCCTGCCAGTTTTATGGATGTCAGCAGAAGACTTGCAATTCCTGGATCAGAGACAAAGAACTTTATTACTCATAGCACAGCAAGCAGCATGAACTTCATATTTACATCAATTCCCCTGTTTCCCAGCTCCACAAGGGCAACGTGGCATGGCCCAGGTAGATGCTGTACAAGAAGCAGGGTTGCATAGCAGCTGAGAAACACTGAGCTTGGGAGATGGGAGAGATTCCCCTTTGTCCTGCAGGGTGACATTGCTCATTCCTCAAGGCTACTGTCTGCAAACATAACCCTGATAGATGGCTAAATGGCCTGGGTAAATAGTGGACAAGGCCTTGCATTCTTTACATACTGAGCATGCGTGAAAGGGTGCTCAGGGCCCACGGCATAAGACTAACAGTGTTTTGTTTTTTCATATTATTGTGTATGGACTCAGTTGTTTCAAAATATATTTGATATATTTCCCTTCATTGTGGTCATTATTCTTTTCAATACTCAAATTGTCCCATCTCTGGCCAGTGGAGCCACTTTGACTTGGCTCCTGTGATCTTTTGACATGACCTCAGTAGTCTTGGATAACATCCTTGCCTTTTAGTTTGAGGAAGTGCTGTGGGCTTCCCCTGTACATTTTCTGCTTCAGACCTTCAGACATTTTCTCAAGGAATCTTTCCTTGGGAGATGAGATTTAGAGACCATAATCTGGGAGCTAAGGGTGCTCATTGCTGTTGGGTTGGTCATTGATTCCAGGTCTTTTCAGAAGACTGAGTGAGGAAATAGATACTTGTTTTGAAATATAAAAATATTTTGTGAGTCAATATTAATATTTTAGATTAAAAATTTAGATTATGGTATTTGACTTAACTTTTTAAATTTTGTACTTGTATCTCTTTTACATTGAACATTTTGATTTTTACTAACATAATTATTCATTTTATCCTAATATATAATAGTTTCAACATAACATTACTAACATTAGTACCACAATATGATGAAGTAATCAATTTAAGATTTCTTTGCAGTTCATTTACTATATGTCTTATTTGGAATATTCACCAAATTATTGTATTTTAAAATCACTTTAATAATTCTCTGTAAGGTTAAGCCACCAACTTGATATCCAGTTAGGTTCATTTGTTTTGTTTTGTGTTTGATTTTTAGGGATATTTTCTTTTGCTTTAAGTTTGCTTAATTATCTGTAAAATATTTATATGATTCTAAAGTCAAAACTATAAAGCAAGGTACAGCCAGAGAAATTCAGCTTCCATTCTCTTCTCCTAATTTCTTTACACTCCCTTCCCATATGGGAAACCATTTTCATTTACTCTTCAAATATTATTTCTTTCATTTTAAAATATAGGCAAATATGAATCTTTATATTCCCTCAGCCCTTACATAAAAGATAGCATACTACACACATGATTCTACACCTTGCTTTTTTCATTTAATAATATATGCCCTGAAGATTATACCAAAAACATATACAGCAATTCTCCTTATTCCTTTTTAAGCTGCATAGCACTCCATTGTGTGAACATGCTGTGATTTACTAAGACAGTCTCCTATCACTCAAAATGTGTATTACCAATCTTTTGCTATTACAGTGCTTCAGTAAATAGCCTTATGATGTGTCATTTTACATTATTTGCCAGTGTATCCTTGTAACAGTTTCCTAGAAACAGGAATTTCTGGGTAAAGGGGAAAATGCTTCTGTAATTTTGTTAGATGTTACCAAATTCACCTCCATAGAGTTTAGACCATTTTTGCATTCCCAACTTTGGATATACTTTAAAGATCAATGTGACAATTTCATTTAATGTTTACCATATATCAGAAATTGTATATTTGGAGCAATTTAGACTGTGATAAAATACTTTGCGTGTAATTTTGAGCAAGTACAATGCTTTTCAAAAAAAAAACTTTTAGGGTTTCTCAATCAAAAATTTTAAAGACAAATTTTAAAGATTTTTTAAAAAGTTTTAAAGATTTTTAAAGACAACTAGTATCTGAAAATGTAGAATGATTGCTTGGTTTATATTTGTATGGCTCCTGGGTGAAGTGTGAGGCTTTGACATCACATTGACCTGTGTCCCCTGCCTCTCACCTGGTGGCTGAGTAACAATGGACAAGTTGCTTAACTTCTCTGGGACTCATGGGGAAAGCATTTGTGGAAAGTGTGAGATGAGATAATGCATGAAAAGTCCTTGGCACAGAGTCTGGGGCAAGAGGAACATCACGTGGGAGAAATTGTTTGACTTATTCTTGTAGACACCGCACTGTCCCTCCTCAGTCCCAGTCCTCGTGGATCCAAGGGGAGGAGGCAGCTATGATAGGACTGAGTGATTAGGAAGTAGGTTGAGCAACTTGTCCCAGTTTGTCCTGAACTTTTCTGGTTTTAGTTCTGGTAGTCCCACACCCCGGGGTCCCCTTAGTCCTAGGTCAACTGGGACACTTCATCACCCTATTGGGAAGACAGGCCTGGGTCAAGGGGCCCCTGATACTCCTGCCAGAGGTTGGAGACAGCTCCACCCCACTGTTCTCAAAAGGTCACATGGCAGGACAAAACAAGCATAACTTCTGTCACGGAAGGGACCAGAAATGTCTTAAAGTGAAAACAGGGCCCTCTTGGAAGGATGAACCATCAGGGAAAACAGGGGCACCTGGCTCCTTTCTCCCAGTCTGTGGCTGGGAAAGGTTTTTGACAAGGCTTTTGGCCTTTGGTATCAACTGTAACTGAATACCCTCTTCCCTGTCCAAGATTGGTTGAGGTTAATGTTTTATTGATAACTATAGTGAGGTGTATAGTTGGCTTATTAGCTATTCTGAAATTGGGTTTTAATGTAATAAAAAGCAGTCCCCTGAAACTGATCTAATCATCTCTATTCATTGGGGTTAGTCATTGTTTAATACTGACCAAGTGAGTGAGAACACTGGTATTTGGCAGCCTGACCTTTAGGACTCATGGCAGGAGTTTTCATGCCAGATTTGTCACTGATGGCATCTTGCAGCTCCAATTATTTCAAAATTTTCGTGATAGAAAAATGTCCTTTCAGAGATTGTGGGATACCCCAAGATTGCCAAGGAGTAGGCTACTCAGCCAGAAAGTGGGGCTTGTGCTTGGATCCACCCGCCCTTTCCAATGTTGGAGGGCTGCTGAACTGGCGAGGATCTTTCTCGGCCTCTGGCTCTTTGGTTCCCGCTAGAAGCCAAGGAACAGTCTCAGGCATGGCTCTTCAGGCTCCTTGAGGTTTTAGCCCCAATAGATTTATAACTTGAGTCATACATCCCAAATCCCATTACTTGCCTCTGAAATTATAACTTCACGTTCAAAATAGCTGAACAAATCCTTCAAAGCTCTGGACTCCTTCCCTCGTAGGGCAGTCTGTCAATGGGAAGTGAGTGTAGTCTCCTGTGACTGGTTACTCATCCCATGCTCCTTTTGATCCAATCAA
The DNA here is from genome assembly GCF_000001405.40 of Homo sapiens. Taxonomy (NCBI): domain Eukaryota; kingdom Metazoa; phylum Chordata; class Mammalia; order Primates; family Hominidae; genus Homo; species Homo sapiens. Next base: position 134,078,184 of record NC_000003.12, on the reverse strand, counting down.
ACACCGTTGCATTTTTCTCCCCGCAGTTTCAAGTGCATTGTGTTCCATTATCCCTCTGGGAGAATGTTCAGCCACTTTTAGTGGCCTGGCACCCCCCCTGGCACCTAATAGCACCCAATTTCCTCTAGTGAATGAAGCCTTCCCGCTGGGGCAGCCCTGGTAGGGATGTTCCCAGGTGTGGCAGGATGTCTGCTCCCAGCCCCAGGCCCTGCCTGTTTTCACTCTAATACAGCTGAGGGTAGGCACCAGGCTGAGGTATGGAAAATGAGACTTCCTCTCCTGGGCCCCTGATTCTCCAAGAGAATGGCAGGAGGTCTGAGCAGATGTATAGACTTCAGCCCACTTGGGCTGCAACTGCCAGAGGGGCCCAGATACAGCCTGGCTGTCCAGGCTCCGGCCTCCATGGGCAGCCATGTGCCTTCCAGCCCACATGCTCTGTGCATGGTTGGCTGCAGCCGTGGTGTGCCTGGGGCTGCAGCACTTGGCAGATGCCCAATGGTAAGGAAGGCCTGTGGGCCACCACACTTGAGGACTTGCTCATGAAACAAACAGTCTGGCTCCTCATAGCCTGAGAATTGAAAAAAAACTTTAAAAAATTAATGAATTGCTTATTTCAATTAAATAAAACATAAGCCTGCTACACAGTTCCAAATGTGTGTAATAAAACACAGTAGAATCCAATATCCATTCGTCCCCACCCCACATATCTTTTTTCCTTCCAGAGCAAAGCCACATGTCATTGTTGCAGGGACTTTTAACATTGCACAAAGTACCAGGCTGCTCACACACTGTTCCTCACCCTGCTTTTCCCACTAACAACATATCTGAGAGTCTCTAAACATTTCTGATGAGAGGAAGTAGTTGGGTGCTTTCTAGGAAGGGACAAGGACCCCCCTGAAGGGATTGGTTTCAAGGTGAGAGATGGCCCTGGGAAAGTGCAGAACAGGAGCTGGTGCAGCCTGTGAGCTGCCCTGTGGGTCTTGTAGCTCCACTACTTGTATTCTGTTGGGAGAAACAGTTTCAAAGACTTGACAGAGGCCACTCAACCATTTCATTGTCTTCGCTCTGTGTGTGTGTGTGTGTGTGTGTGTGTGTGTGTAAAAGAGAGAGAGGAGGAGAGAGAGATGCTGACACCAACTTCCCTGTGCAGGCTGTGGGGGTGGGGATATCAGGCCTTATTCACCCTCTACCACCTCGCACAGGGCCTGGCACATAGTAGGTGCTCCAGAATCTCTTCCTGCCCTGCCCTTACAGTGTGAATCCTACACTCTGGCCAATCTGGGCAATTGTTTTCCAGTTTCCCAGCCCTTGTCCAAGAAACAGTTCTGTTGCTTCTTGTTGTGTTTTATTCTCCCTAGAATACCCTCTCACGTCCATTGTCATCTATTGAAGTTGTGAGCACGTTCCTTGACCCTCCTCTCTGGGATGCTTTCCCAGACTAGCCCAACCCCCACCAAAGGCTGCTGAAGGCATTCCTCTACCTCACACAGGACTTCCCTGAACCCTCCTATTTACACACACACAGCAACCCAACAGTACTACAACCCCAGTGCCAATATCCACACCAGTGACACAATATTAAATGTGTAAAACAGTGCTTCACTTGTTGTCTGATGGCTTCCAAAGGCACCTGGAACCAGAGAACTGGGTTGGCCTGGGGGCCCGGTCCTGGAGCCTGTGGTCTCTCCATGGTGAGCCCCCATCTGCAACTAAGGACGCTTTCTTTTTCTTGCTATTGCCTGGCTAGTCCTCTCTAAACTCCTGAGAGAGAGGGAGCTAAAAGGCAGACCTGGGGTTGGTCCAGAGAATCCCCACCATCTGCATGGGCTGAGCATTCCCCACTAGACCATGCCATTGTTGCTGGCCTATGTGGGGATTGGTGGTACCCAACCCAATAAGCTGGAAGCGGGAGAGCCGAAACATGGGTGTCTGTAGCTGACGTCTCAGCATCATTTATTTAATCATCACGTTTTCAACAAGCATTGCTTGAGCTCCTTCCATGGATGGCTAAGCACAGGGGACACAGCCAAGAACCATAGAATGTCCAGCCCTCAAGGCGCTGATACTCTAGGGAGACAAACAATAAACAAGCAATAGACACACAGCTCGTGGGTTGGCAATGCTATGAGCGAATAGTACAAGAGGCCAGGGTGTGCTGTGCAGTGAGCACCAGGAATTTTGTTGGGTGCTCAGGGAATTCCTCTCTGATGAGGGGTTACCTAAATGGGGACTTGAAGGAAGTGAGGAAGGGTTCCATGCCATGTCTGGGAGTGGAGCCTGGGGCAGCAGTACAGGCCCCATGGCTGACAGAGCCCAGTGCATTTGGAGATGGAGAAGCGAGGGACAGAGATATGATATGGGATCCTAGATCAGGTTGCTGGGGATGGGGGTGCAGATTGTGCAGGCCACAGAAAGGACTTTGGAGTTTTCCCTGTGTGAGATGGGAAGGGCTGTCTGGACTCTGGAGTATTCTAGGCCAGTGATGACATTGGGCTTGCATGTTAAAATGATTGCTTTTAACCAGACCAGGGAGGAGGCCATGGCAATAGCCCAGGTAGGGGAAGAAGTACCTGGCCTGGGAAGGCCGCCGTGGATGGGGTGAGAGATGGGCCGGTTCTGAGATGATGCTGCAGGAAGGGCCAGCAGGATGCTGATGGATGAGATAGGGGTGTGAGAGTGAGAGAGGCATCAGTGCAACCCCAGGGTTTCGTTCTGAGCACCGAAAGGTGGTGATGGGGAAGGTTGTGGGAGGATCAGGCTAAGTGGAGGGGGCGGTCCCTCTCAGGGGCAGGCACGGAGATGTCAAAGATAGACCCTACAATAACCTCTACAATAGTTCCTCTCAGCCTCACTGATGCAGCAAAGCAAGCCTCCAGAACAGGCCTCAGTTTCTTCTCCACACCCACGTCTTGGTGGTGGGGAAAGACACAAGCTTGAAGAAAACCCAAAGTCTTGGTCTCCTTCCTTCTAGGCTCCACCATGCGGTGCCGCTCTCTTTGGAGTCTCCTGAAGGGGAGGAGGGCCCTCTTGGCTGCTCTTCTGACTCCAACAGCTGGATGAAGCCTATTCTTGTCCTACAGGAGCCCCACTGGAAGTGAATAAGCTCAGTTGCCATATTTGGACCAAAATTCTCACATTTGATACTGGAAGGTAATGTTTAGGCTCCACTAGATGGCAAATTTGGTGAGGACTTTTGTTATAGACACACTGCCCAGCTAGCCCAGCCTCAACTGCAAGACATGAGGAATTCTGAGCCAATCCTGCCGTTGTGGGAAACGTCCACATTTCCACAGTGGGGAAGCATTGTGTCCTTTGAAACAATAGGGCCTGCTGAAATGGAAACAGCACCCTTTCCTCTTGGATGTGCTGGCAGGGATATCCCCTCTTCCCTCCCCCAAGATCTCTGCAAGTTGAATAGCAGCGGTGACAACTGAGGAGCGGCTCTTCTCCTAAGTCAGAGGTCAGGGCTGAGCCCACAGCAGTTCCACACTCCCAGGCATGACCCGTGAGGAAGTGGGGAGACCTGCCAGTGTGGGGAGGCGGCGGATTGTCCAGTCTCTGAGTCTCTGGATATTGTGGCTTGAGACTTTGTTCTGGCCACTCAGCAGCACCAGCTCTCTCCCACGGGGGGATGCTTCCATGCTCCTCCTTTAAGAGACCATGTCAGGGCTCTGGACTCAAAGGAATAAAAGGGTCTCCTAACTGGGGGACAAACAGGTATCCTCCTGTGGCCAATGCTGACCTGAAGGCTGCTGGATGTGGCAGGAAGGCAGCGCTGGTGGTGTCTAGCATTTGCTGAGGACTTACTATGTGCCTGGCACTGTTCTAAGCACTTCACACAGATAATCCAGTGTAATCCTCATGGCTGACAAAGGAGGTGGGTGATATGATAGTTGAGGAAATCTAGACTTGGAGAGATTAGCGCTGTGTCTGAGGTCTGGGACTGGTGGGGCCAGGGTGGAAAGCTGAGTGGCCCAACATGTGCACCTTCATGGTGACGGCCACCCTTGGCCAGGGTAGGGGAGTGCCAGAATCTGTTAGGGCACCCGCCATCCTGGCACCACAGTACAAGGACCTTCCACACACACTCACAGGGTCCCTCTTGGAGTTCAGGGATCAATGGGACAAAGTTTGCCCTCAGAGAGCTCATGGTCTAGCAGAGTAAAGACCATGAGCTAAGCCCACCACTCTGACAGTTGCCACCATGCCGGTAATTGTCTGGTAACAGCTCCTGGATGATCAAGAATAAAGAAACAAATTTTGCCAGGAGGCTAACATTACAGGGCTGGGATACTTGCCTTTGGGGGCTTAGAACTCTATGACTCTTCCCTACAATGGTTAATGGTGAACTTCAGTGGGGTGAGCCATGAGTGCATTGACTGTTGTGCTACTGGTGCCTAGCAGGGGCTTCACACACTGGGGGAAAGCGGTCGCTGCATGGTCACCATGGCAGCTGTGTCAAGACGGTCACCCTAGAAGCCTCCAAAAATAACAGGTAGATTCTGTCCATGACTTGCCAGGGCCCTGTCCTGTGCCCTGGAAAGGGAAGGCAACTTAGAAATTTTTATTGCTTACCTTTAGACGCTGTGGACTAATGTGCCCCTGAGCGCCAGCCCCAAGCCCACCAGACTGAGGCTCTTGAGGTGTGGAGTGGATTTTCACAGTGCATGGGATTCTGGGAGGAGCCTTCAAAGATGAATGGGAGGCCTCAAGGTGCACTCCTGGAGGTGTCCATGCTGACCCTCCCTGACCAGAGGACTTGGAGAAGGCAAGGTGCCTGTGATGTCAAGAAGTTCCTGCGAGCAGCAAGTCTCCCGTGCACAGCTGACGTGCCCAGCTGGGCCAAGAGCAGCCGGGTGGCAGAGGAGAGAGCTTCCCAGGACAGCCTAACCCCTTTCCCACCGTTCAAATGGAGGGAGAACCTCCAGGTCCTGGAAGCATTGGGAATAAGTTTCGCTTCCATTCAGAGTATTTAATGAGCGCCTGCTTTGGACCAGGCACAGAGCAGACCAAAACCTCTGCCCCTGTGCAGTGCACACTCTAGTGATAGGAGAAACCCACTTCTCCTGTCCACGCGGAAGGCTCACCCTAAGGGGCTGTGTCTCCCCTGCAGCCGAGGGAGTGGCTGAGTGGACACACAGCGGGGTCAGGCTGTCAGGAGTGCCTTAAATAGCAACCGGCTCAGCCAGTCACACTTTCTCAGTTACTGATATTTTTTTAAAGGAATCTTACCTGGAATCCCATATAAACAGTGTTTTATTACATATCGTTATTTGCTGCCATTTGTCGCCTTGACTTATTAAGGCAGTTTTGATGAACAGAGTCTCGTGCCAATCCCAGGCATCTGGTGCCTCCCCGTATATCAGGGTACTCAGCCTTGGCATTATTACCATTGGGTCCAGATAATTCTCTGTCGTGGGGCTGCTCTGTGCCCTGAAGGATGTGTAGCAGCAACCCTGGTTTCTACCCACCTCATGCAATTAGTAACAACTTCACTTGTGAAAACCAAAAAGACATCTCCAGACACTCAAATGTCCCTGGGGGTGGGGGTATGGGAGCAAAATCGCCCCCTTGAGAACCACTGCTGTCTACCTCCATTGTGCAATATCAAGAAATCCTGTTTTGCATGGTGAAGTACTTACAACTGGTAAGATGCTTTTATTTTTATTATTTATTTATTTATTTATTTTTGAGATGGAGTCTCACTCTGTAGCCCAGGCTGCAGTGCAATGGTGCGATCTCGGCTCACTGCAACCTCCGCCTCTTAGGTTCAAGCAATTCTTCTGTCTCAGCTTCCCAAGTAGCTGGGATTACAGGTGACCACCATCATGCCCGGATAATTTTTGTATTTTTAGTAGAGATGAAGTCTCACCATGTTGGTCAGGTTGGTTTCAAACTCCTAACCTCAGGGGATTCACCTGCCTCCGCCTCCCAAAGTGCTGGGATTACAGGCTGAGCCACTGCGCCTGGCCTAGTTTTATTTTTATTTTATTATTATTATAATTTTTGAGATGGAGTCTCACCCTGTCACCCAGGCTGGAGTGCACTGGCGCCATCTCGGCTCACTGCAACCTCCGCCTCCCAGGTTCAAGCGATTCTCCTGCCTCAGCCTTCCGAGTAGCTGTGATTACAGGCGCCTGCCACCATGCCCGGCTAATTTTTTGTATCTTTAGTAGAGATGGGGTTTCACCATGTTGGCCAGGCTGGTCTCGAGCTCCTGACTTCATGATCCGTCCGCCTCGGCCTCCCAAAGTGCTGAGATTACAGGCATGAGCCACCACGCCCAGCCCCTAGTTTTATTTTTAATCAGCTCTCCTGATGTTCCCAGGACCACCTCTAATTAAATAGGAGTTTTATTCTAAGTTCTTCTCAAAAAAAAAGAAAAAACAAATTAATGCAGTGGCCCAAGTTAATGTGTTGGTAGTTTTCAATATACTAAAATTTATACGTAACACATTTGTGTGGGTGTGTTGTATTTATTACAATTTTGAATAGCAAAATCTTCACAGTAAAAAACATTCAAAGTAAATGTTGGCAGAGCCCCTGGAAGCCCTCTGGGAAGAGGCTTGGAGAGAAAGAGAGAGGATTTCATCAGGGTCACAGGTTAGGGCAGGAGGGCAGGGCCTTGCAGGCCTCTCTGCCGTCCCCAGGCCTTTCAACTTCCTCAGACATAGCCTAGAGGAGGCAAAGAGGGTGTGTGGAAGGCTCGAGGCCTCTCAAGACAGGGGCCAGGGTTGGATTGAGGAAAATAAAGACTAATTCAGGTGGTGAGCAGAAGGAAAGAAAGGCCCGTGGCCTCACGCAGTGCTAAGAGCGGGCCCATAATCTTGGTGATGCAAGGCCAGTAGGTTAAACCCAGAATAATCATAATGAAAACAATCTGTTTGCACCATTGGATGCTTCCAGAAATTCCCGGGAGCAAGTCCAAGATGGAGAATCCCAGCCGGAAGTGCTGCTGGTTGGAACTGAGAGGGCGTTCTGGGACCCGGCTTCTAAGGACAGGGTGAGGGGTGCCGGCCTCCTCAGGGGAGCAGCTGCCAGGGGAGGGGGGCAGTCTGCAGGCTGCAGAAACAACAGCTGGCTTTCATGTTCTTGAAAGAGCAGCCCTTCACTGGACTCCATTTGTTCTCTCTTCTCTGAAATTAGAAGCCGACTCCAGGGCTTGCTCCTCAGGAAATCTGCCTGAAATGCAGTGGGACAGCTGACCACAGGCCCCTCCTCACCACACCCCAGGGGATCTATAATAGACACAGTAAAACGAGGCAAAGACCTGACAGGGGGCCTGGCTATCTGCTGGCTGTCTCTTCAGCCGCTGGGGTGGTTCTCGGCGGGTGCCTCGCTAGGGACTAACAGGATGGAAGTGAGAGGTGACAGCATGCTGGCAGTCCTCAGAGCCCTCGCTTGCTCTTGGCACCTCCTCTGCCTGGGCTCCCACTTTGGCGGCATTTGAGGAGCCCTTCAGCCCACCACTGCACTGTGGGAGCCCCTTTCTGGGCTGGCCAAGGCTGGAGCCCACTCCCTCAGCTTGCAGGGAGGTGTGGAGGGAGAGGTGCCAGCAGGAACCGGGGCTGCGTGCGGTGCTTGCAGGCCAGCTGGAGTTCCGGGTGGGCGTGGGCTTGGCGGCCCCGCACTCGGAGCAGCCAGCCAGCCCTGCCGGCCCGGGTAATGAGGGACTTAGCACCCGGGCCAGTGGCTGCGGAGTGTATACTGGGTCCCCCAGCAGTGCCAGCCCACCGGCACTATGCTCGATTTCTCACCGAGCCTTAGCTGCCTTCCCGCGGGGCAGGGCTCGGGACCTGCAGCCCGCCATGCCTGAGCCTCCCACCCACTCCATGGGCTCCCCTGCGGCCCAAGCCTCCCCGACGAGCACCACCCCCTGCTCCACGGCGCCCAGTCCCATCGACCACCCAAGGGCTGAGGAGTGCGAGCGCACGGCGCGGGACTGGCAGGCAGTTCCACCTGCAGCCCCGGTGTGGGATCCACTAGGTGAAGCCAACTGGGCTCCTGAGTCTGGTGGGGACGTGGAGAGTCTTTATATCTAGCTCAGAGATTGTAAACACACCAATCAGCACCCTGTGTTTAGCTCAAGGTTTGTGAGTGCACCAATCGACACTCTGTATCTAGCTGCTCTGGTAGGGCCTTGGAGAACCTTTGTGTCTACACTCTGTATCTAACTAATCTGATGGGGACTTGGAGAACCTTTGTATCTAGCTCAGGGATTGTAAATGCACCAATCAGCACCCTGTCAAAACAGGCCACTCGGCTCTACCAATCAGCAGGATGTGGGTGGGGCCAGATAAGAGAATAAAAGCAGGCTGCCCGAGCCAGCATTGGCCACGCGCTCGGGTCCCCTTCCACACTGTGGGAGTTTTGTTCTTTTGCTCTTTGCAATAAATCTTGCTACTGCTCACTCTTTGGGTCCACGCTGCTTTTATGAGCTGTAACACTCACCGGGAAGATCTGCAGCTTCACTCTTGAGCCCAGCGAGACCACGAGCCCACCGGGAGGAATGAACAACTCCAGACGCGCTACCTTAAGAGCTGTAACACTCACCGCGAAGGTCTGCAGCTTCACTCCTGAGCCAGCGAGACTACGAAGGAACCCACCAGAAGGAAGAAACTCCGAACACATCTGAACATCAGAAGGGACAGACTCCAGACGCGCCACCTTAAGTGCTGTAACACTCACTGCGAGGGTCCGCGGCTTCATTCTTGAAGTCAGTGAGACCAAGAACCCACCAATTCCGGACAGAAGGGCCCAGGGAGCATGGAGTGCAGGGACACTGCCGGCTGCCTTTCACCTTTCTCTCCTTCCCTTCCCCACACAGTCAGTCTGGGGAATCCCATTCTTTTCTTTTCTTTTCTTTTCTTTTTTTTTTAATTTGGAGATGGAGTCTCATTGTGTTGCCGAGGCTGGAGTGCAATGGCCCAATCTCGGCTCTCACTGCAACCTCTGCCTCTAGGGTTCAAGCGATTCTCCTGCCTCAGTCCCCCAAGTAGCTGGGATTACAGGCGCGTGCCACCACGCCCAGCTAATTTTGTGTTTTTAGTAGAGACGGGGTTTCACCATGTTAGCCAGGCTGGTCTCGAACTCCTGATTTCAGGTGATCCACCCGCCTCGGCCTCCCAAAGTGCTGGGATTACAGGTGTGAGCCACTGCGCCCGGCCTGGGGAATCCCATTCTTATGATGTGATCACCCAGTGTCCCTGTGTCAGACCTCTGGTGCCAAGAGAGACCTTAGAGATCACCTGATCCCACGCCTTCATTTTACAGATGGAGGAACTGAGGCTCAGGGAGGTGATTTTTTCCAAGGTCACCTGCCTAGGCTTCCTGGAGCCAGCTCTGTGCTCTTCTAAAACCACCACTTACTTTCCAATGGAGGGAGGTGACGTGTCGAGCACCTCTCACCTCTATTAGCCAGCCTGGTGTCTCCTGAAAAGCAGCGAGCATGTGCATGTGTGCACTGATAATATGTACCCCTGCAAGTCAGAGAGGGCACGTGCACACCTACGCGTCTTTGCAAACTGCTGGACATCATCTGCTGGTATGTACCCTAGTTAGGTGCTGAGACTAGGGTGAGGGCCAGGGAAAAGGCTGGGGTTGGGAGGCGTGAGTGAGCACTTAGATTCAGGAAGTTGTCAGTAAGACTGAGGAATGTCCTTGGGAGTCTTTGACTGGGGGTGGTGTTGAGTCTGGGTCAGACAGGTCAGAGAAGTCAGCCCAGAAAAGGAGGCCCATGAAGGACACTCCAAATGTTCATTGGAAGAGGGGCTTTCCCCAGGCAGAAAGAACAGGGCTGGGAAGCTAGAAGACAAGAGGCATGTTTGGAAGACAAGAGGCATGTTTGGGAAATGTCCAATAGTACTAGACTGTGGACCAGGGTTTATTGGGGGAGCAAATAGCTAGCAGGTATTTATTGAGCACTTGCTATATGGCAGATGCTGTGCTAGGTGCTAGAGACAAAGAGGCTTGAGTTGAGAGTTCTTCATGAGTGTGTTCTGTTCATCTTCCCAGCAGATGCAGAGGTCCTGCTCTGTGACCCACACTCTGAGCTCTAAGGAGAAGGAAACACACCCACACCCACACCCTTGAGAACTCACCACAGGGAAGAGTCCACGGAGGCAGACCCAGAACGGAGTGCAGAGAGCAATGGGAACCGCCTGGGAATTGTTCTCAATTGTGTCCTCACGCCCACACACTGACCTCCCGGGGCTCTGCAGCCAGGCTCCCTGTGCCTTCCTCGCCCCGGGGAGAGTCTGAACTCCCAGAATGCGTGTGTGTGCATCCCCTGCCCCTGCAGAAGACTCTCAACGGATCCAGCTAAGTCACCAGCCCAAACGCAAGCCCAAGTCTTGGCGTGACAGGGGCATTCAGCACTCACAGTTTATCTGTGGAGAAGAATCCCAGGCACTGGGTTTCAGAATCAAGGGCACTAGTGCGGAGGAAGTCTCCATCAGCCCTCACCTGACTCCTGGCGCTGTGGGTCCCTGAGGGCCCCAGGCAGCTCACCAATTCTCTGCTTCCCATGGATGCTTGTGGTTACTGGCTGACCTCAGTGTCTCTCCCCAGGATAACAGGACTAGGGGAGTCTCCCTTCACAGTTTGAAAGCACCTTAGTTCCTCCTACTGTCTCAAACCTCTCCATGGGCGCTGGCAGACCTGCTATGATTTTCATCCTACAGATGAGGCCCCAGAGGCTTGAGGGTGAATGGTGCTCAAGGGTGAGGTCTCTCTGAGGCTGGTGCCCTCCCCACACCCGGGGCACTGCCTGACAGCTATCCCCCAAGACCCCACTCCCTTCAGCCACTGGGACTTCCCTCCCAATGCAGGCCGTGTGTGCCCTGCTCCTGTGCAGCGGCAGGACAGGTTTCCAAAAACCAACGGCAAAGTTTCCTGAAAGGCTCTGGCTTCCAGGACTCTTGGCAGGGCTCTGCCCAGGAAGCAATGAGCTGGCACTTTCCTGGCTGTGTGCTTATAGCTGACCCTGGCCTCAGAGGCCTTCCTCTCCTTATCAGGAAAGGATGCCAAGGAGGAGGGAGGAGGCTCTGGGGAGAGTCCAGGCCTTTGTGTGAACCATCCTAAGGGAAGTGGATGCTTCTGAGCAGCCCTGCCCGGCTCTGGGCCTTGCCCGCCCTCATCTTCAGCAGGGCTTTGGCACTGGAAAGAATGAGCTTCAGCTCCTGAGCCTTGCAGGAGTCAGAGGTCAGCAGATTCCAGGGCTCAGCCTTTCCGCCTCAGTCAGAAACTCTCAGCAGACCAAAGGCCTGGGCTACAGTCCACTGAGAGTTTTTGACCAAGGCAGAAATTCTTCTCCACAGATAAACTGTGAGATAAACTGGGTGGGGACATCAGCAGCCTCCTCTCTGACGGGCAAAGTTCTTGGGGCCTGCCATGTGACCACCCAGCCTGGACTCCCTGCCAACACACACACAAAACAAGGCCCCTGCTAGACCCCAGTGCCTGGGCCCAGCTACTGGGCTGGCTTCTCTGCTGGTGTCCAAGGCTCACAGATTCCTGTTCTGCTTTCCCTCCAGACATCCTCTCTGGTCTTCCTGGTCTACCCTCAGGCACACAGGCCTCTCCTCCCCTTATGCCTCTGTCAGCTCTCTCCTCTGCCTGGACCGCTCTCCCCTCATCCCTCAGCCCCAGCTCTCCCCTCAATCCCTGGGATGCCTGTATGGACCTCCCGGAGGGCTGGTCCCTCTGTCCCACGCCCTGGACTTCTCTGCAGCACTCCTCATGGCCACCGTGACTCTCTTGGGGGTGATCCGTTGACTCACTCCGGCTGCAGGAGGGCTGGGACAGTGCCTGCTGCCTGTGTGCTGGCCAGACACAGTGGGAGTGCCCGCCCATGCTTACTGGGGAAGCAGAGACAATGGAATGTTTTAGCAGGATTGGGGTCTTCAGAAGGTACTTCCATGAGGTCCTGCATACAGCTGGGGTAGGAGGAGGCAGTTTAGGGCCTGGACGATGTGGGGCTGACATGAGAGAACAGGCCAGGGTAGGGTGCTGGGCAGGTGGGTCAGAGGGGCAGTCGTCCGCCTGGTACACAATGTCTTATATATGTTTGCAGGGGTGAAAAGAGACCTGTTCAGGGGCAGTGCCCAGTGAGGAGACCCTCAAACGAGAGGCAGAGTCCCTCAAGCCTTTGTACAATGCCACCAAGGGTGCTGCCCCTTCTTCAACAGAACGTCCTCCTTGCAGGGAGGCTGCAGTGATGTCAGAGATGGTGGGTTCAAACCTGCTCCTGTCTTCTCTCTGTAGCCTCCCTTTCCTCATCTGTGAAGTGGGGATGATAAGAGCTAACTGGCAAGGTTATTGGGTGGTCAGCTGAGGGAAAGTTCTTGAAAGGTGTTACTGAATCAAACGTCATTTTGCTTTTTCCTTCTCGCAGAATCACAGGCCAGAGGTGAGAGCTGGAGAAAGGGAAACTCTCCCAGTCCCTGGGAGTGGTCATTACAGACTGGGAAATCGCTCTCCAGCTGATGGTAAAGGACTGCAAATCCTATTCATGTGACTCAGGGCCTGGTGTGCCTTCTGGGAAGAAAGCAGAAGAGGGTTCCTAACTGTAGAAGGGAAAAGTTTCCCTTTATTCTTCCAGCCACGTGGTTCAATAAGCATGTACAAGCTCTTACCAGGGCCAGGCACTGTGCGGGCACCAGAAACATTAAGATGGAATGACACAGGTCTGCCCTGGAAGAAACATTAAGATGGAATGACACAGGTCTGCCCTGGAAGGGCTCCTTTCCAGGGCTCAGGGACTCTGTGACTCCTTTTGGGGAGCAGAGTTGTGGACAAGAGTGCATTTTTCTAGAGAGATGGTCCACAAGCCATCCAGAGCCAGGCTCTGTCTCCAGGTACCCTTGATCCTTGGAGACCTCCCTCAGGTCCTGGCTTTCTTTTTGGATTCAGGATTTCCCTGTGTTCCCCAGGCTGGAGGGCAGTGGCTTACTGCCGCCTCCACCTCCTGGGCTCAAGCATTCCACCTGCCTCAGCCTCTCAAGTAGCTGAGACCACAGGCACACACCACCAGACCCATAGAACTTTTTTATTTTTTGTAAAGACAGGGTCTCACTATGTCTTTACATAGTGAGGTCTCGAACTCCTGGGCTTAAGTGATCCACCCACCTCGGCCTCCCAAAGTGCTGGGATTACAGGCATGAGCTACCACGCCTGGCTTAGTTAGCCCTGGCTTTCAATTCCATCTCTGTTCTCCAGGACAAGCTGTCTCTGCAACTCCAGGCTCTTCTGGAAGCTGCCACCAATGCCTTTTCCACGTGGGGAGCTGCTTGAGGTTCCTTCCTCCCTTAACTCAAATGATGACAACTCCAGCTTTTGGTTACTCAGGCCAAACTCTCAGAGTCATTCTAGACCCTTCTCTTTCAAAATGTACACCCAATCTATCAGCCAGTCCTGTCAGCTCTATTTTAAAATATATGCAGAAACTAAACGATAGTGGTAGAAAATAGATCCGAGGGGCTTGGAGTGTGGAATAAGGGGGATACAAAAGAACAGGAGAAAATTTGGAAGCTGATGGGAATGTGAAGTATCTTGACTGTGGAGATGGTTGAGTGGGTGTATATGTGTGTCAAAATACAATAAATTGTACACTATATGTGTGGTTTAATATGTGCTAGTTATGCCTCAATAAAACTGTTTTTTTTTTTAAGTCAGATATTTTCAGTGACCTCTGTGAGACCCTGGACTAGTCGCTTCCCCTCTCTTAGCCTCAGCTGCTCAATTAGTGAAACAGGGGTCCCTAAGGGACCTTCTAGTTGGGTCTGTGTATGCCCACCATGACTGTGCTCCCCACATCTCAGAAGGAGCTCCCCTCCTGGGGTGGGGGGCAGTGGTACTGTGTGACCCAGATTTCTTCCAGCACTCTTCTGAGCTCAGCTCAACCCAACAGCCTTCCTGCAGAAGTGGCTCAGACCAAGTTGAGAGGTTAGTTGGGGAGAGGGGGATGCCAGGAAATCGGGCTAAATCCTGTAGGAAAAATAAGTAGGTGAGTAAATCCATGGCCCCACACTGCATGGGCTTCTCTTCAGGCACAGAAAACCTCCAGGGAGCTGGAGAGGAGCACAGGGATCTTGACCAACACCTACATTTGACAGGTGGGGAAACTGAGGCCCAGGAGAAGTCTTTCTTTTCTTTTCTTTCTCTTTCTCTCTTTCTTTCTTTCTTTCTTTCCTTCCTTCCTTCCTTCTTTCTTTCTTTCTTTCTTTCTTTCTTTCCTTCTTTCCTTCTTTTCTTCTTTCTTTCTTTCCTTCCTTCCTTCCTTCCTTCCTTCGTTCCTTTCTTTCTTTCTTCTTTCTTTCTTTCTTTCTTTCTTTCTTTCTTTCTTTCTTTCTTTCTTTCTTTCTTTCTTTCTTTCTTTCTTTTTTTCTTTCACAGGGTCTCGCTCTGTCACCCAGGCTGGAGTGCAGTGGTACGATCTCAGCTCACTGAAATCTCCATCTCCTGGGTTCAAGTGATCTCTGCTTCAGCCTCCTGAGTAGCTGGGACCACAGGCACACACCACGACACCTGGCTAATTTTTGTATTTTCAGTAGAGACAGGGTTTCGCCATGTTGGTCAGGCCGATCTTGAACTTCTGGCCTCAAGCGATCCACCTGCCTCGGCCTCCCAAAGTGCTAGGATTACAGGCATGAGCCACCACGCCTGGCTGAAGTCATTTTTCAAGTACACTGAGAAACCAAGCTGGAGTTGATGCAGGAATGCAGGTTGCTGGACTCCTAATCCACTACTTAAATGTCACCTTCTCCTTGAGGACTTCCTGACCACCCTGTATCATATTGCAACTTTCCCTCACCCCCAGTATTTCTGATCACCCCTGCCTTGCACCTGTATTCTCCATAGCACTTTTCACTTTCTAATATGTAACATAATTTACTCATATTTATTATTTGTCTCCTCCTGGTAGAATATAAGCTCCCCAAGGCTAGGGACCAGTGTGTGTTTTGTAAACTGATTGATCCTAAGCGTCTGGAGTAGCCTTCAACAGTGCTTAGCATAAAGCTATCTTTAACAGATACTTATTGAATTAATAAATTTATCAGAGACCACTACCCTGCAAAGAACAAGGGATTCTAACTTACTCTTATCTGAGTTCAGTTTACCCCTCCAGCACTAACTAGGTGCTTTATTTTACCTCCTTATGTTCCCACTTTCTCATCCACAAATATGATTTCACTGGACTACTATGAGACATAATGCAGATGAAGTGCCTAGAAGAGTGCCTGGCCTACAGCAGTGGACTCGGGCTAACATCAGAGAGCAGCAACTTTATTTAACAAATAAATGTTGTGGTAAAGCTCTGGCAAATTAAACAGGACAAGCAGAGTGTCACCATACCTGATTTGGATGGGAAGCTCTCAGATGAAATATTTTCTTCCCTCCTTGAGGGGGAATGTTCTGGTCCAGACCCAGTGAGTTTGAAAGAGCTCTGCAGGAGGAGTGAGGAGGCTGGGTGCTACAGTCTGACTGTGTCCGCAAGATTCATGTGTTGGAAGCATAATCCTCAAAGCAGCTGTGTTGAGAGGCAGGACCTTTAAGAGATTAAGTCATGATGGTGAATGGATTAATGCTGATTATTACTGTTTTGGGTTCCTGATAAAAAGGATGAATTCAGCCAATTTCCTTTCTCTGTCTCACATGCCCACTTCCACCTTCTGCCCTTCTGCCATGGGATGCCCCTCACCAGATGCTGGCATCATGCTCTTAGACTTCCCAGCCTCCAGAACTGTAAGAAATAAATTTCTTTTCTTTATGAATTACCCAGCCTGGTACTCTGTTATAGCAAGAGATAACAGACTGAGATACCACGTCTCAGCTCAGCTCTCTCACTTCCTGGCAGTGGGGCTCAAGGCCACATACTTTACCTCTCAGGAACTCTTTCTTCTCATCTGTGAAATGGGACAAGAATGTCTTCTCTGCTGACTTCAGAAGGGTCAGAGAGATTAAAGGAGAAATCACAAGTGCAAATGCTTCGTGAGCAGTATAGGACTGTGCCTTTATGGGTGAAATGGCTTCGGTTGGCGGCAGGGCTGCAAAGCTGCTCATTTGGGATAAGATGCTTTCTGCTCTAGGTAGATGTTACAGGCCAAATTGTGTTCCCCCGAAATGCATACATTGAAGTCCTCACCTGCAGTACACCTTAGAAGGTGACCATATTTGAAGACAGGATCTTTACAGAGGTAATTAAGTTAAAATGAGGTCATTAGGGTGGGCTCTAATCCAATATAGCTGGTGTCCTTATAAGAAGAGGAATTTTGGACACAGACACATTCAGAAGGAAGATAACATGAAGAAATAGGAAGAAAGTGATCATCGACCAGTCAAAGAGGGAGGGCTCAAAAGAAACGGATCCTGCCAACACCCCGATCTTGGACTTCCAGCCTCCAGAACCGTGAGACAGAAATTTCTTTTTGAAGCCATGCAGTTGGAGGTACTTCATTATGGCAGCCCTGGGAAACTAAGACAGTACGCCTGGACAGAATGCAACAGATGTCAGCACGCCCAGAGAACCACGCTGCTCACTTCTCTCCCACTCAGACCCTTCTGCATACACATTTGCTTCAAACATCCAACCCCTGCCATCCAGCCCCTGCCTCCCTGGTCCTGGAGATTTCCAGCTAGGTCTCTCAGCCTGAAAGATCTGGTAGCTCAAAACGAGTCCCCATAGCACCTTAGGCTGTCCCTAAGCAGGGACCCTCAGGAACACACCACGTTGCACAAGCAGGAGCTTTCTGGAAGGGCCTTGGTCGCATTGATTGAGAGGAAAAGTTTAGCCTCTTCTCTCCTTTTCATCATTGGCAGAAGAGAGAAGAAGGCTGAATTCCCTGAATATGGCTGGGTAGGCACCCAGGGCCCAGGGCCCAAACTCCCTCGTCCTTCCTCACACTCTGGATGTCCTGTATGGACACGCTGGCTTCCTTGGGTTGGGAGATCTGCTTGTGTCAAGTGATCACCTCTGAGCCACAGATGCTCAGATCACCCGTGTGAGGGCAAAGGGCTCCGGGAGGCTGCTGGCCAGGGCCAGACTCGCTTCTCCACTTAGGGATCATCTCTCTGCTGCAGCCACTCAGCCCTAGATCCTCCTGTCCTGAGCTGAGTTTTGATTTAGTCATGAGATGGGGTGTTGTTCTCTTGCCTTCCCGAGAATCACCCGACCCCAGCTTCCTTTCACACAGGGAGCCCTTTAAACAGCTTTGGTCAACAATATAGGCTAAAGGTCAGGAGAACAAGACCGACATGTCAACACTGTGAATATCAACCCTCTTGGGAGAGTTTCCAAGTCAAGTAATGAAGTAGAAATCACGGACAACCTTGGTAGAAGGGATCTTATTTCTTCTGCAAAGTAAGGGGAAAAATATAAACAAAACAAGGTTTTTCTCAGTAAAATAAGGCCACCCACATACACTCCCCTTAAAAATCTAGGTTTGCCTCGAGTAACTGTGGGTTTTGGTCTATTGTCATGTTACTGTCAAGCTGCAGCACATGGTCAGAGGCAATCTCCTTACTTGACTGGGTCCTGATTTAGGAAAAAGGGAGGACCCAGGCTGCCTAAAATCCAGAGTCAACATTTCCCAGCTCTTCTCTCCTTTCCTGTGTATCTGGCAGCCCCACATGGACACACCCTGGGGCCATGGGGAGAGGGGTTGAATTCCAGCCTCACAGCCTTGCTCTCAATTGCCTCCCACATATAAGAAAACAAAAGGTCAGCCACCCAAGCTCAGTCAGCATGGAAGGGATGAGCCCAAAAGGAGCTGATGATCCTGGAAAAGCATTCATTCCCCAGTAGCTGCTGGTTTTGGGTGTTTCAGGTCCACAGGGAATCCTTTTTGACATAGGATGGCGCTCAGAGTTCAGACTTTAGCTTGGGTGTGAATGTTCAGTCCTGGTCAAGTCTTCTCAGTGAGTGTTTTGGACCTTTGCTCCCTCCTCCGTGCCTCTCCCAACCGCCCTAAATATGGATGTTTTCTAACACAAGCTGAACAATGCTCAGACGTCAAGGTCGGTGGCCTCTAATCTATTTGTGCAAAGGATCAAATGAAAATGGGCTTTTCCTGACAGTTCCAAGACTGGATTAGCAGCCTGTGTTTGTGGGTGTTGTGGGGCTGGAGCGACCAGAGACATCCATCTTCTGTCCTCTATCAGTGGAGGCAGCTCCAGGGTAGGGAGGCAACAAAGGAGCTGGCCCGGAGCCCACATGTCTGAGGAGTCCCTGGAAGACCCCCAGGGCAGATGGTTCTCAGCAGCCTGCCTGGAAGCACCTGGGAGAAGGGAGCCACATCTGCTGGGACCTGCCTGCATTTGCAGCTTCCACCATGAAGTCGAAGTTCCCTGGAGCCCATTGCCAGGGACTTTTCCTTCTCATTGTTGCCTCCACATTAAAATGAGGGCAAATAACCAAGCAGGAATGTATTTTTAAAAGACGTTTAGGGAATTTCCTGGTTGTCACCACAAAATAGCTCTCCATACCTCCTACTTTTGTGGCCTGATCCAGTTGGAATTCAGAATGATATCCTGGGAGTCATACAATCCGGACCAATTTTAAAAAGTTCAATTATGTGTACTAGATAAATCTTACAAAGTCAGGAATATAAGAAACATGTTCAGTAAAGATTTCCAATAACAGTATTTGAAAGCACATCAGACATTCTGTGGTCTGTAGATGTCTGTTCCACCCACAGGGGTCCTATATGGGCTGTGACCTGCTGCCCAGATGGCAGCTGACTGTCCCACCCAAAGGCAGCCATTAGCTGGTGAGGCAGCCCCAGGCACGTGGGTTTAGCTAGGCAAGTGTTTACTTTCCTTTGCCTCAGAGTGGTTCTACATGTGCTGAAATCCAACTGACCTTGAAGGGCTTCTCAGGGAGTTTTGAACTGGGGACACGCAGAGTGAGAAGCAGAGAAGGAGAGTGGGAAGCAGAGAGAGACACAGAGGGAAGCCGTGTCATAAGAATGACAGATCCCCCAGGGCAGGAGCCATGGATGCCAGCATCTGGGCAGTAGCAAAATAGAGGGTCTCCTCTGCAGAGTGGTTTTCCTGGGGTACATTGATGGGCTCCTGACAGCTAGGTTTGCACCCTAGCCCTGAACTTACTAGCTGTGGGACTTGGGCAAGTTACAAACCTCTCTCTCTAAGCCGTAACGTCCTCCTCCTCAAATCGGGATGCTGATGACAACCTGTTCCAAGAGACTGTTGCCAGCATCCAGCATAAAGCACACAGAGTATCTGGGGCCATGCCTAGCACTCAGGAAGAGGAAATGCTCAACAATTGCCAGCTATCTTCATTGTTAAGGCTGCCTTTGAATGAATCCTAAACCCTATGTCCTAACTGCACTGATAGTGTCCTGCCCATCTGTCTGTCCTTTCTCCTTTACAATAAACATTCGTGACTCAAAGTAACTGGAGTGTGCCTGTGTTTATCGCAGCTTGGAAGAGCCTCTCTAGCATGGAAATGAAAACTTTCTCAATACCAGAGAGCCCAGGTAGCCACTCTGCATTTAAACCCACATGGGAAAAGCAGCCAGCAAATGGTTGGCTTGAGCTTTGAAGGGCCTGGATCTCAAGTGCCCTTTGGGTCAGTGCAAACTGGACAAAATGCAGTTATGGGGCACTGCTCTGCTGCCCAACGGAGACGTGGTGGAGGCCATTTCCAGACTGGAGGGGAGGGAGAAGCTGGTGTTCTTGTCCAGAGGACACATAGCCAGCTGTGCAGCTGCACAGCTGACTGTGTGTCTATGAACTGGGCAACTGGGCATGTGTGTGGACAGGAAAAGGTGTACATGCAAGAGTGCGCTATGTCCCGTGGCCATGGGCGCCTGTGTGTTTGTGCCAGGAGAGATGCTACGCAGGCAGGGCTGGGGGGAAAGCATGTTTATGTGTGTCTGTGTGGGCTTGTACCTAGGGAGAGCTGTGTGTGTGTGTGTGTGTGTGTGTGTGTGTGTGTGTGTGTGTGTGGTGTCGGAGAGCTGTGGGTGAGGGTGTCTCTAGCTGTGTGCACCTGAGAATGGATGCATGTATGCAGGTGTGTTTGATCCTGTTCATGGCCACGCATGTCCAAGTGTGTATGTGATTCTGCCTGTGGCTCGTGTGCGCAGCCACTCTCTTTACCTTCAGCAGCTCAGCTGGCCTTCATGTAGAATGGGCGGGGCAGGCCACCAGGGTCACCTGGCTGACAGGGCTCTAATGATAGCCTTTGGGGCCTGCTGTGTTCCAGGAACCAGAGCCATTCAGGAACAGCTGATGAGACTAGGAATGAGGAAGTCGCAAAGGTTCCTCTGGGTTTCCATTTCAAGGGGCACAAATTGACCTTTGCCTCCTCGGCCACTTAGGCTTGCTGCTTGCTCCTTGTCCCTTCCCCCAGGGAGGGAGGAGAAGCAGTTTCACTTTTCTTGCCAGTTATTTTCACTTTCAGACTCCCTGAGAAAGGTGAGGCAGGACTGGTGTGATGTGTGCCCGAGTCTCAGGCACTATCGTGAGGGTGCAGGGCCAAGGCAGGTGATCCTGCATGGAGACATTCTAGGTTCAGGGACTGCCTGTGGATCCATGCCAATTGCTGTGATCAGCCAGCCCATCCAGGAGAGAAGCTGTGACTTCCCCAAGCACACCAAGCTGTAACTCTCTGGGTCCTGTCATTTGGGCTGATGAGAAAGCAGCTTCCGAGGAGAGACATGATTCATCCAAAGAGACGATTCATGTGAGAGCCAGCTTTCAGGCCAAGTATTGATGGGAGACATCTGGCTGATTGGCCAACAGCAGGTAGAGGTAGGAGCTAAATTTCCATCCTACATAATAACAGCCTATGCCAGACAGCATAGCTCCCAGCACCTCTGTCCACCCAGAGATGCCTTCCTGGCCCTCCCTGGCCACTTCATTCCTGCCCTCACTGTCCCTTCATGCCTGGTCAGGTGCCAGGCAGGCCCCAGCCAACTGGACAGGCCCCAACCACTTCCAATTGGGCTCCAATCATCTGACAGGCTTCTCCCAGGGTAATCAACCCCTGCTTCTCAGCCTGAGACTTCAACCCTTCAGACAGGCCCTGCCTGCTCCCTGTAGGGTCCCTCCTGCAAAGGCCATGGCAGCAGACCCAGCTTTCCCCTGGGTTATGGATCCCCAGCTCCCCCTGCTCCCAAGTCTGAGTGTGCCTGGACCCTGCTGCACACTCATAATGGACTCTGCATGCTCCAGAGTGCCAACACCACACACACATACACACACACACGCTCTCTCGCTCTCTTTCTCTCTCTCACACACACTCTCAAACACATACACTCGCACACTCACTCACACTCTCATACACACACTCACATGCTCACACTCGTTTTCTCTGTCTCTCACACACATACTTTCACTCTCTCAAACACACACGCTCACTCGCACTCACATACACTCTCTCGTTCTCTCTCTCACACACACCCCCACACACCCACTCACACACTCACATTCTCACACATGCTCACACACACATGCACTCTCACACTCTCCCACCTTTTATAGGTGCTGTGCAGCCTCAGGCCTTCCCCTCCCCCGCTGACTGCCCTGTCTCATGGCCATTGTAAACTGTTCAGTTCTGCCTGAAGCTTGCCCTGCTGGCTGCCCCAGGCCGCCCTCCTGGGCCACTATCTGCGTTTCCAGCCTGTGTTAACAAGATGCATCCTGGTGGGTTCTTGACATTCTTCCAGTTAGAATGAGTATGTTCTGCATTTCAGATAAAACAATGATAGTCTTTCCCAATTCACAGGAGAAATCAAGTTAATAGTAAGAATTCTCTCTCTTTGAGTCCTTCTATTAAATGTTTCACATCTGCAGCCTCAAACCAAGAAACAATCACACATTTGATATAAAGCACCTAGACTCAGTTTACCAACCTTAATCTTTACATTAAATTTGGCTGGTGTTTACTTTTATCCAACTGAAATGCTTCGTGTGTCTGAAATGAAATGCCAGCATGATGACATCTCACTTGTGGAATGAATTAACTGGGCCCCAGATTTAGCAAGTGAAAATATACAAGACACTCAGCTCAACATAATAAATAATACTAGATAAACAATAAATAATTTTTTAATCATAAGTATATCCCAAGTATGGAATATTTGCTAAGTATGGAATCCTTATGCTAAGAAATGGTTGTTTATCTAAAATTCAAATTGAACCAGGCATCAACGTTTGACCTGGTGGTCCTAACCTAGTGCTTACACCCGCTGGCATGAGCCATCACACATCATAGGCTCTGCAAGGAACTTGCAACCCCCATAGCAAAGAGCTGAGTTTGTCAATGGTCTACACTAGAGTGTGGCCTAGGGCTTCTCCTGGCAGTAACCCCGCTGTCTCAGGTTTTAGAGAGTGGGATTACCTCTGGTCAACCCCACTGATACCCAGCCCTCAGGCCCCCGGCGGTCATTGCACGGCCTTATAGGACAGTTTCTAGCTGGATGGTACTGTGAGCTCACACTTCCATAGCCGCTTGTGTTTTTCTTTCTCTTCTTGGCCCATGAATACATTTTTGGAAAGGAAGAAGGCAAGCCCAGTGAAGACAGCATGAGGAGAGCATCCACCTTTTGACATTGCACACAAGCAAGGATGACACCATGACCATCTTTGAAAGGGCAGAGCTGGACTTTTGCATAACATTATTCAGGTTAATGACACCTTGGTACACATCAGTCAATTAAATAATAAATAAAATGTATTGACTCTTAGTCTTCAATAACACCTCTGAGACTTGTTAATAATACTTGTGGATTGAAGATATATAAACAAAATCAATATTTATTGAAAAAATGTTCAACGTTTGAGAACTTAGATTAACCTTGTTAATTGATCCTATAAAGTGTCAAATTTTTGACTGATTTGTTTACTTACATGCTTGTGAAATTCTTTGGGATGGATATTGCTTCCTAATACAATGTTTGTAGCACACTCTGTCCTGTTTGCCTGTTCAGTGTTTTGGGGGAATGTGTCGATACCTGGGTTGGCCTTGGGAGGGGGTCATGGATGTGAACTCCTTCCCTTGATTCAGAGAGTCTGCTGTGGGCTTCCCACTCCTCAGCTTGGAGCAGGTCAGCAGCCACAGTTTCCCTCCACAGCAGCCTTGGCTGGTTGACTTAGAAACCTGCTGGGAGCCTCGCATTTCTTTTTGATGTGGTTTCCCCAAGGAAGCTGGGCCATGAGCTAGATCAGATGGTGAAAGAGCCAGTAGAGAATAAAGGGGTTGCAATGCCTTTTATTTGTGCAGGCAAAGGGTCAGAACGGGAGGGCAGCAGGTGGACCCCAGCTTTGGTAGACTTGACTAATGGACTACCTGTCTACTCTACCCTTGGGGCTCTGCCCTGAGAAATGACTTTGGCAGCTGAGCTCAGAGAGGGAGGCCAGACGCAATGGTTCATGCATGTAATCCCAGCAGTTTGGGAGGCTGAGATGGGTGGATCGTTTGAGGTCAAGAGTTTAAGACCAGCCTGATCAACATGGTGAAACTCCGCCTCTTACTTAAAATACAAAAAATTAGCTGGGCATGGTGGCATGTGCCTGTAGTCCCAGCTACTCAGGAGGCAGAGGCTGCAGTGAGCCAAGATTGTGCCACTGCACTCCAGCCTGGGCAACAGAGCAAGACTTCGTCTCAAGAGGAAAAAAAAAAAAGAGCGGGAAGCCTGGGGCTGTGCCTTTAGGCCATATAATCCAGACAGGCAGCACAACCCAACCCCGTCTAGCATGAGCTGTTCCCCTTACTCTGCTCTGCCTGGCTGGACCTGGGAGAAAATAGTCATCTGCTGGAGCAACACTTGGGAATCCTTCCAGGGCCGTTGGCCTGTAACAACATCTCACAAAGAAGAGTACATCCCATGGCGGCAGGGGGAGAGTAATGGACATGGTTTAACATACACAAACAAACTGTAGTATTTTTGTGAATGGTTATGAGTTTATTTTAATGTAAACTAGAAAAGTGTGACATTAATATCAACAATAATCATTTATTATATCATGGTATATTGCAGAGTGATTTGTTCAGCCTATGCCACATCATCATATTATTTAGCCATTTTAAGTAACATGGCTTTACCTCCCCAGGGAGATGGTGAATTCCTTAAGGAAATGACCTATTCCTAAACTTCTGTGGCATCCCCTTGGATCTGGCATAGAGAGCTCAATAAACAAGGTGAACCAGGCATAAAAAGAAACATAGCTGGAAGTGCATCTTTTCAACTCTTGGCCCTGGACAAGGCAGGTTGGTTTTTACATATTGGTGCTCAAATCAATCTTTTAAAAACATCTTTCATCTGCTCTTTATTGACCCCTGGCCTCCATCCTTGGCCCTTCTTTAGTTGTCTTCCAAGCCCCAAATCTTCTGAGGCCTGGGGACTGGCAGGGGACCCCAGACTCAGGAACCTACAAGGGTAGGGATGCCTTCACAGTCATTACAGGACAGCCCTCCCCTTGCAGATTCCTAGACACATAAACATCCAGAGAAGGGCAGGTAGCCCTGGATGCTTGCATCCCATTAGGGAGCCATCAGAAGGTGGGGTAGGACTCGGGGTGTATTAGTCCATTCTCACACTGCTATGAAGAAATGCCTGAGACTGGGTAGTTTATAAAGAAAAGAGGTTTAATGGACTCACAGCTCCACATGGCTGGGGAGGCCTCAGGAAACTTAGAATCATGGCGGAAGGTACCTCTTCACAGGGCGGCAGGAGAGAGAATGAGAGCTGAGCAAAGGGGGGAAAGTCCCTTATAAAAACCATCTGATCTCATGAGAACTCACTGACTGTCACAAGAACAGCATGAGGGGATCGCCTCCATGATCTAATCACTTCCAATGAAGTCCCTCCCCTGACATGTGGGGATTATAATTCAAGATAAGATTTGGGTGGGGAAACAGAGCCAGACCATATCAGGATGCAATGGAGTGGAGGGCTGATTGGGTTTCAAATGGGCAGGAAGCCCATGCTTGGGGAATTTTGAAATTTCTGCATTGCTGAGTGACCACTCCAATGTCCCCTGGCAGCCAGCTGCAGGATGAAAGATGGTTTGTTTAATGCCTCATCTGAGAACCTTAAAAGAAACAAGAACTCAGTTTAAATGACAGTAGCCAGGATCATATCAGATCCTCTCAAATCAGGATTGATAATCCTGGGATGAACACATTCATTCATTCAACAAATATTTATGAACACCTTTGGAGGGCCAGGCAGTGATCCAGGCCCTGCGCCAACCACTTTATTAAAGTGTAGCTGTTTTCAATGATTAAATCTGATCCGGGTCTTGGTAGAAAAGTGAGGACCATTTTATTACAGTGTTATATATATATATATATATATATATATATATATATATATATATATATTTTTTTTTAGGCTTTGTCCACAGAAACGCAACCCCTTCTTCCACCGCTTCACACAGTCATGCACATATATGTCTTCAGCCATCTGAGAATGAGCTCCCTTCTTCCTGTGCAGATATGATCAGCCCTAGCTGACTATGGAAAACAGGGCAGACATTTGGCAAGGAGCTCAAGGTAAAAGCCATCTATTTAGTCCCTGGGGCAGACGAAAGGCAGGGAGGAAGGAGCCAGGGTGGCTCTGAGGCTGTGCCCCTGGGGAGTGATGCTGACCTCAGTTTGGAGGCTGTCCTCCTGCTCCTACATCAGCAAATGTGTTTATTCCGTTTCCTCTCCAGGGCTGGCATCTTCCCTATGTGGAAAGTCCTTCTGACTCTCAGTCCGGAATGTGGGTGCTGGGGGGAGCTCAGGGAGCATAGAGGAAACTGAAAAAGTATTCTGGATGTAATTCATAACATTTTTCGGCCTTTGCAGAAGTGTGGCTTTGTGTCCTCTAAAATACACATGAATGAGGCGTAGAGAAAAATAGAACAATCATAAAAGGAATGTCTGATGCTGAGGGAGGAGAGGGTGGTGCAGGGAGATCGCCCTTCTGATGGCCATTGCTGCCATTTACCTAGGCCTTGCACATCATTAATTCCTTTTTCTGCTCTTCAGCCACAGCAACAATGACCAAGAATAAGTTAGAAAATGGGCCAAGAAAGTCCAGGCACAGAAGCAAGCCAGTGTCAAGGGACTCGCCATTGCCAGTAAGCCAATACCATCCCTCCAGCTCAGGCTGGAGTGGGCCCTCTTGTGTATGAGCCTGCTGTATGCATTGAGTGGGGGCGGGACAAGGTGCTTTCCTCTAAAACAGAGGTTCTGAAAGCATGGTCACTGGGCCAGCAGCCGTAGCTACACCTGAGGACTTGTTAGAAAGGAATGCAGAGGCCAGGTGCAGTGGCTCATGCCTGTAATCCCAGCACTTTGGGAGGCAGAGGTGGGTGGATCGCTTGAGGCAGGAGTTCGAGACCAGCCTGGCCAACATGGGCCAACAAGATGGGCCAACCCCATCTCTACTAAAACAACAACAACAAAAAATACAAAAATTAGCCACTGTTGTGATGCACGCCTGTAGTCCCAGCTACTCAGGAGCCTGAAGCACAAGAATCGCTAGAACCCAGGAGGCAGAGGTTGCAGTGAGCCAAGATCACGCCACTGCACTCCAGCCTGGGCAACAGAGTCAGACCCTGAAGAATGAAAGAATGAAAAGAAAAGAAAAGAAAGGAAAGGAAAGGAAAGGAAAGGGAGAGAGAGAGAAGGAAGAAAGAAAGAAAAAGAAGGAGAAAGAAAGAAAGAAAGAAAGAAAGAAAGAAAGAAAGAAAGAAAGAAAGAAAGAAAGAAAGAAAAGAAAGAAAGAAAGAAAGAGAAAGAAAGAAAAGAAATGGAGAATCTCAGGCCCTACTCCAGTCCTACTGAATCAGAAACCCCAGGGCAGGGCCCCATGCCATGTGTTTGAACAAGCTCCGGGGTTTCTGATGCACACCCAAGTATGAGCACCAACGCTCTCCATGGGCACCCTGCTTTCATCTCTTCACAGCCACCTATGCCAGGCCTCACAAATGTTTCCACACGGACTTTCCAGGGCAGAATACCCAGATCCCCAGGTTCAGCGAGTGGCCTGAGTCTCTGAACTCACCAGGGCCCTGCTGCTGCCCACGGGCTTCTCTCTTCACCAACGTTTACTGAAATTCCATGGAAATGAAGAACACAGAGCAGCGGAGACAATCGGAACCCAAGATGTGCCCCTCTAGAGACCA
Organism: Homo sapiens; assembly: GCF_000001405.40. Lineage (NCBI taxonomy): Eukaryota > Metazoa > Chordata > Mammalia > Primates > Hominidae > Homo > Homo sapiens. The sequence continues at coordinate 134,051,040 of NC_000003.12, read as the reverse complement.
GATGGGCCCACCTTCCATAGAACCATGATGCTTTCTCTAAGAGACTGGTAGGAGAGCTTTGCAAGCTAAACCGAGGTCAGAGAAAAGACAGATGGCCTGATTGCATGGTAAGATCAAAGTTAGGTGACTTGAGGGTATGAATCTCCTGTAATTTGGAAAGAATTACCTCTGGCACAAGAGCTACCCCTAAAATATTTTAGGTCTTCAGGCACAGCAAAAGGGGGAGAAGCAAATTGCAGCCGGAGTAGATATTCTGACAGCTTTCCACCGTCCTCCATCATGAGGAGTTGATGTCGCCTTCCATCTACACTAATGAAGCTTCTGTACAAAGAGAGACTGGTGAAGACTCAAACCCCACAGCAGAGTCTGTGGAAGTTTATAAGGAGCGGGAAAATGTGAACTTGCTAACTTTTGGGGAAGTGCAGACTTCAATGGAATGAATTTCTTTTTTGGTTGGGTTTTTTTTTTTTTTTTTTTTTTTGAGACAGAGCCTCACTCTGTCACCCAGGCTGGAGTGCAGTGGTGTGATCTCAGCTCACTGCAACCTCTGCCTTCTGGGTTCAAGCAATTCTTGTGCCTCAGCCTCCTGAGTAGCTGGGACTACAAGCACCTGTCACCATGCCCAGCTAATTTTTTTGTATTTCTAGTAGAGACGGAGTTTTAACATGCTGGCTAGGCTGGTCTCAAACTCCTGACCTCAAGTGATCTGCCTGCCTTGGCCTCCCAAAGTGCTGGGATTACAGGTGTGAGCCACCACGCCGGGCCTGGAATGAGTTTCTAAAAGACAGAAGGGAGAGTGATTGGGGGTGTCATGAGGTACAGAGGGGTTCCATGTGGGCCACTCCCCTCCGGGTCATGTAATATCCACCAAGGAGGCATCTTCACAGTCTGGGCAGTGAGACTCACACTTGATATTCTAGCTCAGTTCCAGAGAATGAGTTATCCCAGATTTGGATGAACAATGCCATGGTTGTTACCACTACTGTCTGCTACTGTTACAACTGCTTGGCTGGGAGGCATGGGAGAGAAGTCAAGCAAGACACCAAGATTTCTGCCTCTGAGTTGTTGGTTGGAAACACATGAGCAAGAGGATGAAGAGTTTTGGGGGAGGAAGAGGGATGCACTCAGCTGAGTTTCAGGAATCTGTGGGTTGCCCAGGTGAGAGGTCCAGAGGCCTAGGCATAAGGTTTGGAGGTCAGAGAGGGTCTGGGTTAAAGACTCACAGAGATGGCTGTGAGTCACTAGCAGTAGGTGGCTACTAGCAGAGTCACGGGATGTGGAGTAGAAAAGGAGAGGACCAGAGCCCAGGGACACCAATGGTTAGGTGGTGTGCATGATGAGGATGCTGGGAGGAAGCATGAGAAGCAGCCAGCATGGGGGCGGGAGATGCAGGAGAGGCATGATGGGCACTAAGTGGGGAGAAACCTTCCACAAGGGGATGATCCAGGCTGTGTGAGCTGCAATGGGTTGGGATAGGTGTCCATGATCTATTGATTAGAAGGTCCCTGTTGATTTTGTCAACAGCAACTCCATTGTCATGGGGAATCTCCAAGCCAGTTTGCAGCAGGCTGAGCAGAGAATATTAAGTAAGAAAAGTAGAGACAATTTTAGGAAGGCTGACAATAGAAGGTGGACAAAAAAACAGTACAGTCAGGCCAGGTGCAGTGGCTTATGCCTGTAATCCTAGCACTTTGGGAGGCCGAGGCTGCACTCCAGCCTGGGCAACTGAGCAAGACTCTGTCTCAAAAACAAAAACAGCAACAAACAGGACAGTGCAAGAGGGAGCCAAGGGGTGGAGGGTTGTTTGGTTATTAATATGGAGACATAAACAAATTTGCTTGGGGAGGAAGAAAAAGAAACAGAGAGAGAGGGGGGGAAAGGAGAATGAGGAGAATGGATCCAGATTACAGCTCAAGGGGCTGCCCTTAGTCAAGAAGGGGGACTGTCTTTCCACTGAATTCTCTGTAGGCCAGACAGGAAGTGAAAATAGGAAGGATAAATAGATGGGAGAACTGAAGGTGCCAAAGCCCTGCATGGCTCCATGAAGTGCAAGTCCAGCTTCAGGTGGAATAAGGCCAGAGAGCAAAGTGTGGGCATTTCAGAGGTGGGGTGCCTCCTGGTGGGGGCGGGCCCCTGGGTGTGAGTGCAGGTGACTGATATGGCCTGGAGGTGATGGCCTCCGAAGGGGAAGAAGTCAAGGGACTGACGGTATGGGCAGGAGATGGCGGTCCCTGAGGACGCGGACATTGCCCAGTGTGGCAGTGGTGTGAGTGGAGGCTGAGGGGAAGTGCTCTAGGTTACAACCTCAACCTGGAAGGATGAGGGAGAGGGACCTGGGGAGAAATTCACGGCAAACAGGGGAAGGGTGGGTGTGGAGCCTCACAGAAAGAGTTCAAGAAACAGTCTGGGAAGGGGCCTCAGAGAGCCAGGTAAAAGCCCACACCCCACCCACTTCCTGGCCCTGAGTGTTGGAGAAAGAGCAGCCTCTGCTCAGAAGGACACAGGGAGCAGGGCCCTTGAGGGCAGCTGGGTTCCAGCAGAGACGAAGGTGGCAAGAGCAGAGGGGGCAGAGGCTGAGGAGGTGGGGAATGGACCGTGGACCCAGGGATCAAGGGGCTGGGAAGGGGTTGGAAGGGGCAGGGCAGTGGGAGGTTGGGTCTGGGAGGAATCATAGAGGAGTCTAGGGGTGAAGGAGGCAGAGGATCAGAAACTGAAGGCCTTGTGTTTGGGGCCATGTCCCAGGCCAGTGTTGTGATCACATTCCCTGAGTTATGCCCAGTACATCACCAAAGTCAAGCCTCTGTTGATGACTGTTTCTTGTTGCCTTTGATAACTTCTTCTCTTGAATAAAGCCCACCCACCCTAATTAACTCAGGTCCCACCTTCTCTGAGAGTCTTTCTTGAGCATTGCTGACCCTTGAACTCTTACTATATTCTTTCTCATTTTAATCTCCAAATAACCTTGCATTTTTATTTTACAGTTTTATGTATATGGAGTCATAAATAAAATTGGTGGGTCTCCTAAACTTTTTTTTTTTTTTTTTTTTTTTTGAGACAGAGCCTAGCTCTGTCACCCAGGCTGGAGTGCAGTGGTGTGATCTTGGCTCACTGCAACCTCTGCTCCCCCAGCTCAAGTGATTCTCGTGCCTCAGCCTACCCAGTAGTTGGGATTACAAGTGCCCGCCACTACACCCAGCTAATTTTTATATTTTTAGTAGAAACAGGGTTTTGTCATGTTGGCCAGGCTGGTCTGGAACTCCTGACCTCAGGTGATCCACCTGCCTCGGCCTCCTAAAGTGCTGGGATTACAGGCGTAAGCCGCCGCACCCAGCCTAAACTTTTTTGATTATACACCAATCAAAGATTTGTCACATATGTTTTATGTGGCTATTACTATAGCAATATATTATGTATATTATAAAATGTATAAAAAGTATAAATTTAAAATTATGAGATGGCAGCAAATACCTCTAAATAAACATTATGATCTATTCTGCCCTCTGCCCAAGAAATGGTCCTGTGTTCCCACCAGGGTGCACACGCTCCCCTTTGAGACTGCTGAGCTGTGGTATGAGTTGCCGGAGTGTGCTGGTCTCTCACACATCCTCTGTATCTCCTTTGTGAACAAGAATTGTGTTGTGTGCATAGCAGGTGATCAATAAATATTTGTGAGAGGGACAAGTAAACAAGTTACCCAGGAATGTTTTGGAATAGAGGTATAAACAAAAGGTCTCTGAAAAGGAATTTGGAGGAAAGAGACTTTATTCCAGGGAACAGTTTGCAAACTGGGGAGACACAGACTAAAGTGTAAAATAAAGGTGCACTCCAGAGAACAAATGAAGAGTTTGGTATTTATTTATTTATTTACTTTTGAGATGAGGTCTCACTCTGTCACCCAGTTTGGAGTGCAGTGGCTCACTGCAGGTTTGAACTCCTGGGCTCAAGCAATCCTCCTGCCTCAGCCTCCCAAGTAGCTAGGACTACAAGCACGTGCAACCATGGTCTTTTTTCTTTTTCTTTTTTTTAGTTTTTTTTGAGATGTAGTCTCACTGTGTTGCCCAGACTGGTCTTGAACTCCTGGCCTCAAGTGATCCTCCTAGCTCAGCCTCCCAAAGTACTGGGATTACAGGTGGGAGCCACAATGCCCCTCTGGGTTTGGCTTTTATAGAGAAAGTGCTTGCCCAGGTTCCCAATCAGGTCTAGTTATGCAAGTGAAGGATTCAAACTTACTTAGTTCTGATTGGTCAACATAGCTGAGTTCTGTTTGGTCAATACAACTGAGCCCTGATTGGTTGATACAACTGAGATCCTAAAGTCCCAGAGTTACACAGAGATGTGGGTTTTCAGGAAACTGAGAGTAGTATGACCTCTAGTCAGCAAATGGTCACTTAGCTCTATTTAAAATTTAGGCCCTGTTAGCCACTTGGAATCCATCTTGAAGAACTGGCTCTTCCAGGTTCACATTTGTTCACATTCCCCCATTTTGATCAAAACCTGTTGGCAGACATGCTGATGATTGAATAGGTTGGTTCAATCATCAGTGATGGTTCAACCAATCATTGTGGCACTGGAGTGGTTGGCTACGTGCTCCAGGTTCATCTAGTCTTGTTCAGGAATTCTAATGGCAGGACAGTGACCAACTGAGCAATTAGAGCCACTTATAAGAGGCACTCAGGTACCTGCCAAATTTGACTAAAGCATCTTGGGTTAAGTTTGTTCTGGTCTGGATGGAGCAAGTTTAAAGTCTCATGGTGTCAAGTTAGCACAATCCTAGTGGAGGTTAAAACAGGCTAGAACAATTTTAAAGAGGAGCCAAATGCTTAGCCCAAATATGAAGAAGATCATTAGGGTGGAAAGCAGAAGGGATTCTATACCAGGGCAAAGCCAGTTGAAAAATATCTGGAAATTGGAAATCTAGTCCAGTAAGTCCAGCCAGAAGGCTTTCTGAAGATGTCCCTTTTAGAGATTTAACCAGATTTAGGCTCTTAGATGTTTCCAATTCAACATAACTGGAAGTATTTATCCAGGTACTGCAAGAAGTGTTAGTGACAGCACAAACACCACCCAGTGTGGTGAGGTGATAGTCTAAAGCAATGTGGTTATCTAAGACCACATAAGCAAGGGAATCTGAGGGACCTCTGTTTTGTCCTTATGGTTCAGGCAGCAGGGCAAGCAATTCTGTTAATAGTGTGGGAAAGGATTCTGACCATATATATTCATTCCAAGCAGGGCCTAGTTCAAGCCAAGCCCATCTAGTTTCTTCACTAGGGTTAATCTCCCCATCACTCCCAGGTAAATGAGAGTGTCCTTGAGAGTATCCACACAACTATTATCTTCATGATCTGAAGGGTTATCATTGGTGTTGGATTGTGCCCAAAGACTCTTAGCTAGCTCTTGGAGAGCAGGGTGGCAGGTAGCATTGGTGAGGCTAACTGAAAAGATGGAAATTTGGGTAAAAGCCATTTATGTGGCAAAATCTCCTGATGAGGATAATTTCAGCATTATTTCCCCTTTTGGGAAGAAGGAAATACGAGCCTGGTAACTTTCTTAGAAGTCTTTTCCAGGAAGTGCATGGGGACCAACAGGACAAGCAAAAGGCAATGACTGCCAGTGAGGGGTCTAGTTGGAAGGGGATAGGTAGAGATTTAGGGACCATCATAGCCTGATTGGCCACCTTGACCATCTGGATGAATTCAGAACTCTGGGGAGGAGGGCTCATTGAAAGCATATCAGGGTTAAGGATGGATGGACAAGATAGCTCCAGTGTTGACCATAGCTCTGATTAGTTTGTTTCCAATTTTAATATCCAATTCTCCTGGTTGGTTAATTTTGAGTAGGGAAAAATGTCCCTTGAATGTCCTTGAAGCATCTCTAGTTTTGCATGAGAGAAGAGAGCCAGGGGCTTTATCAACATTTAGTCATAGCCAACTATTGGAGGAAATTAGAAGAATTCAGGATCTAGTCCAGTCTACAACTTAAAAACAATGGACTGGCCTACAATCTAATAAGAGATATGCTTTAGTGTTTTTTTTCCCCAGAAACATAACTTTTTCTCTCCACACTGATCATATAGAAATCTCAGATTTAAAAAAAAATCTTAAGGCTAAGAAGCCAGACCAAGGGAGGCTTTAGATTTTGCTTACAATCTTCAGGTTCTTAAAGTGACAATTTTTACGCATTCACTGTAAGGCCAGACACTCTTGAAGCCAGGCATTTTATGCATATTCTTAAATATGACATTTCCACCAAAACCTTTATAATATAACCAAGGTTTCCAAATTTATCTTGCATATAAAGAAAGAGCAGATTTTTATTGAACTTACATAAATACAAATAAGAATACTCACAAATAATTTCTGAATTTTGGAGGAATCAAGTAGGTATAAAAATCAAATGCTTCCACTTTTGCTCATGAAAAGATATTTCACTAAATTATTGCAAACTATAAATCCTTTATGAAAGAAAATTTCCCTGAATCTGAAAAATAGAGCACATAAATAAAGAACTAACCATTCTTGTCTCCTTATGTAAGCACTAGGGAAAAAAATCAACTTTATCAATTATCAACTACTTAATTTCATGTAATTAATTTTGCTGTTGTTTTGCTCAATTTTGATTAGCAGTTCCAGGAAAAGCAATTTTGGACTATAAATGGTTGCAAATGCTTCCAGAGAAAAATTGAAAACAATAACTGTGGGTAACAAAAACCTAGAACAGCCAAGCTCAAACATCTGACAGAAGTCCACAGTGGACAAGGAAATTTAGTTATATTTGTGTATATAAAAATTTAACATAATAGCCTAATCATGACTGATAGTACATGTCATGACATATCAGAGTTTTAGAACTCTCACACAATTTTGGAACATATTTTAATACCACATGTATACAAATATAACTTAAAGGAAGTTGAACATCATTTCTTAATTGATAATGCTTCCCCTATGATTTCTCAATAAGCCTAATCATTTAATCTTTATGCAAGATGAGAGATACATTCTTTGAGGCTCTCCAGGAGCCCACGTGGAAAATCCCAAAGTTAATTTTAGGCCAAAAAGATTTAATTTTGGATTTTGATGCAGGGGAAATCTACCAAAGATGTCAAAAAGTCTAAGGTACTTGATTGAACAGAATCATAGGTCACTGCTAAATAATAGTTATTCATTTAACTAGAGCGGTAATCAAAAGACTTCAAAAGCACTACAGAAAGTTACATGGATGTAAAAACCTTAATCCTTTTAAAGTTCAATTTTCCTAAATATCAAAAACTCAATAAAGATAACATGAAACACAGGAAATTATCTTGGTAAAGCATAGAATCTTTGTTTCCTAGGCCAGTTACCTAAAAGGCAAAGAAAAAAGAAAACCGCCTGTAGTGTGATTGCTTTTATTTATACAATGTTCCTTTAGATAACTTGTAAGTTAAGCCTAACAAAAAGAGGACTTGAATTTAATCAGGCACAGGATAAGTTCATCCAGGGTTATGAATGTACTTTATGTTATAGAGAAATGTAAGCAAGAAAACTGGCACCTTGCACAGGAGAATGTCTGGCTTTTAGTAATGACATAGGAAATTTCCTGGTTACATGAAACAATTAAGACTTATCAGGAAAAGTCAAAAGTACAGAATCAGGCCGGGCATGGCAGCTCATGCCTATAATCGCAGCACTTTGGAAGGCCAAGGCAGGTGGATCACCTGAGGTCAGGAGTTCAAGACCAGCCTCTCCAACATGGTGAAACTCCATCTCTACTAACAGTACAAAAATTAGCTAGGCATGGTGGCAGGCACCTGTAATACCAGCTACTCAGGAGGCTGAGGCATGAGAATTGCTTGAACCTGGGAGGCAGAGGTTGCAGTGAGCCAAGATCACACCACTGCATTCCAGCCTGGGCAGCAGAGCGAGTCTGCATCTCAAAAAAAAGTACAGAATCAAGTTGTACTGTAGGAAACACTGCTTTCCTAGACCTTCAAGATAAACACTTATACAAAAATTAGCTGGGCATGGTGGCATATGCCTATAATGCCAGCTACTCAGGAGGCTGAGGCAGGAGAATCACTTGAACTCAGGAGGTGAAGGTTGCAGTGAGCCAAGATTGCGCCACTGCACTCCAGCCTGGGTGACAGAGCAAGTCTCTGTCTCAAAAAAAAAAAAAAGATGAACACTTTAGTGACAAATTGTAATGGCTGTGCTAAAACCAGGGAAAAAGTTACAGGACTTGGCAAAAATGTTGAAGGAGAGGGTAATCAACCCAGCCAAGCAAAAAGATAGACCTTTTCAAGGGTAGAAAGGAGAGTTGCATTTCCAACCTGAAACTAGGGAAATTTGATAGAGCTCAGGAAGAAATGTGGCAGAAATAGAAACTGTTTGTAGTTTAGAGGATTACTGCTAAGAAACTGATTTCAGAACCAAAAATCAAAACTTCTTACAATTTTATTAAAAGCAAATCAACATTTTATGAAACACCTCATTGTTCTAACATAGGGGACCAACATTTTAAGTTCTGTATTAGTGTGTTTTTAACATCAAAGTTCGATCTCTAGAAAGGCTCATACACAAGTTCCTTCCAATTGTAACTCACTTGATCACACAGAAAATTCCTTTTATAAATTGTCTTTTCACAACATTATCATGATTCACTTAGATCATTAACAACATGCTTGGACTTTCTGGTTTGTCCCATACTTCCTCTTTCATGAATAATCAGTCATTTAATCTAGAATGGAAATTTACCACCCAAGATTTTTTCTCACATAAATTATTTTCTTTTCTTTTCTTTTCTTTTTCTTTTTCTTTTTTCTTTTCTTGTCTTTTCTCTTTCTTACCAAATATACATCTTACCCTCCTTATACGCTTGCACACAGAATAGTCTTTCTCATCAATAGTGGTTTAATCACATACATTAATTACAATGTTAACTCTTGGTGACCCTAATTTTCGGTAAAAACCTAGAAAGCAAGCAGCTTTTAACTATCAATCATGTACCAACAATCCAAGAATATACATTTTACAATTTCCAGGAACACATGCTTTCTAACAGAACCGACTCTTTAATATGGAACAGGATATTTTTACTAGAAGATCCACTTACGTTTCTCAGAAATAAGAAGCCAAAAGTATATGAACCTAAACCCATAATATTCAGCAGTAAATGTCTCAGCATTACATCTTATCTGAAAATGATCTAGACATTCAATGTATATCCATCATTTAATTTAGCTTAGCAAACCCTAAGGATATCATTACTAAAGACATTTGAGAAATCTTCTTAAGTAAACATATAAAACATAACCATTATCCACAATTCATTTATGAACTTTTATTTCATTTATATCCATCCAATTCATTCGCTTTTAAAAATTATATTTGGAAAACTTCATGACACACTAGACAAATCTAGCTACCATCTTAAGCTAAATTTTTTCATCAGCAAAATTTACATTATTGCATGCCAGGCAAGTATCATAAAAGCAAGAACCCTAAAGTTAAATACATGCATATTTTTCTAATAACTCAGAAGACATAGTGATTCCCACCAAACCAACAATATTAGACTAGTCCCACCCACCAAAAGACTACTAAGTTACATGAACTTGAAAAGCATTTGGGCTTATTTGCTTAATTTACGAGTACCCATTCATTTATAAACCAATTTGGTGGCATAGACAATATACAAACAGATATGTTTACACATATATACACAAAAATACAAAAAGGCGCAAAGATTTTACAGCTTAATTTTAAAACTCACTAGTTTAAAAGGACAGTTGGATTCAAAACTGTGTTTCTGTAAATGTAATAGGCTGAAATTTATCTGTCCCCCGTGGCCAAAGCCTTTACCGAATTTCAGATAAAACAGCGTATAAATTTGTATCTCAAGCACAGAGAGAATTTAAGTTTTCTCAAGAAGGAGTTTGGGTGTGCTAGAGGAGGATTAAAATGCATGCCAAGGTGACATAAATCATAGGAATTTATCACACAATGTTACAAAGAAACATGCAGATGAGCCTAGAGAAAATGTAGGAACCTTTTCAAGATAACCAGCTGAAAGAGTGAAAGAGGAAGGAGGGAGTGAACAATAGACCAGAGACGGTGAAAAAGGTGCAGAAGTCAGGCAGAGGTGGGCAAGGGGGCTAGTGGAATAAGGGTCTTTCAAAGGTGTTTTAACAGTTTTAATTTCAATCTTGCAAGCACTATCTCTTTCTGTTTCATTAAGGCACTCATTCAGTTGGGAATTATTTCTCTAAGGGAGGCAATGGTAGCCTCTTGATTCAATTTAGAACTTTCGAAGGGCCAACTGAGAATTAGGCTTCCTTTCCATTTTCTCTGGGAGGCTCAGTATTTTCTTTGTTCCAATTGTGCACGCAAATAGGCAAGTTTGGAGTTTCAAAGGAGCCCCCATTTTTGCCAACAAAGTTTAAGATTACCCTAAGTAGTTTTTGTCCAAAGACTTAGCCTATTACAATTCCATGGACCATAATTTTTGCTCATAAGGCCAGCAGGAGAAAAGCAGTGCCGGAAGGTGGCTGATCAGCAGGGGAATCTTAAAATGTGGGTTATCCACTGCACTGGCCTGATGAAAATGTCCCTTCCAATGCCCTTAGTGTGACCCTCCCCACGAAACCTTACAGACGAGCCAAGTTCGACTGGGAAGAATCCCCCCAAAGGCAGAGTCAACTGGGATGGCAGATCCACCATCTCCCCAAGGTGCTGGGTAGTCCCACCTCCATCCTGAGTACCTTCTTAGCCACCAGGGCCTGATCCCAGCAGGGACAGTAGCTCCTTGAGACCCAGCAGGAAGACAAGGTCTGTATTCAGAAGTCCCAGGTGCCAGGTCACAATGACCTCTCACAGTGGGGGTGCCAGGTCACACTAACCTTTCACAGGGACCTGGGAGCCCTTAATAACCAAGGCTTAGTTCCTGTTCTTTGAAACATAGATTACAACAACCGGACCCACTTCCCATGGTAGCTGCAGGGGTTAAGTGAGATGCTGGCTCTGAGGCTGCTGTGTGAATTGCCCGGTGTTGTTGAAAACTTGGTTTATTGGATTCAATAGAACTCTTCAGATGCCAGCAACAGGAAATCCAGTTCAACAAAACTTAAACTATAAAAAGAATTTATTGGCTCACAGAACTGCAAAGACCAGATGCAATGCCCATTGAGACTTAGAGCCTGAAGGATGTGGCCATGGGCCCCGATGACCTCTGGCCCACACTCCTGTTCCTTCGGTGGCCACATCCTGGGGCAGATTCTCCCCACTGCTCCCTAGACCTTGACACTGAGGGAGGAGGCCCTCTGCCCTGACCCTGGCCCTAGGAGAGAGCACACTGTCCTGGTCGCTCCAGCAGGGGGCCCAAGTGGTCAGGCCTAGGCCCCATGCCCTCCTGCCCCAGTGAGTGTCAGCTTACCTAGGCCTCAGAACCTGAGAGTAGGGAGGGCTGGGACCCTGAAGGAAGGTCAGGGAACTTTTACGAGAAGAGGGATAGACTTGGAGAGGAGTAAACAGCAGAGGTCTACCTTGCTGACCATCATTCCTACTACTGTCGCTGGAGAGAGGTTCCTAGAGCCGGTGAGGCCAGGAGCCCCTGCGTGCATTTAGTCTCCACACCCTGGTGTGAGAGAGCCATAGGCTTACTGTCCTCAGGTCAGAGTCCTCCCTGGTCACTCTCCTCGGCCTCCTAGCCTGCTGCCTGCACAGGGAAGCAATGAGCATTCTCTTCCTGAGTGCCCTGCAATGGAGCCACACCTCCAGGCACTCCCTCCCTGTGACCATGAACAGGGAGGAGGCCTGACTTCTAGTGACCTCACCAGGTGACTCAGAGCACCATATTGGGCCCAGGGTGTGTTGCAGACCAGGGCCCAGGTAAAGGGTCTCATTGAGCTTTTATTGGCCCTGATGTTTACAGCAGAGAAGGGAGAACTGACGCTGCGTGGGAGAGACAGGCTGGCCTAGGGCAGGGGCTCAAGCACAGGAAGAGGCTGTGGTCCAGGACCCAGGAGCCGCTGCCCACCCCCAGTGCTCTTGGCACTTTCTTTGTTCAATTGGGAAATAAGGTATGCACTACATGCATCTCCCATCAGCCCCTCGCGCAGGAGTGGTGGGGAGAGGCAAGCTCTTCTGACAGATCAGCCCTGCTGTGTCTCCGGTGGTGGCATCCTGCTATCTGCACTTGTGTTTGTACTTGGTCCCTGCCCTGAAGGCTCACAATCTACCTGATATGGGGTCAGTCCAAACAGTGCAGAGAGGGCGTGTGCATGGCAATGCAGGGCACCCGCTCCCTTTCCCAGGTGAGAGAAAAACAGGGCTCAATATGTATTCCTTGGGCTCTGTGGAGGTGCAGGAAGGCAGGAAATCGGGAGCCTGGGGCCTTTCAATAAATGAGGAAGCCACAGACCTGGGCAAATAAAGAGAGGGGAGAGAAAGGGCCCTAGAAGCAAGACTGAGGAAAAAAGAGATCCCTCCCAGAAGTGAGGTCAGGGCAGGTGGGAGCATGGGCCCAGACCAGGGGCTGGACCCAGAGCAGGGTACACGAGCCCCAGAGTGATCATACAAGTGATACAGGCATTGTGGGGAATCCAGAAAACAAATAAGGATGTGCAGGGAACCTCTTCATTAGAGCTTCCACGGGCTGACCCTGCTATGAGCAAGGTGAGGACACAAGGAGAGCACTTCTCACCAGGAAATGCCAAGACAGCATTAAGGAAGCCTGCCTGCCAAGTGTGTGTGTGTGTATGCGTGTGCATGTGCATGCGTATGCCTGTGTGCGTGTGCGCCTGTGTGTGCGCGTGTGCCTGTGTGTATTGCCTGTGTGTATGTGCATGTGTACCTGTGTGTGTGCCTGTGTATGTGCGTGCATGTGCCTGTGTGTGTGTGCTCACGCCTGTGTGTGCATGTGTGTGTGCATGTGCATGTTTGTGCCTGTGTGTATGTGTGCATGTGTGTGCCTATGTGTGCCTGTGTGTGTGCGTGTGTGTGTGTGTGTGTGTGTGTGTGTGTGTGTGTGTGTGTCCTGCTGCAGCCTCTTGACAGCTCCCAGGGTTTAGGCTCCAAAGGCAGAGGGAGGGAGTTCCAGGGCTGGCACTGGGACTCCCAGCTTGTCTCAGATGTGCATAGCAGGAAAGTTTCAGGGAGGAGATGGGAGAGCAGGGTCCTGAGCCTCTTCCCATGAGCTGTATATACTATACTAACTGTAGAGCCACCCAGGCCCCAGAGAAAGCAGGGCCTCCTGTAGAGAAAAGTGAGGAACAACTGGGGAGGGAACAGGGGACCATGAGGGAAGCACTGCTAAATTCAGAAGAAAAATATGATAGTAATAATGGTGGCCATTATTGAGGGCTGTGAGACCAATTCACTCCTCACAAACACCTCTGTGAATTAAGCACTGCACAGAGAAGAAGTTAGGTGACTTGCCTGAGGTCACATAGCTAATAAGCCGACAGTGCTGGGATAGACCAAGAGAACAGCCTGGCTTTGGACCTAAAATCCAACACTTCGGTTATGCCGGTGAGGAATCCAGTTCTTGCTGGGAAGGCACCCACATAAGGTCTCTGGCCTATAACCCTGGGTGCTGAGTTCCTTCTCCAGAACTGGGGGTGGGGGGGGTGCTGGGTCAAGGCAGCCACACTCCACTGCATCCTTGGGTGAGCCCCAGGTTGGCCAGGGTGGTGAAGGCGACGAGGCTCTCAGAGCTCATGAGGTTTGTCTGGACTGCTGGAGACAAGGAAGCCCCGGGGAGTGCCCAAGGTCTGTGGGGAGGGAGTGGGGTGGAGCTCTACAGCTGGTATTGTCATGCCATTCTCCTTGGAGTGCTCCCCTTGCTCTATACAGGCCAGGAGAGGTGTCACTGTAAGGAAGAAGGGGCCTAAGGGATGGAAATGCAGCATGAGGAAATAGTTTCAATGCCATAGAGAAAAATATCTAGAAGTGTTCACACCCATGGGGCTTAGTAATTATACCACTGTCAGTCAGTCCTAAGGCAAAGAACTATTTGCAAAATGTTATCCATCAAGTCACTATTTGTGAAGGATGAAAGTTAGAGGCAGCCTTAACTTTCAACACCAGCAGAGGGTTTAAATCTTTTAATAATTCCTGGTTGCCCATGGCTGCCCATGTAGCCATTCAAGAGATGGTGAAGAGCTCCTCTCAACACAGAACAATGTTTACTGTAAAAGGTAGGATACTAATGGCATACCATGATTTTTCTTGGTAAAAACATGTTTATGGGAAAAACTGGAAAAAGTAGAAAATTCAGTAAAATTTAAGTAGTGGTATGGAATGATAGGTGAATGAAACAAATATTCTATCTCCCCCAGTAGAGTCAAAACACAGTTATTTTTGAAAGAGTATAATATAAAAATTAGCAGGCAGTTTAAAAACAAGCATCAAGGCAGAGAGACAAAGTCTGGTTCTCTATTTGTTCGGCAACATCAAGATGGCAGGATCCTCTGGGTCACCAGCCCGGCACAGGACTGAGGACATTATAGGTGCTCACTGAACATGTGTTGCACTATACATGCAGGTTCCAGAAGCAGAGATGGAATCCCTGCTCCCCAAGAGTGGCTGGTTATCACACAGCAGTGCTGATGAGTAGGCACACGGGCTGTGATAAACACCCCTTGGGGGAGGGTATGACCTGAATCTAGTTGGTTGGTCTGCAGACGGGGCCAGGCTGGGGCTCCCTCCCCCAGGGAGGAGGCTGCTGAGGGACCAGACAGGGAAGGGGTGCACGGTGAGGCCTATTGGGGTTTCTCATGTTCCCCCAAAAGCACAGAATGTCTTCTACTGGGTGAGACCAGGAAGTGGAACAGACAGCCAGACCAGGCTTTGAGCGAGTCATTCATGGAAGACAATGGAAACCCCATCGTCGTGTGCCAGGCGCTGTGCACAGAGGGTAGACCCCAGGGAAAATGCAGAGCAGCTGGGGTCCCAGGAGGACACTCTGGTGCTGTGGTGCCCCTCCCTTGCCACACTGCATTTTCTCAGGTGGGGGCAGGAGGGCAAAGTCTGCCTCATGTCCTGAGCGGGAAGAGGGGGTGGGAGGTAGAATGGCACGCAGTATGTGCCGTGGAAAGCCATGCTGGAGGAATGGAATGTGCAGTCAGCAAGAGCAGAAAAGAGGTTCTCGGGGCTGGATCTAGTGAGGGCCCACCAGTGACCCCAGTCTGTGCTCAGGCCTTCATTTAGGGAGAACTCACCAGGCTGGGTGTGGCCTCGATTCCTGAGATGGCATCCCTGGGAAGAAAAAGGGAGGGCTTTCCAAGGGGGCAGGGATGGGCAAGGCACTAAAGTAGGCTTCTGACCCTGAAGGGTCATGCTGTGGGTGGGCGGTGGACTTGGTCAGCCCACATGTTGTGGCTCAGTCCCTTTGAGCAAGAGTTTCCCAGCAGCTTGGATTCTGTACCTGGGCTGCCTGGGCTTTAATCCTGGCTCTGTCACTTACTACACATGTGGCCTGACCAAGTTATTTTACCTCTCTATGCCTCAGTTTCTAATCTTAATCTTCTCAGTCCTACTAGTTCTTAGGGCCCCGCTTGACAATCTCCTCCTCCAGGAAGTCTTCCTGCTGCCCAAGGTGAATTAGGGCCCCTCTTCCATGCTCCCATAGCAGCTATGCGCAACAGCTTTCTTCCTACATCACAGCCACGTTTTCTCTTTTTGTTTTCCATTCTGAGACCGTAGAGTTTTTGAGGTCAGGAGATGTTCTTGTGGCTAATTGTTTTGTTTTTTAGGTTTTTTTTTTTTTTTTTTGTATTTTCTCAGTGCTAGGAAGTATTTGCTGAAATTCACGTAAAATGGAACTAATGAAAATAACCTTCCTCATTTGGTGGTTTTGAGGATTAAAAGAATCAACCTTGGCAGGGCGCGGTGACTCACGCCCGCAATCCCAGTGCTTTGAGAGGTCGAGGAGGGTGGAACCCTTGAGGTCAGGAGTTTGAGACAAGCCTGGCCAACATGGTGAAACCCCATCTCTACTAAAAATACAAAAAAATTAGCCGGGTGTGGTGGCAGGCGCCTGTAATCCCAGCTACTTGGGAGGCTGAGGCAGGAGAATCTTTTGAACCTAGGAGGTGGAGGTTCCAGGGAGCCGATATGGCACCACTACACTCCAGCCTGGGCAACAGAGCGAGACTCCATCTCAAAAACAAAACAAAACAAAACAAAAAAGAATCAACCTTGTATTAGAACCTGGCACAGACTGTTGGCACTGTTAAAATATAAAATAGTGGTCAGGGTGACTTGCAGAGGAACAGGCTGCCCCACCAGTGACAGTGACAAAGCAGTGGAGCACTTGCTGCAAACATGGCCTCTGACTCAGGAGAGGCAGTCACTGTTGAGAGTTAATCCATGATCACACTTGGGTATCTAAATTGCCAAGGAAGCTTCATCAGCTGCTGCAGGAGTGGGCAGTGTGGCCCACCAAGTTCATGGCCAGCCAGTGGTGAGAAGAGACAAGGCTGAGACCCAGAGACAACCCAGAGGCCTTCAGGGGGCAGAAGGAGCGGGGTTTGGGCAGAGAGAACAATGGCATGGAGGTCTAGGAGCAATGAGGCCTTTTCCAGTCACGAGGGCCCTTTTAGAATTTATTTCTGCTTAATAGCACTTAATAAACATTTTTGAGCAATGGGATATGTTAGGTCAAATGGGGGATATAAAGAGAGTTGACACAGAACCTTTGCCCTTGAAGAGCCCACAGCTGAGTTGAAGGAAGAGACCTAGAGCACAGTTTACTAACATCAAACCACCAACCCCCACAGCAAGAGCAGCTTCCCAGCATTGAGACCTCACTATGCTCCAGGCATTCCATGCATCATCTCATATGCACTTCATAACAGCTCATCACGAAGAGAAGTCACCGCAGATCCAATGGGTTAAGCAAGCTATCGAAGGTAGTCAGCAATTTTGTCTGACTACAAGTTCGTGTAATAATAATGTGAACCACTCCTTGAAGAGTAGAATCCAAGCATTGTGAGGCTGGCAGTGCAGGCAGGGGAATAGCATGAGCAAAAACCAGAGGTGGGAATGAATTTAACTGCCCCAGGAGGAGGCCCAAGACAGCTGGAGACAATTCAGGCAGACAGGAGAGCCCGTAGCTGCTCAGCTGCTCCCTGTCTTTTTCCTTCCCTCCGCAACCTTGAGAAAGTTGTCGATGGGTTCTATTTGCATTTTCTCCTATCCAGTTCCTCCTGCCCACATCACCCACTGCAGACACTCTTGCCAAGTTCCTCAATGCCAGCGTTGCCAGCCTGGTGGCCACTCCTCAGGCCTTCTCTTGCCTCCCCAGCAGCCTGGCCATGTGCCCGCCCTCCTCCATTTTGAAAGAGTACCCTCAGCTCTATCAACACCTCCTCCCCTGGTTTACTTTCCTCCACTCTGGCTCCGTCCCTTGTGCCACCTTGATATTGCTGTGGCCCATCCTGGACCTACTTCTCATCAACACAGTCTCCCTAGGAGACTCATCCCTTCTTGAGGCTTAACCACCACCTCCACGTGGGATTTCCAAGCCCATATCTCTAGCCCAGTGTCCACCCTGAGTGCTGGACCCATATACCCATCTGACTCCTGAAGATCTTTACTTGGGTATAGTCTGGGAAATTTGAATTTCAAATGTGACCAGGATACTCACTGGCTTCCTTCAATAGTGACTGCTCCTTCTGGGCCCCCTCTGTCAGGAGTGGGCATCACCAACGCTAGTTGCCCAAGCCAGATCCTGGGAGTCATCACTAACATCTCTCCTCTCACTGATATGTGGGTGCCACCTCGCTTTGACATTTCTTAAGCTTTTCTCTCCTTCCTACCACCATCCCACTGCTGCCATGCCAGCTTTTATCATAGCTCCTGGGATTCCTTCCACAGACTACCTAATTCCACTCTGGCTGCCAGAGAGGTCCATGTGAAATGCAAATTAGCCCAGGTCACCCTTGGTTAGAAGCCTTTAACGGCTCCCCATTGTGCTGGGGAGAAAACCTAAACTCCCAGCCTCTTTGCTTCACACACACATACCCACTGCGCTTGGTCTTGAGCTCCAGCCAGACTGAAACCATGGAGTAGGTTTACCCTCTTTACCCTAATCCTCTCAATCCTACTAGTTCTTAGGGCTCAGCTTGACAGTCGCCTCCTCCTAGAAGTCTTCCTGCTGTCCAAGGTGCATTAGGGCTCCACTTCTATGCTCCCATAGCAGCTGTGCACAATAGCTTTCTTCCTACATCACAGCCACACTTTCTCTTCTTGTTTCCCACCCTGAGACCATAGAGTCTTTGAGGTCAGGAGATGTTCTTGTGGTTTAGCTTTTTTTAAAATTTATTTATTTATTTATTTATTTATTTATTTATTTATTTATTTATTTGAGACAGAGTCTTGCTCTGTAGCCCAGGCTGGAGTGCACTGGCACGACCTTGGCTCACTGCAGCCTCTGCCTCCCAGGTTCAAGCAATTCTCCTGCTTCAGCCTCCCAAGCAGCTGGGACTACAGACACCTGCCACCATGCCTGGCTAATTTTGTATTTTTAGTAGAGAAGGGGTTTCACCATGTTGGCCGGGATGGTCTCAATCTCCTGACCTCAAGTGATCCGCCCGCCTCAGCCTCCTCAAGTGCTGGGATTAGAGGCATGAGCCACCGTGCCCAGCCTATTTTTTGTATTTTTTCAGTGCTAGGAAATATTTACTGAAATTTAAGGATGGAAAGTCTGGGAGACCGACTCTAGGAGTGCTCTTGAAAGGAAATGGGTTACTCCATGTGTAGGTGTTGAAAATGTAAAACACAATATTATTTCTCCCTTTTTCCCTAATAAAACCCCAATTTTGTTCAGAGGACAGCAATAGTGTTAATTACACTTCTTAGCATCCTTTGCAGGGGGTAGCTATGTGACCCAGGTTTGGCCAAGAAGACTTAAGTAAAAGCAACTGTGCACGCAAGGGAGAGATTTGCTCCCTTGATGTAAGCATGGCCCCTTCCTGTTTCCTGTCTTCCACATCTTTCCTGGAATTAGGAGAGGAGGCTGGAGATGGAGCAGCCATCTTGTGACAATGAGCCAGCCACAGGGATGGGAACCACAGGCTAAGGAATCTTGAAGGGCCTAGGTCATGACCCCTGGACTACCTACTAGCAGACTTCTAATTATTGAGAGACAAATAAATCTCATTTAAGTCATTTTGGTTGGCTCTCCATTACATTTAGCTGAACTCCACCCAGTAAAGGTCAATGAAGGAAGATAAGCATCTGTGAGCATTTCTGAATAGGCTTTTCCTTTGGAGATGATGCTGGCGCTGACGGGAGGCAGAGGGCCAGGTTAATGGAACAGGACTAGGTGAGGGCTGGAGAGGCTGATCCTCCCAGGGGTTCTACCAGAGGATCACAGTGAGGCCTCAGGGTTTGAGAAAGAAGCTCCAGGCATGGTAGCCCTAAGGTGTCTGTGACCTTGGCCTGGGGGTTTTCTGGTCCCTGTTTGGTTCAACTTGCAAAATGGGGCTGTTGGACTAGACAACTTATCAGAAGGCATAGTGCTTCAAGTCTGGGCTTAGGAGTCAGACAAGGCTGAATTCAGGGTCCAGCTCCACCACTTGCTAGCTGTGTGGCTTTCAGACAGCTTTCTTAGCCGACTGCTCTAGCATCCTTGTTTGTGGAGTCCAGACTCCATCAGTACCTATACCTGTAGGGCTAACGTTGGGGCTTCATGAAATCATGCATGTGGGTGCTCAGCAGAGGGCCTGGTATGCCCAGCACACACCAAGTGCTCCATGCTGGTACCTGTCCTTGTGTGCCATGTTCTCCCAGTGGACAGATGGGACCTGGAATTCATGCCTCCTCTGGGGCTGGGGCTGGGGCTGCTACAGTGCTGTGGAAAGCCTGTCAGGATGTACCTCGCTCTGTGGCTGAGTGAAGAGGCCAGAGGCTGCCCACTGTTCAACATCTTTGGAATGCTGCCGTGTCCAGGGAACTTGGGTCGCAGGTGGATAGAAGCCCCCAAGCCCAGGCCAGGCCAGACCAGGCCCAGAAAGGTATCAGGTCTTGGGTAGAATAAGAAGCCTATGTGGTCTATCTATCCTGTGGCCTTTGTCTTAGCCAAAGCCTCCTGGATATTGACGGCATCTTTTCCTGGGTTTGGGGTGGGCTTGGAGAGGTTCCCTCTGCACGGGACTACAGAAGTGAGGGAGCTGGAAAAATGCCTCCAGAGCTGGATTCCTCACTGCAGCTGCTTTTGGAAGAACCTTCTTATCCTTCCCTTGAGAAGCCTCACTGTCTCTTCTCGGCGCTTGGAATCCTGTTAGTAGAAAATCTTGGGGAAAAAATAAACCCACTATTCATTCCAGCACTGAGAAGGAGGTCAGTGGGGTGCGTCCTGTTTGTCCACACCCCCCCCACCCCCTCTACCCCTCCCCCCAGCACCCCAGGCCAGACCCAGCCATGCTGACACTTGACAGCCCCTGCAGTTTACCTTGGCTCAGGTCCAGAGACTTCGGGCCCAGCCCCCACCTTTTCACCTTGTTACCCAGCCCCCTCTCCAGCGCAAAGAGCAGTTTAAATATAAATCAGTCCTCAACACAAACAGAGCTGCAGCGAGTCTCAGAGCCATCACCGGAACTGAGGGCCCAGGTTTTCTGCGAGTGCAAACAAGCAGAGACTGGCTCCGTAAATCTCCCCAAGAACGTCGGGAGGGGTGCTGGGGCTCCCCTCCACCCCCGGCTCACGTTGGCCCCTCCAGCGCCCGCCTCGGGCACCCTCATATCCCAGCCTTCCTGCCCCCCAGCCCTGCCAACCTCTTTCTCCATCCCCTCCACTCACCCACCTTCGCTTCGCCCACCCTCTCTTCGCCAGTCCCCAGGAACCTCCACCCCCTTGCAACCTCCTGCCCCCGCACAGCCCTCACCTCCCCTCCCCGGGCCCGCCACCTCCTTCCCTCCCTCTCCGCCTCCCGGCAGGCGGGATCTTCTCGGGGCAGTCAAGCCTCGCGGGTCGCTGCGGCGTCACACCTGTCTGAGGGGGCGGCGGCGGCGGCGGCGGCGGGGCGGGGGCTCGTAGCGCCTTTGACACCCGAGGAAAAGAGGGAGGAGGGAGAGCGCGTTTCATCATCGGCGGCGGCCACTTATAAAAACTTCTAGGCGCGCACTCGCTGGCTCAGTCTCCGCTCCGCGAATCTCCTCCGGCCACTGCCGCCGCGGTCGCCTCTCACCCGCCCGGCCGCTCCAGCCCGAGGCGCCCCGACCCCGCGCCACTCCGCGCCCGGCCAGCCGCCCGCAGCCATGGGGCTCCTGCCCAAGCTCGGCGCGTCCCAGGGCAGCGACACCTCTACTAGCCGAGCCGGCCGCTGTGCCCGCTCGGTCTTCGGCAACATTAAGGTGAGCGGAGTCCGCGGGGTCTTCCGGGCCGGAGCCGCGCCTGGCGCACCTTCGGCTGGGCACCCGCTTCTGTCTGCCGGAGCCAGGAGGCTCCGGGAGCCCCGGGCTCCCTCCTGTGCCGCGCTCCGATCTCATCCCCGGGCGACGCGTGCTGGGCGTGTGTGTGCGAGTGTGTGTGTGAGCGTGTGTGTGTGTGAGCGTGTGTGTGTGCGTGCGAGTGTGTGTGTGTGTGTTCACACGCCTTCATCGGACTAAGTAATGGGACAGTGGAAGTACCTGCTTACCGCTTACTCGGACAACTCCAGGCAGAGTTATAAGCGAGAGAATTGTCCTCGATGATTGAAAAAGATCATCTCGAGGAACGCTTTTTCGGCCTCCAGCGGGCGGTTACTTCGTCAATGGGATGGGCTTGGAGGTGCCAGGGGGACCCCCCGCGCTTTGGGGGACAGACTGTGTCTCGTCCGAGCCCCCTCGTCCTGGGGTGGGTGGCCTAAGGGATGTTCTCCTTCCCCAGGCTTTCTTCTCCCGCCAACGGGGGCGGGGGGCTCTGCTACCTGGCTGTGCCGCTCGCAGTTATGTTTAGAATTCCCTCTCAGCGGGCGGCTTCCCCAGGCTGGCAACCAACCCGCGTGCTCAGATTGGCTTCCCTGGTCTGGAAATGGCCCCAGGAAGGTCACAGCTCTCACGGTTCAGTAAGGTCTAAGCAGGTCCACTCACCAGGCAAGTTATGGGGAGCGGGTGAGAAGATAGGGTGTTGGCAGCTGTTAGGATGAGAGCACCTTTCCCATGGGGTCGGAAATGCTTTCCACTCCCTCACAGGTCCAGGAGGACCTGGAATGGTTCAATCCGCACTCGGGCTCTTTTGCCCGTTCTGCCTAGGCAGAAGTAACAATGGAAGATACCTCCTGAGAGGCCAAAGCTGCTGCGGTGAGGATGTGGGAGACTGCAGAGACTGCATCAAGGCCCCTTCTGGTCAGGGTGGGATCATGGTGTAGAGAGGTTGTTTCCCACAAACATACAGTCAGATGGGACTGAGTAAAGCCTCCGGTGGTGCAATTAAGGGGAAGCCAGATTACACAAAGGGATGATGGGGGTGTCCGTGGACTGGTTATATGTGTCCAACAGAAAGGGATCTGGAGGTCAGAGTGGATCTCACCTGCATACTTACTCAGCTGGGATCTCCACTCCTGCTTCTGCTCTTTCCGCACCGCAATAAATACAGGCTGAATTGATTTTGTAGTTGTATATGGATAAGCAACAGAAATTTTGAGATAGCTTAAAATAATCTCCAAATCTCCTCATTTTTGGCCAGACCTGGATGGAAATGTTGTGCGCAGTTTTGGTTCCACCATTTTGGAGAAATTTCATCAGGAATTTTGGAACCTTTGGTATTTATAAATTAGGAATTGAGATGAAAGGGTAGGGACTAGGATTAGATGGTGTAAAGAAAGGGGCCTCTGCAGGAACCAGGGTGGGGCAACCTCACTTCATTTTCACCAAGAAGGGCAGGAGGGACGGGTGTCCAGAACAGATTCCTGACAGTGAGGGTACAGCTGAATGAGACTGATCCGTTTAGACCCACCCTGGTTCCCTAAAATAAATGTTTATGGCAGCAATTTATTTGGAGATCTATATAAATAAGATGATTTCTCATGTGTTGATGATTTAACCACACGTACCTGAGGGCTGGGCTCAGGCCAATTGGCCTCCTAAAGGAGTTAAGTACTCATACTGGCTAAGAGTTTTTCTTGACTCTAAAAATGAGATTCTGTTAGTCATCACCTCCTTTGATCCATACTAATTGCAAGACCAGAGTTTGGAGGACTTCCATTTAACTCCACTTATCAGCCTGAAACCAGGTACGAGGTTGGATAGCTTAAGGTAAATCTTGAATCTCAAATTCCATCAGTTAAAGTCACTTGCACCTTTCCCTCCTGGGGCAATAACTGGGAGCTCTGCTATTTGAAGGGATATTTCCTCCCAATGAGAGTGCTTGTAATAGCCCTGCCACTTTGCAGTGGGGGATGGGTTGCACATATCTTGGGACATGTATGACATGGTGGTGTAGCAGGACGAGCCACAGACAAAACTCCTCAGACACTGAGTTAAAGAAGGAAGGGGTTTATTCAGCCGGGGGCATCAGCAAGACTGCTGTCTCAAGAGCTGAGCTCCCCGAGTGAGCAATTCCTGTCCTTTTTAAGGGCTCACAACTCTAAGGGGGTGCACCTGAGAGGGTCGTGATCGATTGAGCAAACAGTGGGTACGTGACTGGGGGCTGCATGCACCAGTAATTAGATCGGAACAAAACAGAATAGGGATTTTCACAGTGCTTTTCTGTACAATGTCTGTAATCTATAGATAACATAACCGATTAGGTCAGGGGTCGATCTTTAACTACCAGCGCTAGGGTGCGGCTCCGGGCTGTCTGCTTGTGGATTTCATTTCTGCCTTTTAGTTTTTACTTTTTCTTTCTTTGGAGGCAGAAATTGGGCATAAGACAATATGAGGGGTGGTCTCCTCCCTTATTCCCCTCCTTTGAGATTCTCACTCAATAGTGGGAGTTCTCACTTTCATTTTTACTACCTGTGTCTTCTTGCAAGACAGATCGATAGTGATTCATATAGTACACTTGTGCTGAACCTTTTTGGTGAACTAAGGTAGCGATGAAGCTTTTTATCATTTGAAGAAGTATAGGTAGCAAACAAGGGAGCAGTAAGCAGGTTCCTATTACTATTATAACTCTTATTATTAGAGTTTTAAATTCTCTTAGCGCTGGGAACCATTTTCTAAACATGGCCCCAGGATCAAATCCATGCCACACTTGCACAGGCACATGTGCCAGTTTTGTCATATCTCTTAACTGTGTCTTCAACTACTTGCCCTTGATTATCTATATGTAGGCAGCAATTAGAAAGGTTAAATTTCCTACAGACCTCTCCTTCAGCTGCTAGCAAGTAGTCAAGAGCTAATCTATTTTGATAGGTAGCATTTCTCATCTGAGTTTCTTGCTGGGCCAGAATAGTCAAGGCTCTGCCGGTTTTATTAGTGATTATTTTTAAGACAGCTTGTAACCGTATGATTCAGTTGATCACGTAAATGGGGGTCTGGTATCCTCACAAGCCGTCTTGTGCCTAGCAGGCCTATAATATTGTATGATTTTCTCAGGGGGCCATTTATCATTTTTTCAATTTCCTATAGCTATGCTTCTCTTTTCGCGGGAAGCATAGACAGGGAAGCCCAGGAGTTCGCCTGTTTTTATGGGCAGTAGGAAAAAGATGGTTTAATAGTGCCAATAACAAAACTACCTGCCTACTGGTCAGGTAATTTGGCGTAAGCTCTATGCCTACGTATCTAGTATAATCCAGTGGGGGCTGTCTAGTCCCGGTGGGACTCCGGGTGGGTCCACACGGTTTGCAACTTTGGGAATTTACTAAATGGATTTCTCTCTGTGTGATTAGAACTCCACCAAATGACTGTTTTTGTGATACCATTATAAGTTTCTGTCCTAGACAAAGAAGTCGTCCTATGGGGTGAGTAAATTCTTTTCCTTCTCTAGCTATGCAATATTGTCCAATAATTGAGGCTTTTAGGACCTAGAAATTATCAGGGTGATTCTTCTGAGCTGGGAATTCATCAGGAACTGGGTCTGTAGGTACTAATTCTCGGGCTTCCCATGGTCATTGATCTCTTATTACAGTTCCTCCACATACATAACATGAAGTGACATTGAGAGAACATGCTCAGCTAATTGCAAAAACAAATTTCTTGTTTTTCCTGGAATTTCTGGTACTGGCACATTTAGTTCATCATAGAAAGTTTGAAACACTGGCTTAGGAGAGCGTTTGTAAACTTCTCTTCAAACCAAGATATTTACTCGAGGATCCAGTCCAGCCCCATTGATTCCTAAGGTCACACGCTCCTCTTTTTTCCAGCGAGGATCAAGGGGATTGGTTATTACTAGCTCTAAGGGGTTACATTGTCCCTTAGTACAGGAAGGGCCATTTTTTCCTTTCTGAAGGTGGACTGGATCTTTTTCATTTTTTTTTTATCGAAGTGGCCTAAATGACACAAGACCAGTATTTACATTTCTTTCCACACAGTCTTAATTTATGACAGATGTACTTATTTTCTGCTATATAGCCTCTTTTCTAATTAAGAGAACCACAGCTTATTCCTAACTTATTACTATTAATGACAGCACAGGCATCAAATTTTAAGATGACTCGTTTGGGCACCCCTTTTTCTTCTGTTTTGGCTAGCACTTTACTCATATCATTTGTGAGCCCTCACCAGTCCTCAGTCCTCAATCTAATTTTAAAAACTGTGGTCATGGGAGGCTCAGATGGGTCATAACACACATCAGGTTGGTCATTTCCTGGGCTACATACCTTGTATAGAATTATATTATACAACAAGTTCTTTTTAGAGTTCCAGTACGCTTATAATAACCATAAAATAATAGGACCGTAGCAACCTTTTGTCCTACCTCAGTGACTTGATGTATACACTGGGAATAGTCCTCAGTCTGAGGAAGGTCAGTTGAAGTCCTTATTGTAAAAATGCAAATTTTAAGGAAAATGAGTCCCGCAATGAGTTTTCTCATGCTTCGGCCGTGCATGGACCAGTCAGCTTCCGGGTGTGACTAGAGCAGGGCTTGTCGTCTTCTTCAGAGTCACTTTGCAGGGGTTGGCAAAGCTGCTCCCGTCCACATACTGCTCACAGTCTACTGATGTTTAAGGATGGTCTCGGAGGTTGGGCCTGTTAGAATAAACTGAGTCCAACACCTCTACACAGTTATGTTCAACTGGGCTCTCTGATACTGGGAGCAAGGTGGTGGGGTTTAGGGTGTTGCAAACTTCAATGGTTATGTGGGGATTTTCACATAGCAAGCTTTGGTACTTGGTTAATCTAGCATTTGTTAACTAATGATGTCCTTTGGTAGTCATTAAAGTTACCACAGCATGGGGAGCGTTTATATTCAGGTTTTGCCTAAGGGTTAGTTTATCTGCTTCTTGTGCTAACAGGACAAGAAGGCCCTTGTTGCTGCTAGGGCCCTTAAACCTGGGGGCCAGGCTTTGGAAACCCCGTCTAGTTGTTTTGAGAGACAGGCCACTGGCCTTGGCCAGAGCCCCACAGTCTGGGTTAAAACTCCAACTGCCATTTTTTCTCTTTCTGACACATAGAGTGTAAAGAGTTTTGCCAGGTCATGTAGCCTCAGGTCTGGGGCCAACATGAGTTTTTCTTTTAACTCATGAAAAGCTCGTTGCTGTTGGTTGTAATAGATGTAGTTTATCTAATCTACATTTTTGTTAACTGTCACCCACAAAAATATTGACTCAAATCCTGCAGCTATTTGATTTCAAGCTTTAAATTGATATGGTATTCGTCATGGGACTCCAATTGTGTCTAAACAGACATGAGAGTCGAAAGACCTATAAGGGGCTTCTCTCGCTTTACGATGTCTTATTTTTCTCCTTCTGGTTGATGAAATGCCAGGGTGAAAGGGATAGCCAATTGGACTAAAGTACAAGTGCCACTCCATTTATTCAGCAGAGTGCCCAGTAAAGGTCCACCACAATACCACCACACATCTGCTCGGGGATGAACAAGGGCTGACTGATTGATAAGCTCTTGAAAATTCTTAAGCTAACTGCATCCTTTCAGGTCTCCAAGGAACACTAAGTTTCCTCCCTGTCATGAGAGACATGAAGTGACTTAGTGTTGGGAAACGGAGGCTGGATGGCCTTTGGGGGCTGACCCGCAGGGTGCCAGACTTTGGGATATAGCAGAGAGAGCTTGGCATGACTTATTACTCCAGGCTGTAGAATCCTGGAAAAGAGCCATGCAGCCTACACCTGGTCAACTGGAGGACCACCTTAGTGGAAAGGGGACAGTCTGGGCCTCTGACCTGCCATGTGCACAAGCATAACAATTGCTTTTGTTTAACGTGCAGATGGAATATTTGATCCATTTTAACCAAGCATTTGCATCTTGGTATCCTGTCTCAAATTGCTAAAGTTTGTTTTAAGTCTTTAACTTCCATGATCCTCTAGTAAAATGAATGTATGATTTTAGGAAATTACAAAAACTGGTTGGGGCAGTCCATCCTTGCTCTTTAGTGGTCCACAGAACATTGGACCAACTATGGCATGAAAGCTCTACATCGGGGGGCAAGACTTCTGGTTGGCACTGGGGTCTTTATTGAAATCTCCCCAGATTAAATGGTCCTACTTTACTAATGCCCAGTCTGAGGAGAGTCAGGAGGGACAGAAGTACTTTTCTAAAGCAGAAAGCTGTCTTTGACTTGGCAAGTCCTCACAGGGTATAGCAAGGCAAGCATTAAATGCAATAGTTTGAGGAGAAATTGACTTGGTTATGTTAATAACTAGATGGTCAGCAATAGAATGAGGAAAGAAGAAAGAGTAATAGAATAGATTAAAAGAGTTAAATTTTTCTTAGCTTTAGTTTGATAGGGTTTTCCCCTGGGACTATGGCCCACAATTCTGGAGGGGGTGGCGCTTTCTTGACTCGGGTGTAATGAGTCCATTCTTTTGTTTGTTTGTTTGTTTGTTTGTTTGTTTGTTTTGCTGTATGAACAGCAGTCTTGTTGGTTAGCAGCACAAGGTAGGGTCCTTCCCAGGCTGGCTTGAGTTTTTCTTCTTTCCACCCTTTGATGAGAACGTGATCTTCAGGCTGGTGCTGGTTTACTGGAAATTCTAGGGGTGGTACATGTGCTAAAAGACTTAGTTTTTGAGAGAAAGGAAAGTGGAAGATAAACCAAGTATATAATTTTTAAGACATCGACCTTTTGTTTTAACTGTGGGGACCTGGACAGTGGACTTTATAGTCCTTAGTGCCTTTTTACTGAGAAATTTCCTTTAGCACCTATTTTTATTAGTTTTTAAACCAAAGAAAGCCAAATACCATTTTGCATTTAACAGTGCTTCTCATATGATTTTTACACCAGATAAGCTAAATTTTACCTTTATATTAGTGTGTTATTAATGTTAAACCTAATTTTAATAAAACCTTCTAGACATATTTATCTAATTTTTAATGTTTGACCATAAGGTAAGATTTTATAGACTCTTTTTAACCTTTTATAATTTTTGCTAAAGAGCAGGTTGGTGCTTTAAGAAAAACCTGTTATGCTTTTACTTTAATGTCCAGTTCACAGAAAAACTGGATGATACTTCTTTAACTTTAGCTAATATGTTTACACACAGAATTTTCTTTATAATTAACGTTTTAAAACTTGCTTAAACCTTCAAAACAATAATTTTTTTTAACTTTTTAATGTAGGTAAAAATGTACATTCTTATGCCTCCTTATAATCTTTTTACCAAAGGTATATTTTACTTTTCTTATACACCTTGCATACAAACTGTTTTTTAATAGTTTTAAATTCAGGAGGCCTAGTTACTTTTAAATTACACCACATTTTTTGCATAAATTCTTTTTTATAACTTTTTTCTTTCATGACTTTCGCAGATAATTCTTCGACATGCCTCAACTTTTTGACTTATTACAAATATTTCTTTCTTTAAACAACTAGTTAATTTATTTCAGGACAAGAATTTACCATATAATACTCTTTTTACATAAATTCCGCCCCTCCTCTTTTTTTCTTTTTTTTTTTTTCCTTTAGGATACTTCTGAACTGGTGAGGTGTGCTCACAATGAGGTTTCCTCTAAAAGTTTTTTTTTTACTTTTTTTTTTTTGTTAGCAAAGCAGTTGCAGCTACAGATTGAATGCATTTGGGCCATCTGCGGGTTACTGGGTTAAGGATTTTTTATAGGAAGGCCTCAGTGCTTTCAGGATACGCCCTTGTTTACACTGACAACAAAGTGGTATTGGAGTGTGATAGGTTACAGAGAATACCTTCAATTATCAATTATAGGTTTTAAATTTACCTTGGCTTTTATAGGGTACACTTTTTTTTTCTTAACTACTTGTATATCTCTCTCTTTCTTTCTCTCTTTGACTTTGTCTCTCTCTCTTTGACTTTCCTTTTGCCTCTGTCTCTTCTTCTCTTTCACTGCCTTTCTCTTTCTCTCTCTCTCTCCTTGACTCCCTCTTTGTCTGTCTCTTCCTCTCTCTTTGCCTCTTTTCTTCTCTCTTTCCTTTCTCTCTCTCTGCTGGTCTTTCCTTGCCTCTGCCAGCCACTTATGCTGCTGTTCTCTCAACCACTGTGTGTTGGGGGCGGGGGGTCTAAAACCAGCTGTAACCAAGTGTCTATGTACAGGAACTGGTCTGCATTCCCTGGCTTACAGGTTACCTTGGGCCACACCTTTGAAACAAGGGACCTGTCCAGGCTTCCTTCTAATGGCCAACTTACCTCTAATGCTGGCCAGTCTATCTTACACAAAGTTTTAAGTTTTCCTAGTGTCACAGTACTCCATAGTCTCCTTTAAATTCTTTTTTGAAATTTTTCAACATAGTTCCTAGTAGGGTGGGCTTATTTGTGCCTGACCTATGCTTCTTCGAGACAAAACACGCTCATACCACATGCACACCACAAACCAAAGAACAGGTAAAAAGGGCACGCACACACTTTTGCAGTTTGCACCAAAGCAAAATCAAAACCAAAATCAGAGTATCCAGAAATCCAAGCCAGGTCAAAACCAAAACCAAAGTATCAAGCAATCCAAGTCAAGTCAAAAACAAAAACCAAAGTGCCGGTACAGGCATGCCGTGGGTGATGAGGCCACGCTTCCACTCAAATGGAGTGGGCAAGTTCCCAAGACCAATCCTGTCAAGCAATTCAAATCAAGTCAAAACCAAACCAAAGTGCCGATAAAGGCACACCATGGGTGATCAGGCCAAGCTTCCACTCAAATGGAGTGGGCAAGTTCTCACGACCAGTCCTGTCAAGCAATTCAAACCAAGTCAAAACCAAAACCAAAGTGCCGATAAAGGCACACCATGCGTGATCAGGCCAAGCTTCCACTCAAATGGAGTGGGCAAGTTCTCAAGACCAGTCCTGTCAAGCAATTCAAACCAAGTCAAAACCAAAACCAAAACCAAAGTGCCGATAAAGGCACGCCATGGGTGATCAGGCCACGCTTCCACTCAAACGGAGTGGGCAAGTTTTAAAGACTAGTCTTACTAAGTTTTAGATGTCCAGACCGGTGAAAACCTTCCTGGTGTTCAGCCACTGCGTTGCTCCTCTATGGGGGCCTGCCACACACTGCCCTGGCAAGGCGTCCCACTGGGGCAAATGCCTACCCCTGAGCGCTCTCAGGATCTGCGTTGCTTGGGCTAGTTGGAGTCCCCCGCCGAGATGTTGCACAGGGCAGGCTTAAGCCGCCTAAGGAGCTGCCTCGACCATCCGCCAATCACCTCGCTTCCCGGTCAGGGAACCAAGAAATGTAGCAGAATGAGCCGCAGACAAAACTCCTCAGACACCGAGTTGAAGAAGGAAGGGGTTTATTTGGCTGGGGGCATCGGCAAGACTCCTGTCTTAAGAGCCGAGCTCGCTAAGTGAGCAATTCCTGTCCTTTTTAAGGGCTCACAACTCTAAGGGGGTGCACATGAGCGGGTCATGATCCATTGAGCAAGCAGGGGGTGCGTGACTGGGGGCTGCATGCACCGGTAATTAGATCGGAACAAAACAGGATAGGGATTTTCACAGTGCTTTTCTATACAATGTCTGTAATCTACAGATAACATAACCGATTAGGTCAGGGGTCGATCTTTAACGACCAGGCCTAGGGTATGGTGCCGGGCTGTCTGCTTGTGGATTTCATTTCTGCCTTTTAGTTTTTACTTTTTCTTTCTTTGGAGGCAGAAATTGGGCATAAGACAATATGAGGGGTGGTCTCCTCCCTTAGTGGGAACAGCGGAAACTCAACCAGAGGGTCTGTCATTTGTCTAGGTTCCTTGTTGCTGGACAGACTAACCAATCCACTTTGGACATTCCTGCAAAAACCCACATACCATATAGTTTAGGGGAAGCGGATAAAGCCAGAAGACTCAGATTTAAGGTCCCATCCCAGCCACCTGCTAATGGGATGATGCAGGGAAGCATTTCTCACCTTTTCAGGGCCTCAGCGTCCTTACCTGCAAGAGCTGGTAATTGACCAATATCCAGCTCATGGGGCTCAAAAAGGATTATGTGGAATGAGGCATAGGAAAAAGGCTTTGTAAACCATGCTGTGCTGTCAGGATCAGTACCCATCTGAGATCAATTCTTGCTTCAACAAATAGGATTTGTTCACATTCAAACATTTAGGAACAATTGTTCCACCAATTCCGTGAGGCATAGTTATTAGTTAAGAAAAACCACATTTAATAATAATAATGATGATTAAAATAATAGTAATAGTGGCTAACAGTATTTGAGCTGTATGAATGTACCAGGAACTATGGAAGTACTTTATCTATATTTAATCCTCATTACAACCCTATCAGGTGGATACTATTATTGTCCTCATTAATAATGAGGAAAACAAGGCATTGTGAAATTGTTCACATAACCAGAAAGGGGTGGACTATAGAGGAACCAGGTATGTGAGACTTCAGAGTCAAAGACCCAAACCCCTGTTCAAGCTGGCCCTCACCATCAACACTATGCTGTTTAACACTGGTTTAGCAGGGGTGTGCTTATTCCCAGTGGCCAGTGGTTTCTCTGGGCCCTGTTGACACATACATCCCAGCTGTGACCAAGGGGAGCAGCAGTGGCTTCAGGTGGATGCTCCCAGTGGCTAACGGGCTGATACCCTTTCCCTCTTCATAACTCTCATCTCCAGAATGTGGCAGCTTTCAGGTGGGTTTTATGTGCCTGCTCCTGCAGTAGTAAACCAGATTTAATCTAGAGTCTCTGTTGCCTCTAGCTTACAGGAATCTTAAGAAGCAGAGATCTGCTCCACAATCACTGTTCAGCATTTGGTGTCCAGAATGCTAAATTAAACAGGTTCATTTAGTAATCCTGAGGGTGGGGGTGGGAGGCAGCTTTTGCAGCTGACTTATCCTGGCGGCTTCAGGAAGTTCTGTTTCTCCTTAAAATAAAACTTGCCCTTGGGACCAAACTGAGGTTATCTTATAGAAGGAGTGGTTGATGACTGCTGCCAAATTTCAGGAAATCACACACCCAGAGCTCCAGTAGTGAAGTAATGTATATCCAATCAGTGAGGGAACATCCCGGTGGAGACTGAGGGCTGGAGAATAGTGGGAAGAAGGGAAAGGCAAACCTCACAGCTTGGCTTCGGTGGCCCTGGTGACTTCTGGCCTGGGAGGACCAAAAAATGGGGGGAGAATTACTTTGTCTTGGCCTATGTCCATCACTTCCTGAGGCTTCTGACCCCCAGCAATGGGGAGGCATCTTGGGCTTGCTTAACTAATCAGTTTCCAGAGCAAAGTGCTCTATCCCAGCAACCAGATTCATGCTCAGGAAAACACTCTCAAGAAAATCCCCTGAACCCAAGAATTCCTTTACCCACCCAGTGAGTTAAGATATGCCCACTCCTCCCCAGGGGTGGTGTTTCTCTAACATTGAAGACAACATTGTTCTGTTCCTAAGCATCTGCCTCCTGAGAGGCCTGCTTCCCCTGCTTGTAGGGAGAAAGGAAGAGAGAACAACGGGAACGGGTAGGATCAGGTGGGCCATGGGTCGCTCAGACCTCCTCTTCCTGGATGATGCTGAAAGCCCTCCTTAGCTTTCAGTTTGTCTTCTGGTGGTACTCACATGGAACAAATGGAAGAGTGTTGTATGTTTCGCAGTATAGATAGCTCATTTCACCTCACCTCTTTCTGATCACTGTCTTTTGTTGTGACAGTGACTACCTGTTTTTTCCATTCTGAGAGATCCAGAAGTGATGTTGGAACGTTGAGATGTGCACGTGGCTTCCCTTTGCCTTCTTTTGTCTTGCTTGTGTAATAGACCAGGGTGTATGCAGAGGAATGGAGGGGGTCCCCTGGCCTCGCCCCTCTTCATTCTCCCTCTTCTCAACCCCCACTTAGTTTTATCCTGCTCCATGTCTTTAACCAGCCCCAGCACTCACTTCAAGCCCCTTTCTGCCTGTGGCGGCGCTGGCCTTCAGACCATTTATGTGCCAGAGCCTGAGAGCCAGTGATGGTGGAACTAAGCAGCCAGGGATACTCCCAGGGCAAATGAGCCCATCAGGAAGCCTGCACAGGGCCAGGCTAGTTTGGCCCCTGTTCTGAAGTTAAGTTCACTAACATGTGCTTGGCCATCCCATTCTGTTTCTGTTGAGGAAGGACATGAAGACACAGCTGTGTGAATCTGCACCTGTCTGTATCCTGGAGGATCAACGTGGATGGTTATCACTGCGGAATCTGGGGCCTCATGAGCCACCATAGAGAAAGTCAGCTGAGTTCCTAGTGCCAGACAAAATGATTGATTTAGAATTGAAAAAAAACTTTTTATTTTATAGCAATTACAGATTCATAGGAAAAATAGTGCTTACAGGTCCTGTGTAGCCTTCACCTAGTTTCTGCCAGTGGTTGCATCTTATATAATTTCAGTATAATATCAAAAGCAGAACATTGACATTGCTATCAAGTGTGTGTATAGTTCTGTGCCATTGCATCACACATGAAGATTTGTGTAACCACCGCCCCACCACTTCAAGATACAGAACTATTCCATCACCACGAGGATTTCTCCTGTGCTGACCCGTTTATAGTCACGTCCCCTTGCTTCCGTGACTACCATCTCTAACCCCTGGTAACCACTAATCTGTCCTCCACCTGTATAATCTTGTCACTTTGACAATGTTATATAAATGGAATCATACAATCTGTGACCTTTTGAGATTGGCTTTTTTCATTCAGCATTATGCCCTTGAGATCCATCCAAGTTGTTTTGTGTATCAATAGTTTGTTCCTTTTTATTGCTGAGTAATATTCCATGGTATGACCGTACCATAATTTGTTTAAACGTTCACTTATTGAAGGACATTTGGGTTGTTTCCAGTTGGGGGCTATTACAAATAAATCTGTTATGAACAATTGTGTAAAGGTTTTGTGTGGACATTTTCATTTCTCTAGGGTAAATGCTCAAGTGTGTTTGCTGGGTTATATGTTAGTTGCATGGTGAGATATTTTTTAAAAAACTGCTGAACTGTTTTCTGGAGTGATCACACCAGTTTACATTTTCACCAGCCATATGTGAGAGACCCAGTTGCTGTGACACCTCATCAGTATTTGGTATTGTTACAAATTTTTATTTTAGCGATTCTAATAGATATGAATAGTGACACCTCATCATGGTCTTGTTTTGCATTTCCCTAATGGCTCGTAATATTGAACATCTTTTCATGTGTTTATTTACTGTTTGTATTTCCTCTTCATTGGAATGTTTTTTCCTATATTTTGCCCATCTTCTAATTGTAATCTTTTTTTTTTAACAGTTGCATTTTGAGAGTTCTTTATATATGTTAGGCACAAGTCTCTTGTGGGGTATGCAGTCTGAAATGATTTTCTTCTAGACTATAGCTTATTTTTTCATCCTCTTAACAAGGTATTTTACAGAGAAAATGTTTAATTTTGATGAATTTTAATTTATCAATTTTCAATTTTCTGGATCCTGCTTTTGGTGTCATGTCTAAGAACTCTTCACCAAACCTTAGTTTCCGAATGATTTCTTCTATATTTCATTCTAAAAGTTTTCTCATTTACATTTAAACTTATTTTCTATTTTGAGTTAATTGAATGGATGTAAGGTTTAGGTTAAGGTGTTTTTTTTGTTTGTTTTGTTTTGTTTTGTTTTTTTACCTATTGCTATCCAGTTGTTTCTCCACCATTTTTTTGAAAAGACTATCCTTTATTGAGTTGCCATTGCACCTTTGTCAAAGATCAGTTGGCTGTACTTGTGTGGATCTATTCTGGGTTTTTTATTTTGTTTCGTTGTTTCTGCTGATACCAGTCTGTCTTCATTACTGAAGCTAGAGCAAGTCTTTATTTTTATTTGATGAGCCCATCCATCTTTATTTTCTTTAAAAATTTATTATTTTTGATTGACAAGTTTTTGATTGGCATAATTGTATACATTATGGAGTACAATGTGACGTTTTAATCTGTGCAATGTGGCGTGATTAAATCAAGCTAATTAATGTATCTTGACCTCGCTTATCTATCATTTTTTATGGTGAGACATTGGAAATTTACTATTGTTTTGAAATATATATTACATTATTGTTGACTAT
This sequence comes from Homo sapiens, assembly GCF_000001405.40. NCBI lineage: Eukaryota > Metazoa > Chordata > Mammalia > Primates > Hominidae > Homo > Homo sapiens. Next base: position 134,015,537 of record NC_000003.12, on the reverse strand, counting down.
AGTCACTCTGCTATGCAACAGATCTCAAAATCTATTCCTCCCATCTCTCTGAAACTTTGTACCTTGGATCAACCACTCCCCATTTCCCCCCTCCCACCCCACCCCCAGCCTCTGTAACCATCATTCTACTTTTTACTTCTATGAGTTCAGCTTTATTAGATTCTGCATTTAAGTCAGATCATGAGGTATTTGTCTTTCTGTGCCTGTCTTATTTCACTTAGCATAATGTCCTCTAGATTTATCCATGTTGCAGCAACTGACAAGATTTCCCCCTTTTAAAAGGCTGAATAATATTCCATATGTATACATGCCACATTTTTCCTTACCTATTCATCCACTGATGGATGCTGAGGTTGATTCCATATCTTCGCTATTGTGAATAATGTAGAGCAAGTCCTGAAGTTGGATAAAAGCTTGGTTTTATTGGGCAATGGTATGTGTTTATCTTATGGATACCAAATTTTATTACCTGTTCAGTTTTTCTTCTATTCTGGCTTTTAGGAAGATTTAAGGACAGGTTTAACGCTTGCTTTTGGTAAGTGAGGGGATCTTATGTATTTATGTGCTCCAGCTTTTCTTCTGCCCTTAGCTGATTGGTATGTTTTTTCCCTTGAAGTTGATTTTCAAGTCTATGTTCCTAAATTTTTTCTAATCTTAATGACAGCCCTGCAAGAGAGGTATCAACGTCTCCATGTCACAGTTGAGGAAACCAAGGCTCATCCAATGCCACATATCCAGTAACTGGCAAAGCAGGGATTCCCACCTGGTCATCTCACTCTTCTTCTTCCCGTGACCACGGAACATCTCTCAGCTCTGGATTCTCTCATCCACCAGCATTTGGGCCTGAGCTCAGTGATCTCTGAGGTCCTTTCAGACTCTCAGATTCTTATCTCATGATGTTAAGTTGCTGATTGAGATGAGACTAGGAGCAGGGCCAGTTAGGTCTGGACTCTTCTAGGAGACCTGTTATGAAACCTGGCGAAAGCACCCGCATTGTCTTTGAGTAATCCCCAGCCCTTTCAGTTGAGAGGACCTTAATTCCCTGGGTGTGTCTTACTGTTTGGGATGGATTAAATTTGCCCAGGGGTGGAGATGAAACCCAGGCAGGAAGTCTGAGACTGCACTGAGGGGTTGAAGGATGGGATGATACTCTGCAGCCAGCAGCTCTCTTCCTGAGCCTGTCTTTCCAGCCTCTTTGCCCTGCTGAAGGGAAAAGCTATGGAGGCTCACATGGATACACTGGAGGCTCAGGCACAGCCAGAGCAGTAACCCCAGGACTTGTGACCTTCGGAACACTCAGTCTGGTCAGCATTTGGCACTGTCTCCCACCCCCGAACAGGGCAGACCCCTACCTTCAGAAATGTGGCAAACTACTGGAATCCTGTAGGAACCTGAGAGTCCTGATGACAAGTTTCATTTTGTTTACCCAAACATCAGTCATACTTGTTTATGTCTAAAAACTGCTCCATCCAACACCCTTGAGAAATGCTGGCCTAGAGCACAGACAGCCTCAGTTAAAATGCCTGTGTTATCAGAGAGGGCTACCTTGAGCTACTGTTTATCAAACTGCCCCACCAAGAGGCCCTGAATTCTAGAAGGGAATGAAGAAGTTTCCATGTAGGGGTAGGACAAGGTGCGTGAGGGGAGATGTCTGGGGATGTGGCCTGACTCCTGAGTATTACATTTCTTTGATATATTTTTATACTTTAATCTTAAAATCAAATGAATGATATATTGTCCTCCACAATCTATGTGTTTCCAAATAATATGTCATATTTCTCTCCAAACCTTGGAGTAACATTGATGCTCTAGGAAGATGTGTGTGTCTAACTTGGCTCTCCCAGATATGGACTCCCAGGTGGAGTGAATTGAGTTTGGGAAATACAACACAGGCAGACCTCACATTGGAACTAGTTTATCTGGTTGACTTACCCACCCAGCTTGTCAGGTGCAGAGGGAATGGTACCTAGACAATTTAAGTGGGACAAGTGTGTGAGGTGTGGACATCAGAAAATTCCTGGGCCGGGCCCCATGGGACACCGTCAGACAGAACCAGCTAGAGAGCACAATGAGGCCCTGTTGGTGGGGGGCAAAGGGACAGCAGTGGAAGGGAAGGGTGGGGAGAAAGCAGGCTTCCAGAGTCACACTCCTGCTGCTCGTTTGGCTGCCAAAGAGATTGCAGAATAGGATTAAACTGATCTGTTTCTCAAACTGTTTTATAAGTCATTCTTCACTTGTGCCACAGGCCCTTTTGAAAACTTCCTCCTGTAACTTTGATTTACAGTGTATTTGGGGTATGTGTCTGGGAGCTGAGACTGATATGGAGCTAGGACCTCACTCACTCAGTGAGCATTTATTGAGTGTCTACTGTAAACATCTATTGAGTGTCTACTTTGTAAGCATTTATTGAATATCTACTGGGTGAAGCTCTTTACTAGGTGTTGCTGTTTATACTTGGCTCCCTGAAAGTCTCCCAAGTTTCCAAGAAAAAATTGCCTATAAGTTCCCTGCCTCCCAAGGTGACCAAATGTCTTCATTTGCCCAGGACTGAGGGGGTTAAGACACCAGACTTTCAGTTTTGAAACTGGGAAAGTTGTGGGCAAATTGGAACGAGTTGGTCACCTCACTGCCTCCCTTGCTATGACATTTTACAAGAACAAACATGCACCTTCTGACTGTGGTGCAGGGGAAGTGCCGAGGAGAGTCAGGGATGGTGTCCAAGAGTGGAAATGAACCTTAGGGACCTATGGGGAGAAGAAATGGGGGCTCCCAGAGAGCAGGCAAGTGACAGCCAGGATGGCAGTTGCTGGGCTTCTGCACAGCGGTGGAGCTCATTTCCCTCTCTGGTTTCTATGTAGAAGTCCTCCCACCTAGCTTCCCACCTTCATTACTGGCCATGATTTTTTACAGTGTTTTTCAACATCTTATTGTATAGAATCTATATAAATGTTGATAAAGCTGAGCTATTGAAAGATGGTGCTTCCTGGCTTATGGAATTATTGACTTTCAGACTAGACAGTGATGAGAAAGCTCATCTGCTCAAAGACGCAGGAATCCTCTTGATGTCCTTGCCTCTGCTTGCAGAGTTCTGATGGGGAGCTCACTGTAGCACAAGGCAGACCCAGAACATTGTAGCACCCCAGGCATGTACCAGGTTTCTCCTGTGTGGAGCTGAAATCTTTACCTGCCCTTCCATGTGTGTTCCCCAGAGTGAAGCTTGAAGCTAGCAGAACCCATTACTTCCTGGTCACTTGCTTCACTGTTTCTAGTACAATACTGTCTCCCCTCTCCCAGAAGCCCCTCTAACTGTGGACTGCTCAGCAGGGTTGAAATAGAAAACCAGGTAGTCAGTGCCACCCTCCTCTGAAAGCCAAACTAGGCTCTGAAGGTGGGCGTTGCTGGGACATGTGTGGCCCCCAACTCCTGATGTCCCAGATCACAAAGGTTTCATTGCTGGTTCTGGTCACTGACAGGAGCCTGGTCACCACTCATGTGAGTGTCTCAGGCTTTGTGGCAGCAGCTGGAAAGTGGCCCAGCAGAGACCCTCCCATGATGCCCCCTGCACTAGGCCTTGCAAGTTTGTGATGCCCTCATCAGCCCCCAGATCTGTGCCCACGTCATCTCTCACACTCCTCCTTCTTACCCCCGCCTCCCTCTGTTCTCACACCCCAGCTCTCACTGCTCAGCAACTTTGGAAGCTTTCATGGAGTATCCTAGACAGGTCATTGACTTCACCCTCCAGCCTCTAAAAGGACAACATCTCTCTGGAGGAAGTAGAAAAGGGGCTCACTGGAGACAACATTCCCTGGCTTCATTGCCAGAGGGCTAACAGAGACCCCTCACACAGGGCATCTCACCCAGTGCTAGTGGGAACGGGTCTTATGGGTCCCAGCCTGTGCTCCAGGGCTGCACCCCGCAGGGTGGTATGTGGCAGGTCCAAGTTAATGAAGAACCAGCCTTGTATATGGCAACTACTCCACCTCTGGAACGTGTCCCTGACTTGGAAAGTGAACTCACAGGGCTGTGGTTGCCAATTTCATTTTCAAATTGCCCTTGATATCAGGACGCTGCCTTCCGCACAGCTGAGATCGTCCTCACAGCAGCTCAAGCCTCCTTCTTCTTCAGTCCTCAGAGTCCCAGGACTCCCACATCATGGGCCCACTGAATCCATGTGTAAATTTAATGTGTAGGCTGGGCACAGTGGCTCACGCCTGTAATTCCAGCACTTTGGGAGACCAAGGTGGGCGGATCACAAGGTCAGGAGTTCAAGACCAGCCTAGCCAATATGGTGAAACCCCGTCTCTACTAAAGATACAAAAATTAGCTGGGCATGGTGGTGCACACCTGTAATCCCAGCTACTTGGGAGGCTGAGGCAGGAGAGCTGCTTGAACCCAGGAGGCGGAGGTTGCAGTGAGCCGAGATCGCGCCATTGCACTCCAGCCTGGGCAACAGCAGAGCGAGACTCCATCTCAAAAACAAAAAACAAACAAACAAAAAAAACAGACAAAATTTAATGTGTAAATGTGTAAAATTTATAAGGACTGGGGTTGGGCATTAGTCAAGCCTGTTTTGATTGCCTTAAAATCACAAATATTTAGAATTCCCACCTGATATGGTTTGACTCTGTGTCCCCACCCAGATCTCATCATGAATTGTAAGCCCCACATGTCCGAGGAGGGACCTGGTGGGAGGTGATTGGATCATGGGGGCAGTTTCCCCCATGCTGTTTTTGTGATAGTGAGTGAGTTCTCAGGAGATCTGGTGCTTTTTTTTTTTTTTTTTTTTGGACAGAGTCTCACTCTGTCACCAGGCTGGAGTGCAGTGCTGTGATCTCAGCTCACTGCAACCTCTGCCTCCCAGGTTCAAGCGATTCTTCTGCCTCAGCCCCTTGAGTAGCTGGAATTACAGGTGCGTGCCACCATGCCCAGCTAATTTTTGCGTTTTTTTAGTAGAGACAGGGTTTAACCATGTTGGTCAGGCTGGTCTTGAAGTCCTGACCTTGTGATCCGCCCACCTTGGCCTCCCAAAGTGCTGGGATTACAGGCGTGAGCCACCGCGCCCGGCCGAGATCTGATGCTTTTGAGGTGTTTGGCAGTTTCCCCTTTGCACTCTCACTCTTGCTCTCTCTCCCTCTCTCTCTCTCCTGCTGCCTTATGAAGATATGCCTTGCCTCCCCTTCACCATCCGCCATGATTGTAAGTTTCCTGAGGCCTCCCCAGTCATGTGGAACTTTGAGTCAATTAAACCCCTTTTGTTTATAAATTACCAAGCCTCAGGTAGTATCTTTATAGCAGTGTGAAATGGACTAATACACCACCCTTAGCACCAACACATTTTTAGCAGCAATTATAATTTTCTGAGCTACTATCACAAATATGGGCACATTTCATTAGGACACACATGTGGTAAAACATAGGGTGGTGTATGGATATTTAGTTGTGAATGCAAATACACTTGAGGCCTCTTCCTGGGAGCACCCATTATGTACCAAATTTACTGAGATAATATGGACAAGGGTAGGTCCTTTCAGAAACACTGACCAAACCCTCCCTGCCATACTGTGAGGTATGCATTGCCCACATTTTATAGTGGAGGACATTGGGAGGCAGCCCATGGGAATTGCCACATTCCACAGTGACAGATCTGGAATTGGGGCTCTCTGGGAGTCCCCGTCTTAAGATTTTTTCTCTATGTACTTCACCACAAACCACAGACTGTTGAGCCAGACTTTGCTATTTGATTGCTTTATAACAATGGACACACCAGAACTGCCTATTTATATCTGTTGTTGTATTTTCCCAAGCCAAATTCATCAGTGGTGGTCCTGAAGGTCTTCATTCCTCAGTTTCCTCTTTCTTTGCGCATTCCCTAACCCATGGTTGTAAGCCTAGACGCACACTCCAGCTGTATGGCACATGAGCATTTACGCCCTTCATGGGCGTGGGGCAGTCAAGTGGCTTAAACTCTTGATTTCTAAGTGAAAGAATAAATGGAAACCCAGTCAGCTGCATAATGCTTTATCATATGACTCACCTTCTCAGAAACTTACAGTGAGGAGGTGACTTGTATATCCAGCAATCAGAGAGTCAATAAATAAATCATGGGACATCCATCTATAAAATACATGCAAATCATTTTTTAAAAAGTCTTATGGAAAATAGTTGAAATTTGGGGGAAGAGTTCATTCTCTAATGTTAAGTAAAGAAGGCAGGATGGATAAGCACATGTAGAGATGATCCAAATTTGTCAAAATCACAGTATACAGAGAAGGAAGACTTGAAGGGCACGTACCTATACTGTGTGTGAAACCTATAAATGGTTTTGTTTTTTGTCTTTGTGAATTTCAGTGTTTTCCATTTTCTACAGTAAACATGTCCTGTATTTATGCTTAGAAAAATCTATCCATTAAAAAGCCCTACAGTCTGTGGTCATGCCCCAGCTTCCTTTGGCAGGCATACCAAGACATCTCATTGTGGTATGTAAAATGTGATGTACGATGGAAGTGGCTCTTCTCCGATTACCTGAGGGTGGACCAAGGATGCAGCTGGGATTGCAGCCAAGAGGATGGGGTTGTCTAGAAGGACTGACCCCTGCAGTGCCATCACTGTTCCCACTGCATTTTTCCATCTGTTGTCACAGTTGAGTCATGGCTTTCCAGAAATTGAGGCAAAGTCAGATAACAATACTTGAAGTCTTAAAGGGAGGCAAGAATGTGGAGCCTTTTCCTTTCTGGGAAGATCAAGAAGTGATTCTGTCCAGGAATCTGCTCTCTCTGCTCTTCTGGTGCCCACTCCCAGGGGCTGGCTCAGAGTGTAGGAATTCAGCCCTAAGGTTTGGCCAAACATCCTGGAGAAGCAAATGTATCTGATTGGCTCCTTGCCATGTAGGAAGAGTAGGCCTGAGGGTGAGGTGGTGAGGACAGAAGCCAGGAT